>NC_000012.12:100187400-100490431 GCF_000001405.40 Homo sapiens
GCAGCCACCAGAAGCTGGAAGAGGCCCGGAACCGACTTTGCCCTGGAGCCTCCAAAGAAACCAGTCCTGTCGACACCTGAACTTAGGCCTAGTGAAGCTGATTTTGAACTTCTGGCCTCCCAAACTATCAGAGAATTAATATGTGTTGTTTTAAAACATCAAGTTTATGGTAACTTGTTACAGCAGCCAGAGCAAATTAATACAATCACTCTCTAAAAAGCTATTGCCCTTCAAACCAAGGACTTTGAGAGGCTGCTTTCTGCTGTGGTCCAGGCTTCAGCTGGCATTCAAGTTTGGAGCATTAATGTCCAAAGTTAGAATATATTTACTTCTGATATGATGTCTTTTGATCCTGAGGATCTGGGAGGGTGTCATCAGAAAGACCCTTTCCAAAATACTCTAGACATTTACCTGGACAGATGAGTACATCATCCTTCCAATTCTAACACATTAGAGCAAACACCTAATAAAACGTGCACAGCCTCAAATAAACCAAACATCTAAGAAACAATACTCTTGTTGTAGAACTTTCAGACAGGTACAGCTCCACTGGTTCCCTACTGCCCAAAGGGCAGACACCCCCACCCCTTCACCCTGGGCTCCCTGGCCTCCTCAGCTCCTCTTCTATCCTCACCCCCTTAAGCACCCTATGCACCTGGCATGAGAACCCATGCCACTTGTGAGACACACCCTGTTCTGACTTCCTTGCCTCTGCATGGGTGTCCTTGAACTTACATTTCCCTTTGGCCAGTCCCTCTCCATCGCTCAAGCCCTTTAAGTCAAAACTCGTCTTCAGAGCAAAACCATCACTAGCCTCTCCCAAAACCCACACCGCAAAGAATAAGCCATTTCTTCCTGGTGCACCCAGGGAGGCTGTGACATGCTGGGTTCAGCCTTGAACTGCACCCTACGGCACCTGTGGCAGAGGACTCACAGGCCTTGCCTGCCTGTCTTCCTGAGAACCCTTCAAACTGCTGAAGGCAGGGAGGGACAGCCTCTTACCCAAGGGAACAACCTCAGCCCCATCCCACAGTGAGGGGGAGAGGAAAATGCAGCAGGGAGGGAGGGAGCACCAGCTGCACAGCCAGGCAGTCCTGCAGAATGGGCTTCTCTAAACTTGAGTGGTGACCCACTGTGGGCCAGGATATCAAATTAAGAAGATAAGAAGTCAATTTTGAGGGGACAAGCATTTTTTTTAGTATTAAAAGAGAAAATAGTACTTAGCTTTACTATATGTAGCAGTGACATTTTTCTTTCAGTTTTATGTACATACTGACAGTATACATTTACATACAAAGGTGTATTATCTGCTGTCGGTTCCCAGTCAAAAAAGTGAACAACACTGTGTCCGAAGGTAACATCCTTCCCAGTGTCCAGAATTGGTTCCTTCTGGTGGGTTCTTAGTCTCGCCAACTTCAAGAATGAAGCTGCAGACCTTTGCGGTGAGTGTTGCAGCTCTTAAAGGTGGCACGGACCCAAAGAGTGAGCAGCAGTAAGATTTATGATGAAGAGCGAAAGAACAAAGGTTCCACAGCATGGAAGGGGACCCGAGCAGGTTGCCGCTGCTGGGTGGGGTGGCCAGCTTTTATTCCCTCATTTGTCCCTGCCCACATCCTGCTCATTGGTCCATTTTACAGAGCGCTGATTGGTCCATTTTACAGAGTGCTGATTGATCCATTTTACAGAGTACTGATTGGTGTGTTTACAATCCTTTAGCTGGACACAGAGCACTGATTGGTGCGTTTTTACAGAGTGCTGATTGGTGCATTTACAATCCTTTAGCTAGACACAGCGCTGACTGGTGTGTTTACAATCCTCTAGCTAGACAGAAAAGTTCTCCAAGTCCCCACTCGACCCAGGAAGTCCAGCTGGCTTCACCTCCCACCAGGAGGCCAAACAAAAAGGACAGTGCTGAGAGGAACCATCGTCCTGCTAGGGAAGGGAGTGTGGCACAAAGGCAGGTGGGTGTGGGCAGACCCCCCCTGCCACGGGTGTGCAGGGCAGAGGATGATGAGCCCCAAGCAGCAGGAGCAGGAGCAGTAGAGCAACTCTGCCCCTGAAAGGGTCTGGAGCCTTCCCTCATCACTCTTCCTCAAGTCGATGCTGGACACCCACTATGTACCAGGCCGTGTGAGGCACTGGGGTAAACCAGAGACAAGACAGACAGGGTCCCTGCCCCATGGAGCTCCCAGCCTTGCAAGGGAGCTAGACCACAGATGAGTACACAAAGAAATACAGTAACTACAGGCAGTGGTAAGGGCTGTGAAGGAGAAGCACGGCAGTGAGGAATGGGAGGAACAGGGAAGGCTTCTCTGAAGAACGAACAGAAGTAACCAGAGAAGAGACAGCCCGCCCTGCAAAGGGACAGCCTGAGGCAGGGCCTGTCGGGAAGACAATACATCTGAAGAACTGCAAGAAGTCAAGTGGGCCTGCAACAGAGGAAATGACAGGAGTCAGACCCCATGGGACCCTGAAGGCCATGTTCAGCAGCACAGCCTTCAGCCTAAAGCAATGAGAAGCCTCTGAAAGGCTGAGGCAGTAGATTGAATTGATTCAGGTCCCTTAGAATTGGGTCCCTGCAACAGGTGGACCCAGGACCGGCAGAGAATGCAGATAGGCGCCCCTCCTCAGCCCCCAACTCTAAATATAACAGAAGACATGGCTCAGTTGCTCCCTTGGTGGCCCTGGACAAGACAGGCTGAAGTTCTCTGAGCCTCCGCTTCCCATGCTGAGTCATGGTGAAAGGTCTCTGAGTCTACAGGCCAAAGCCACTGCTCCTCTCATGACTGCAGTGATTTCCATGGACAGTGTTATGCAACGGCGGCCCTTCTGATACGTGGGGCCCTGGGAGCGTGTGAACTGATCGAGACCAAGAGGACTGATGGGACACAACTGCTAAGCACAACCTCATGCTCCTGGGAGCTATCAAAGAAGACCAGGCACCAATGCAGCAACACACACACACAGCCCAGCCAACTTCCCGCAACTGCTGAAACTCCACGGGCCCAAAAGCAAGTCGCCTTCCTTCCTGCTTCCTTCTCTAGAAGGTCTGGCTTTAAAAATGTCACTGTGAGGCAGCAGCATGGTGACTACATGCCTTGTCTTTCTTGGCAGACAGAGCCATGCCTTCCAACGAGGAAAATTACAAATACCACGTTATGGCTCCTGGACAGGAACAACTTCTCCCAATTCACCAAACATCTGTGTGCCTGCTTTGAGCTGGTTTGCGCCCTCTGCTGCAAACAGGGGCTGAAGAGACGAGTCACTGTCACGACTTTAGAGTCCTAGACACTAAAACCATAATAGATTCTTGGGAACCCCCGCCGTGCTCACAGATAACTCTTTCTACCAGGCCTGAGTGGGTCAAGAATGAAGCAAAAACTAAGAGTCAGAGCAGGGCCAACTGCAGGGCCCGCAGAAGACCTGTGGGAGGGAGGCCTGGAAGGAAGAGCACACCTTCCCGGCCAGCTCAGCCCTCACAACTGCCCTTGAGAAAGGCACCCTGTCCACTCCACCCAAGGGAGTGGAGACACACTTCACCTACTGGCTCAAAAGAGTCAGAGGGGCAACAGTGGCAGCAATGCCAGCAGGCCTGGGGTGTGTAGCCACCATTTACAGAGCACTTACAATCAGTCAGGCAGTGTGCTAGGCATTTCTTATTTGTAACCTTAACAACACTCTCACTGATCCAGAGAGGGAGAGGTTTACACACACACACACACACACACACACACACACACACACACACACTCCAAGAGGATATGAGGGCTTAAAGCTTGGGTTAGGCAATAAGCATCTGGCATCCTCTAAGCATGAAAGGCACAGTAGTGAACTATACTGACAAAATCTCCTCCTAGGAGGTGATGCTCTAGTAGGACACAACAGCAGATGCTCAAAGACTAGATCAGGGAGCAAAACCATCCTGAATCTCTAGCCGACTGAGGGCCCCCTGTGCTGGCTGGTGAGCTACTGCCTACTGGACAATCATGAAAGCCACAGTCTCCCTAGGGATCCTCTCAGCTCCTTGCCCCTCAGATGGTCTCACACAACCGAGTGCTCAGGATGTTTACTGAACTGAGCACTTTAGGCAGAGTATTTCACAGAACACTAGTTAGAAGCCACTAATTAGTCACGACTACCTAGTTTACCATTTCCACAATACATTCATTCTGTGAAAGTAAACGAAACCCAGCTGAGGGCTAGCCTGATACGATATAGGTAAACACCCAATCAAATATCATTAAGACCCCACTACATAAATACCAGAACTGAAAATTGCTAATGAAAATGCCCTTCCCTCTCCCAGTCTGAGATACAATGGCAGGGTCCTTTTCTTTCTTTAGAGGAAGGGGTTGTTACTGTCTATATTTTGTTCTGACTGGAGGTGGGAAGTCTGCACCCCAGTGCCTCAAAGGTAAAAGCGTCTGACCAAGGACACCTGTCTACCCTCATCAGATGCCTCAGTGAGGTGGGAGCTGGTACACCTCCACCCCGAATGCATCTGACCCCTCCTTTCATTTCTCAAGAAATTGTTATCTCCATGGTGGAAGGAAACTGGCAATGTGCATACAAGCAAAGCAAGTGCAGCAGGAGAGAAGTCAATGCTAAGGGCCATTAGGAATCCTTCAGGAAAGGAAGTCCACCGGGGTGGGGCTGGCCCCAGCCACACATACCTGCCAAAGTGAGCTTCATCCATCACAGCACCCCCAACTCAGAAACAATTAAGAAGCAACTGCTCCAAATAGGTTCAGCTTTGCATTTATCTACTTTTAAATGTTTGCCAGTACATAACATATAAATACTTCAACCCTTCATACACAAACAAGATAATCCTCCAACCTAGTTAAATAAAAATACTAGGCATGACTAAACCATCATCAGTGCCACGGTCTGAATGTCTGTGTCCCCACAAAATTCCTATGTTGAGACCTAGTCCCCAAGATAATAGTAGTAAGAGTGAAGCCTTGTGGGAAGTGATTAAGTCATGAGGGCAGACCCCTCTGGAATGAGATCAGGGTCCTTATAGAAGAGGCCAGAGTGGTAAAAGGGATTTCAGGAGAAAAATACACTTAGCTAGGTAGCTAGATACATACATACATATATATGTATACATACATGGATATATACACACATATATATGTATACATAGATGGAGGCCCCAGAGGGAACTTGTCTGTCCCTTCTGCTGTGAGAACACCGCTACAAGGCATCATCTCTAAAACAGAGAGTGAGCCCCCACCAGACACCAAATCTGCTGCTGTCTTCATCTTGGACTTCCCAGCCTCCAGAACTATGAGAAATAAATTTCTGTTGTTCATAAGCTACCTTGTCTATGGTATTTTATCACAGCAGCCCAAATAAACAAAGGCAATCAATTTGGGAGAAGAAGAAGAAAGAAAAGAAACGATTTGTCAAACTCTGCTTAAAACTCTTCACTGACTCCATAGCTCTTAGGACAAAGACCAAAATCCTGCCCTGACCCAAGCCCTGCCTCTTCCAAAGGCTATGTCCCCTTCACCCCTAGCTGCCACCAGGCACTCCTTGAGTCCCACATGCAAACAGCACCCCCACCTAAAGGCCTCTGTTTATGCCACTTCCTCTCCCTAGAACACTTTACTCCCCCTCTCCACGCCCCCCAGTCAACACCAACTCGTCCTTTGTGTCTCAGCTGGAATGTCGCTTCTTCAGGAAAGTCTTTCCTAGCCCTCCCCAACCCCTAAACCACATCAAGATCCTGAACTATACATGTACTGCCTCTCTTTCCTTTCAAACTTCCTAGCACTGGTTGGTGTTTGTTATATTTTATTAATATCTGTTCCCTGGATACTGACAGCTCCACAAGGACAGGGACTATCTTGTCCAGTCATATCCCTAGTGCCTAATCACACACAGTGAGTGAGTGAGTGGGAAGCTCCTGAGGCCTTCCTAGAACGCAAGTCAGTGAACTACAGCCTGGAGTCATTTCCAGCCTCTGCCTATTTCTGTACAATCTACAAGCCAAGAATGGTTTTAACATTTTTATTTTGCTATTTTGTTTTTTTGAAACAAAAAACAGCCTGTCACCCAGGCTGGAGTACAGTGGTGAGAACACAGCTCACTGCAATCTCTACCTCTTGGGCTCAAGCAATCCTGCCTCAGCCTCCCAAGTAGCTGGGACTACAGACATTTGCTACCACATCTGGCCAGTTTTAAAATTTTTATAGAGATGGGGTCTCACTTTGTTGCCCAGGTTGGTCTTGAACTCTTGGGCTCAAGTGATCCTCCCACTTTGGCCTCCCAAAGTGCTGGGAGGAGTACCGGAGTGAGCCACTGTGCCCAGCTAACATTTTTAAATGGCTGAAAACAATTAAAAGAATATTTTGTGAAATGTGAAAATTACATGAGATCCAAATTTCAGAGTACATTAGTAAAAATCAGAATGCAGCTATACTCATTCTACGGTTGTTTCTGTACTACCACAGCAGAATAGTGACAGAGATGGCAGAGTGTGCAAAACCAAAATACTATGTGGCCCTTTACATAAAAAGTTTGCCCCTGCTGTAACAGTGTCCTCGAAGTCCTGACTATGGGCATGAAATACAAGATACCTGAAAATACAGAACTGACTGTAAGTAAGCTCTCTCCTCTGGGGAAGGGTGAGTCATAACCCCCTTTTGGATTCCCAATATCCGTTCTATTCAGTGGGCATTTACTGAATGGCTGCCTCCTCTATGACATGAGGCAAGAATGGCATGTAATACATCTGTACATTTGGGAGTTCTGGCTGATCAGTTCTAAAGCGTCACCAAAACCAGTGCTTACTGGGTAACCGTTTTCTATTCATTCATTCAACAAGTGTCTACCTGGGCACCATACCTTAGTCAGTTTAGGCTGCTATAACAAAAACACCACAGACTGAGTGGCTTAAACAACACAAATTGACTCCTTAGCTCTGGAGACTAGAATGTCCAAAATCAAGGTGCTGGTCAATTTGGTTCCTGGCAAGGGCCCTCTTCCTGGTTTGCAAAGGAATGCCTTTTCGCTGTATCCTCATAGGTGGAGCGGGAGATCATCTCTCCAGGGTCTCGTTTATAAGGGCACTAATACCATTCACGAAGGCTCCACCCTCATGACCTAATTACCTCCCAAAGGCCCCACTTCTAAATATCATCACATTGGGAGTTGGAGCATCAACATATGAGTTTTTCAGGAACACAAACACCAACACTGGTCTATAGAAAGCCTCCTTTGTGCCAGATACTGTTGCATGAACTGAGGATACAAACAGTCCTTAGGGAGCTCACCCTCTGGCGGGTAGGAAATAGGTTGGGGACTCCCCTGCAATGAGGACTGTGTGAAAGGCAGTGGAAGATGAAATGCCATTGTGGTATCACAAGCACAATACTGGACTTGCCTTGAAGGAACTTACTAATTGGAAAGCCTTGAAAAGTTTAAGCCCCCATAACTTAAAGGTTAAATAATGCTTCAAGACTGAGTAGATGCTCCAGGGTAGAACAACTTAGGAGAACCATACAGCAAAGAATGCTGGTTCACCACATCTAGTTTGTACTGAACACACTCTGATTACCCAAGCCAATACATGTTTGTCATTAAGAGCAATTTCAACAACAGGGAATGCACACTCCCACAAAAGTGGGTTAAGAATAGGTGTACATAGCTATTCCGTTACGTGTGGCTCGGAAACCAACACACATGTCCATTTGAGCACCAAGCACCTACAAGAAGGCAGCAGAGGAAGGAAATCATTTGCTGACTGTCTGATGACACTCTCTTGCTCCGAAGACTGCAGAGATCCGGAAGAGCAAGGCTGTTTAAACTTCACCCTCAGTCAATCACATGCTCTCCTTCCCCTAAGTGCCTCAGATTCCAGTAAAGCTCCACGAGAAGCCTCCAGCCCCCCTACACACACAGAGATATGCACACAGTAGCGTCAGCCTCTGCTAGGCCCTTACAACAGTTTGCAGATATGTCCAGTAAAAGGTATTATGCATCCTGGTAAACAACTGGGCAGTAAAATGTTCCTGGTGATACTCACTGTCCAAAAAGGACAGCTATCAAATACAGTAAAAGGAAAGACTACTATACCTTATCTGATCCAAAACAATTAATATCCAAAGTCAAAAAAAGTAGACTTGTCAGACCGGACAATACAATTAGATATTCCACATTTTGGACACTCACTGTTCCTGGAGCCTCTACTTTCAGAGAGGGTCTGAGTCTAGCTTCATGACATCAGCAAAATTACATACCCTCTCCAGCCTCTATTACCGCATCTGTAAAATAAGGCACCAGATCAGATCCCTAAGTTTTGGAATAGAGGAGTTTACCAAGAAATTCTTGTATCAGCTTTAAGACTCACATAGTAAAACATTTTGGAAAAGCCCAACAAAACCACAGCTTCTCCAGAGAAGGCTCAAAGATGCTTTAAAATAAGAAAAATATATAATACTATAATAAGAACATTGCTGATTTTTCTTTACTTTTTAACCCTCTGTGAAAAGAAATGGTATTTGTAAAATTATACACAACTAGCTGAAGTCTGAGCAGGGCTAAAACCTAACTTAAAAATCCTTAGAAATCAGGGTCTCCTCTATGGCTGGACAGCCCTGAAGTGAAACATTAAGGCTTATGGGAATCAGTTCTTGGATCTGAAAGATGAAAAGGAAGATAAATCGGTAATTTCCTTATTTACCACCATAAAGTTTTTACTTCTAGAGCTCAAAAGAAATAATGGTACAATGAAATTTATCTTTCTTAAAACACACCCCTGGCTGGGCACAGTGGCTCACGCCTGTAATCTCAGCACTTTGGGAGGCCAAGACAGGTGGATCACCTGAGGTTGGGAGTTCGAGACCAGCCTGACCAACATGGAGAAACCCCGTCTCTACTAAAAATACAAAAATTAACTGGGCGTGGTGGCGTACACCTGTAATCCCAGCTACTCGGGAGGCTGAGGCAACAGAATTGCTTGAACCTGGGAGGCGGAGGTTGTGGTGAGCTGAGATCACACCATTGCACTCCAGCCTGGGCAACAAGAGTGAAACAATGTCTCAAAACAAACAAATAAACAAAAAACACCCCTACTCTAAAACCCTGATCCCTTCTTTTGGAAAGCCTTGCCTGTTTCCATTTCCATTGTTGTAAATAGCCAACACTCGAGGCCTCAGGTATTATCTTACTCTGTGACCAATTTAATTTTACATGTCAAAATATTCCTCCATTGTCAGTAACCCAAAGGAAAATATTTCCTTTTCTTAAAAAAAAAAGAAATACTCTGAACCTACAACAAGATGGATAGCGGCCAGGCACAGTGGCTCGTGCCTGTAATCTGAGCACTTTGGGAGGCCGAGGCGGGTGGATCACCAGAGGTCAGGAGTTTGAGACCAGCCTGATCACCATGGTGAAACCCCGTGTCTACTAAAGATACAACATTAGCCAGGCGTGATGGCGCATGCCTGTAATCCCACTTACTTGGGAGGTTGAGGCAGGAGAATCACTTGAACCCAGGAGGCGGAGGTTGCAGTGAGCTGATAGCGCGCCATTGCGCTCCAGTCTAGGCAACAGGAGCAAAACTCTTGTCTCAAAAAAAAAAAAAAAAAAAAAGATGGATGGCATAACACAACAAACACTGATGCACCCACCACCCAGTCCAAGAAATAAAACACTGCAAAACAACAGTGGAAGCCACAAGGCACCAGCCCCAAGGCAGCCATTCCCAATCACATCCCCCCTCTTCCCATCAGAGGCAACCACCACCTAGAAACCAGAGCTCATCACCCCCTTGCATCTCTTCCCCTCCTGACACAGTATATATCCTTGTGATCTGTAGCACTATTTTACATGATCTTCTTAACCTTTCTATAAATGGTATCATTCTGAACAGAATCAGTCTGTAACTTATTTCTTGCTCAATTTTATGTTTGTGAGAGTAATCCACATTGACACTTATAGCTCTAGTTCCTTTGTTTACTACCACATAATATGCCATTATATGAATATACTACATAGTTGGCCAAAAACACTGCTTGATGTTTCATATGCCATGTAGTGCCTACTACTTTCCGTACCACTATGGAAAATGTGCCAGCCATTTCCATAACATTCTCCAGAATCCTCACAGCCACTAATGAGGAAGGTAAGATTCCCATTGAAGATGAGGAATGAGAAGACCAAAGAGGAACTGGGACGTGGTATAACTTGTCCAGTACATGTGAGCAGCAGGATCCTGCTTCAAGTTCAAGCCCATCCAAGTCTAAAGCCATGCTCCTGACAATATGCCCTGTAACCCATATAGGGCTTTACAGTCATCTGAGAAAAATCTGAAACATGACGCTCTATTTTCTTTGTTAACAAATATCCTACAGGAAATTCACCTGACATGGGGACAGTCCATGTATACACTGAGGAAGAGCCTCTACCTTTGGCAAAGGTCTTCCACCGGGGTCATTCCCATGTTTATACAGGCGCAAAGTAAGCCTGAGTAGGACTGCAACCCTGGCTGGCTTCCTTCGGGGAAACAGGCTGTCTGCACCCACTTACAGACAGGACAGAGGAGCCCGAGAGAACATGGGAATCAGATCCTGCTTGAATTGGCAAAAGCTGAGTCGACAAAGCTCTGAGAACATCTCCGGGGGCAGCTGCAGCTGTTAGCAGCTCTGGGGGTCTGAGGAACAGTCCTGTGCTCATAAGGCCAAGAGCCTGCCTACTCTGCTCTCCGCGTGGCCAGCTTTGAGAGTGCTTTCATACATCCCAGCCCAACCCTGCTGCCCTGGAGAAAGCCGAGCCTGCAGCGCGGAAGAGGAATGAGAGAGAAGGTGGAGGTTCACAGGAGCCAGGCAGGGAGCACAGCCTGGAGAAAGGATACTGGGCTCCAGGCCTGGGCCCAGATCCCTCTATGTGCTCGAAGCAGGTGGACCCCTCGGAGGTGACAGAGTCTAGCCCGCTAAGGACTCCCAAGGAAAGGGGAGGCCTCTCAGCACCAGGACTCCTCACTCTACTCTCCTGCTTCTGCATTATTTTTCCCATTATGTCTCTTCGCTGGAGGATTAAAAGAGCCTCAAAGAGCAAGGCCTAACTGGCTGAAGTGACCCCCTCCCACCTCTCCTGGACAAAACAAGGAGCAAGAAAAGAGGGTCTGCCACTTACTGGCTGTGTGACCTTAGCTGGAGCATCCCTGCCCACTCTCGGAGGAAATGTAGTGGAATATCTCTAAGGGCCCTGCCATTTCTGACTCTTTTTGTCTATAGTGCTAAATGCACTGTGGCTCACGTCTGGAATCCCAGGAAGATGGGTGGGGAGGATGGTTTGAGCCCAGGAGTTCGAGACTAGCCTGAGCAACATAGCGAGACCCCCATCTACACACACACACACACACACACACACACACACACACACACACACACACAAAAACCATTTTTTAAATTAGCCAGGCGTGGGCCTGCACCTGTGGTCCCGGATACTTGGGAGGCTCAGGTGGGAGGCTCAGGTGGGAGGATCACTTGAGCCCAGGCATGAGGCTGCAGTTAGCTGAAATCACACCACTGCACTTCAGTCTGCACAACAGAGCGAGATCCTATGGCAAAAAGAACAAATAAATAAAAATAAAATAAATGTACTAACATTTACTGAGCAGTTTAGAGTATAATTAGTTTAATCTCAACACCCCATGATATAGATACTACTGCTATCTCATTTTAGAGGACGCTGAAGGGCAGAGCGGTTAACTGATGTACCAAGGTCCTAGCAGAGTTCTAAAGGAGGCCCCTGGGGCAGAAGCCTACGGTTATGAATGCTTGGGAGGGCTGCACCGGACATCCACGGGATGCTGGGGGTGAGAAGACACTAGAGAGGGGTCAGAGGGAAGGAGCAGAGGGAGATAATGGGTCAAAGTGTCTGAGGAAGGAGACTGGGCTGGGTAGCCCCAGCCACCCGGGCCTAAGCCCAGGTGGAGGGGAGGAGATAGGAACGAGGACGGGATGTGGAGAAGTGGGGAAAGGCAGGCCGACGTTGGCAGGGTGCGAGGAGGCCTTGGAGAAAGGAGGGTGGATGGGGCAGGCCCCCAGGGGAGGCAAGGAGCGCCGACAGAAGGGCCCAGGCGCTTGCAGGGCGCGAGTTCCCACCTCAAGCACCGTGGCGGCTCCCGCGCTGCGCACCTGGAAGTGCGCAGGCTGCTCCGCCGCCTCGTCGGCGCGCTGGTAGCTGAAGCAGGCTTCTGCTATGTCCAGGTGGCCGAGGGGCAGCGGGTCGTGGGGGTTCTTGAAGTAGCAGAGGCAGCAGCGGCGCCCGTCCAACACGAACCGACGGCTGCGGTAGCCACGCAGTCGCGCTGGTTCCCGCGCGGTACCCGCCCCGGGCTCTGCAGCCTCCCCATCGCCGTCGCTGCCCTCCTCTGCCCGGGTTCCGGCCCCGGTATGGCTGCCTGCGCGCCAACCGTTTGTTCCCCGGCCCCCGCGCCTTCGCGCTGCGGCTGCTGCGCTCCCTGCCCCCGCGGTGCCCCCTTCCCGCCGCCCCGCTCCTCTCTCAGGCGCTCAAAGTGGCCTGGAATTTGTAGAACGCCCCCCTCCAAGCCCGTTGGCAGTTGTCCTAGCCCGCTGGCCCTTGCCCCCGCCCGCTGGCCGTTGCCCCCGCGACGCCCCGGAAGCCAGGTCCTGCCTCCCGCACCTGCCAAGTCCCCGCCCTGCCGGAGTCTCGCTCTGTCGCCCAGGCTGGAGTGTAGTGGAGCCATCTCGGCTCACTGCAACCTCCGCCTCCCCGGTTCAAGCAATTCTCCCGCCTCAGCCTCCCGAGTACTTGGGATTACAGGCGCCCGCCACCTCGCCCGGCTACTTTTTGTATTTTTAATAGAGACGGGGTTTCGCCGTGTTGGTCAGGCTGGTCTCAAGCTCCTGACCTCAAGTGATCTGCTTGCCTTGGTCTCCTAAAGTGCTGGGATTACAGGCGTGAGCCACCGCGTCCGGCCCAAAAGCCTTTTTTGGATGAGAAAGACTCACTCAGCTTCGTCCTGAAGAGCAAGTGGGCTGGGGAAGAGGAGAGTATGAATGTGAGTCCAAGAGCAAGTTTTGCACTTTTTTCTTCAAAGAATGTCACCGTCTGAAGAATGCGATTGGAAGACACACACACACACACACACACACACACACACGCAGCCGGTTCTCTACAGGATTAGAAAAAACTTGCGCGAATTAATCTGCGTAGTTAAAAACAAATACGAAATGAGCGAGAAAGCACATAGTAGTCAAATCTCGCCACCACATAAACAGGTTAAGTTTGGAAGCACAGCCCCTAACATTCGGTGCTGCTTAGCATCTCCGACTTCCGGCGTCCTCCGTTGCTAAGGTGACCAGAGGCGCGTCCTAACGCTCCGCCCAACAAACCATAGAGTACCGGAAAAAGCTCGAGCAGAGGGGTCGGAAAGGGAAAACAACTACGGCTGCGGTGTGGTTGGTGGTGAGATGACGACCTTAGTGCTGGATAATGGAGCTTACAACGCCAAAATCGGTTACAGCCATGAAAATGTGTCGTAAGTACTTTCTTTCTCCGAGGGACAAGATATATACGCCTAGTGGTTTCATGTGCTACGTTTCATCTCCGGACATCAATGAACTGCAGACACCCCCGCGCGGCCCTGACTTAGCCAGAGGGATTCCCTGGTTGGAGCTGGGTGGGTGATTGTGATGCTTTGAATTGAAATTGATTTTGGTTTTAGTTTTGGGCTGCGAGGCCCCGGAAGTGGGATATATGTTTTATTTCGTAACAGGAAATAGCCAAAGAAAATAGGCTTATAGAGATGCGTTCCTGACAGAAGGGTCCGTAAAGTTCATCAGCCTTTGGAAACTATGGGCACGGTGTTTGGGTGTATGCGGATTTTCCTGGGTACAAGATTATAGGTTTCATTAGATTCTCAAAGGGTTCTATGACCCTCCAAAAGTCTAAAAATCACGGTCTTAGGATCTAGAGGCTTTGAAGACTTTGGCCTACTGGCCGACCTAGTTGGTAAGGTCAATTAAACAGAAGTACTGTTAATACAATGGCATTCATAACATGTATAGTCATAAAATATATGTTTGAATAAATAAGCAAACCTAAAGACACGCCTTTCCTTTATCAAATTAACAGAGCATTAAAAAAAATTCTTTCCTTCCTCCCTCCTTTCCTTCTTTTTCATTTCTTTTGAAACAGAAATGAAAGAGGGAAATCAAACTGAGTAGGAATGTAAATTGTTACAATCTTTCTGGAAAACGTTTTGGCAATGTGTATCATTATCATTGTCACCGAGGCTGGAGTGCCGTGGTGCGATCTCAGCTCACTGCAGCCTGAATTCAAGTGATTCTCCCGCCTCAGCCTCCAGAGTAGCTGGGATTATAGGCGTGCACCACCACTCCCAGCGAATTTTTTGTATTTTTGTTAGAGACGGGGTTTCATCATGTTGGCCAGGCCGGTCTCGAGCCCCTGGCCTCAAGCAGTCTACCCGCGTTGGCCTCCCAAAGTGCTGGTATTAGGGGCGTGAGCCCTACACCCAGCTGACAAAGCAATTTTTTTTTTTTTTTTTGGAGAGGGAGTCTGGCTCTCTTGTCCAGGCTGGAGTGCAGTGGCACGATCTCGGCTCGCTGCAACCTCTGCCTCCCGGGTTCAAGCCATTCTCATGCCTCAGCCTCCCAAGTAGCTGGGACTACAGTTGCGCACCACCACGCCTGGCTAAGTTTTGTATTTTTAGTAGAGACGGGGGTTTCACCATTTTGGCCATGCTGGTCTGGAATTCCTGACCTCGTGATCTGCCTGCTTCAGCCTCCTAAAGTGCTGGGATTACAGGTGTGAGCCACCGCACCGGGCCATGACACAGCAATTCTGTTATTACCTAGAGAATTAATTAGAAGTGCTTTGTATTATTCATAGTCATCGTATACAGGCAGCCAAAAAATGGGAAGGAAGCTAAATAATCAGGAATAGCATATTGGCTAAATACACCAAAATACAACCTGAGACTGATAACAAATTCAAGCTTCTTAAAATTATGTCTTCAAAGAACATTTAAACATGTAGAGAAAATGCTGACAGTATTATAAGTGAAATAAGCAGGTGTAAAACATTTTTTTACAGTATTATCCCAGTGTCATCTCGTATACACATACAGACACATTTGTATGCATACATGTGTGTATAATTAATAATGGCTCTAGTTTGTCTTCCAAACCAGATTGTAAGCTCATGGCAAGCAGCAAGAGGCCCAGGTGGGTGGATCACGAGGTTAGGAGATCCAGAGCATCATGGCTAACACGGCGAAACCCTGTCTCTACTAAAAATACAAAAATTAGCCGGGCGTAGTGGCAGGCGCCTGTAGTCCCAGCTACCTGGGAGGCTGAGGCGGGAGAATGGCGTGGGCCTGGGAGGCGGAGCTTGCAGTGAGCCGAGATCACGCCACTGCACTCCAGCCTGGGGCGACAAAGCGAGACTCGGTCTCAAAAAAAAAAAAAAAAAGTTGCTACTTCTGTACCCTGTAGCAGCAGCAGTCTCCAACCTTTTTGGCACCAAGGACTGGTTTCGTGGAAGACAATTTTAACGTGTGGTTGGGGGTATGAGTGTGGGCGATGGTTTTGAAATGAAACTATTCTCAGGTATTAGATTCTCACAAAAAAAGTGCACAAACTATATCCCTTGCATGCACAGTTCAAAATAGGGTTCCTGCTCCTATGAGAATCTAATGCTATGGCTGATCTGACAGGAAGTGCAATTTAGGTGTTAATGCTTACGGCCCCACCCTCCTTCCCCACCCTGGTGCTCACCTCTTGCTATGAAGGCTTGGTTCCCAACAGACCACAGACAGGTACCGGACCACAAGCCCTGCGGTTGGGGATCCCTGCCCTATAGCATCTTGCTGATTGAAGATCTTTGGCTTCATGGGAACTTAATTTATTTTATTTTTTTGAGACAGAGTCTTGCTCTGTCGCCCAGGCTGGAGTGCAGTGGCACAATCTCTGCTCACTGCAACCTCCGCCTCCTGGGTTCAAGCAATTCTCCTGCCTCAGCCTCCCCAGTAGGTGGGATTACAGGCATGCACCACCATGCCCAGCTAATTTTTATATTTTTTAGTAGAGATGGGGTTTTACCATGTTGGCCAGGCTGGTCTTAAACTCCTGACCTCATGATCCGCCCGCCTCCGCCTTCCAAAGTGCTGGGATTACATGCTGTGAGCCACTGCTCCCGGCTGGAAACTTAATTTTTATGGCCATAATTTTTAACTTGTGAATCTTTTTTTTTTTTTTTTTTTTTTTGAGACGGAGTCTCGCTCTGTCGTCCAGGCTGGAATGCAGTGGCGTGATCTTGGCTCACTGCAAGCTCTGCCTCCCGGGTTCACGCCATTCTCCTGCCTCAGCCTTCCAAGTAGCTGGGACTACAGGCGCCCGCCACCAGGCTGGCTAGTTTTTTGTATTTTTAGTAGAGACAGGGTTTCACCGTGTTAGCCAGGATGGTCTCGATCTCCTGACCTCGTGATCTGCCTGTCTCGGCCTCCCAAAGTGCTGGGATTACAGGCATGAGCCACCGCGCCCGGCCTAACTTGTGAATCTTTAATCCAAATGGTATTAAGACTTTCTGTGTTAAAGCCAGAAAGACTAGGACCTTTACCAAAGCACTGGCTTTCGCCTCTGCAGTGGCGGAAGCAATACTTACCTGTAAGGATTTCTTGAGGATTATTAGAGAAAGAAAGGATCCAGTATAGAACTTGTTACATACTGAACTTTAAAAAAAAATGGGGGAGGGGCATTTTTGTGTTATTATTATTTTAAAATAGAGACAGGGCCTTGTTCTGTCCACCCAGGCTGGAATGCAGTAGTGGGATCACAGTTCATTGCAGCTGCAGACTCCTGCGTTTAAGCAATCCTCCTGCCTCAGCCTTCCTCTAGAAGATAGGAATATAGATGCTCATCACCATGCCTGCCTGATTCGTATTTTTCTCTTTCTGTTTTATTTTATTATTAGTTTTGAGACTGAGTTTTGCCCCATCACCAAGGCTGGAGTGCAGGGGTGCAATCTCAGACCACTGCAACCTCCATCTCTCAGGTTCAAGTGATTCTCATGCCTCAGCCTCCTTAGTGGCTGGGACTACAGGCATGTGCCACCATGCCTGGCTAATTTTTGTGTTTTTTTTTAGTAGAGGTAGGGTTTCACCCTGTTGGCCAGGCTGGTCTCGAACTCCTGACCTCAAGTGATCCATCCGCCTTTGCCTCCCAAAGTGCTGGGATTACAGGCGTGAGCCACCATGCCCAGCCTTATTTTTTATTTTTGTAGAGACAGGTTCTGGCTATGTTGTCTAGGCTGGTCTTGAACTCCTGGTCTCAAGCAATCATCCTGCTCCCAAAGTGCTGGGATTATAGGCATGAGCCCCCACTCCCAGCCTTTGGTATTATTTTAAGACAGAATGAGAAACACTGGATATACCAATCTTAGGATACGCTAATCTTTTGGCATCAAGAGTGGTGGTGAAGTAAAAATGTTTTTAGGAACTAAATATTTAGGGGATAATTATTTGTTTCCTTGTTTCTAGGGTTATTCCTAATTGTCAGTTCCGGTCAAAAACAGCACGTCTTAAAACTTTTACTGCCAACCAGATAGATGAAATAAAAGACCCTTCTGGACTCTTTTACATCCTCCCTTTTCAAAAGGTAATCCAATTAATTATGTTTCATTTCTAGCATTGTAGACCTAAATTTAAAGATAATTTTAATTGTATATAAAAGGCTGTGTGTAACTTAAATTTTAACTACAACCTAATTAAACCCAAATTAAAATTTAATTGTTTGGGTAAAAATAAACGACCATGATTTAGTTACTTATTGTGAGTACTGATTTTTACTTACATTAAATCTAAGTGGTATGCACACATTAATTTAAGAAAATAAGTATAGGGAGGCAACTGTATATATTGGTGTGTCTTTTGAACCTCTGACATTTTAGTTATTGCTTATTTGTGAGTTTGTTTTTTAACTTTTTAAAGGAGAAAAACATACTAACATAATTGGTTTGAAATTCATACAGCAGTATACCTATGTAGTAAACCTGCACGTTCTGCACATGTATCCCAGAATTTAAAGTATAATAAAAAAATTTTTTTTTAAATTAAAAAAAAGAAATTCATACAGCATTACACTGGAAATGGTAACCATAGATAGAAATCAGTGATTTGGAATCTGATTTTTAAAAATTATTCAAATATTTATAATCTGATTTTTAAAAATTATTCAAATGTTCTTGATAATTAAATTTATAAAAACATTTTTTAGGGCTACTTGGTGAATTGGGATGTTCAGAGACAAGTTTGGGATTACCTTTTTGGAAAAGAAATGTATCAGGTAACAAATTAGAGTATGTATTAAAATTCTATTTCCATGTTTAATTGTAATGAAAAATTAGAATTTACATTTTAAGATTTATAAACTTATGAATAATGTTCTCCGCACATTTAAAATAAATAATAAATGCAAGTGAATAAAATTTCCATGTTGAAGTAGAGGTTGAGTAAAGATAGTCTGTATGAAACTCAAAATTTTACTTCAGATTTCTATTATTAGATCAATTCACTATATCATCTTAATTTTCACAAACGTTTTTGCTTACATATCTAAATACATGAATATTACAAGAGGATTTTGTGTTTTTAATGTCTGTAATGTGATTATAGGTATAAGGAGAAAATGTTCAAGTTTTAATACTTCTCAAGAATGTGTGTGAGAGAATTACATAAACTTGAATATCTTAAGCATCTTGCCCTTTGCCTTTTTTTTTTTAATTTAAAACATCTGCAGGCCAAGCGCAGTGGCTCATGCCTGTAATCCCAGCACTTTGGGAGGCTGAGGCGGGTGGATCACTTGAGGTTGGGAGTTTGAGACCAGCCTGGCCAACTGGTGAAACCCCGTCTCTACTAAAAATACAAAAATTAGTCAGGCATGTTGGCACACACCTGTAGTCCTAGCTACTTGGGAGGCTGAGGCAGGACAATTGCTTGAACCTGGAAGGTGGAGGTTGCAGTAAGCCGAGATTGCACTACTGGATTCCAGCCTGGGTAAGACTATGTCTCAATAAATAAATAAATACATAAATAAAACATCTGCAAGTTTTTTTTTATTATGATTTTCTTTTCTTTTTAATAGACATGGGGTTTCACCATGTTGCCCAGGCTGATCTCAAACTCCTGGGCTCAAGCAATCCGCCCAAGCGTGAGCTACCGCACCAGCCCCATCTTCTCTTGTTTTGTCTTTGTCTTGTTCTGTCCTTTTTTTTTTCTTTTTTTTTTTTAGGGGGAGTCTTGCTCTGTTGCCCAGGCTGCAGTGCAGTGGCATGATCTCTGCTCACTGCAACCTCTGCCTCCTGGGTTCAAGTGATTCTCCTGCCTTGGCCTCCTGAGTAGCTGGGATTACAGGCATGCGCCACCACACCTGGCTCTTTTTTTTTTTTTTTTTGTATTTTTAGTAGAGATGGGGTTTCACCGTGTTGGCCAGGCTGGTCTGGAACTCCTGACCTCAGGTGATCTGCCTGCCTCAGCCTCCCAAAGTCCTGGGATTACAAGCTGAGCCATCGTGCCTGACCTTGTTTTCCTTTCATTTAGAAACATAACAGCCCCAATATTTGTTGTATCATTCATTAATGTTTCTATAATTGTCTTTAAACAATTTTATGGTAACATTTTCTTTCATTTTTTAGAGACAGAGTCTTGCTCTGTTGCACAATCATGGCTCACTGCAGCCTCAATTTCCCAGGCTGAAGCAATTAGCCTACCTTATCCTTCTAAGTAGCCAGGACTACAGGCATGCACCGCCATGCCCTGTTAATTTTTATTTATTATTATTATTATTTTTTTAGTAGAGGTGGGGTCTTGCTGTGTTTCCCAGGCTGGTCTCATATTCCTAGCCTCAAGCAATCCTTCCACGTCAGCCTCCCAAAGTGCTGGGATTACAGGTATGAGCCACTGTGCCAGGCTGGTAACATTTTATTAATGCTACCTCTAACAGAAGTAAAATTGCATAATAGTTGAGTACATGGATTCTGTAACTAGACTCCCTGGATTCAAATCTTACCTATGTCATTAAATAGCTCTATGAACTTGGTCACTTATTTAACTTTTCTGTGCCTCAGTTTGCTCATCTATTAAATGGGGATAGTAATAAGACATCACGATTATTGTGAGGATTAAATAAATTTGTTTGTACATGTAAAACAAGTGTTAATTATCATTACAAATTATGAAACATTTTGGAATGTTTTCTCCTATAGGTTGATTTTTTAGATACTAATATTATTATCACTGAACCATACTTTAACTTCACTTCAATTCAAGAATCAATGAATGAAATTCTATTTGAAGAATACCAGTTTCAAGCAGTATTAAGAGTAAATGGTGAGTTCAAGTTTTCACTGAAATTGAGTTATATGACTATGGATATGAATAGGGTAATACTCATAAAGTCCCAAAATATTAAGTGGCATTCTTGGCTAGCACAGTGGCTAACACCTGTAACCCCATCAGTTTGGGAGGCTGAGGCGAGTAGATCACTTGAGTTTAGGATTTGAGATCAGCCTGGGCAGCATGGTGAAACCCTGTCTCTACAAAAAAATAGAAAAATTAGTTGGGCATGGTGACACGCACCTGTAGTCCCAGCTACTTAGGAAGCTGAGGCAGAAGGATCGTTTGAGCCTGGGAGGTTGAAGCCGCAGTGAGCTATGATCGTGCCAGCCTGGGTGACAGAGTGAGATCCTGTCTCCAAAAAAAAAAGAAATTGAATTCTGTGAAGCTTGAATATGGATATGAACCAAGTAAAGAAACTCTTAAAGTTCCAGAATACTATGTGGCATTTTTTAGATTTGAAGGAAATAAGTCTTGGATTTTTCTTTTTCTTTTTTTTTTTTCCGAGATGGGGTTCTGGTCTTGTTGCCCAGGTTGGCATGTGATGGAGCAATCTCTGCTCACCCTCCACCTCCTGGGTTCAAGCGATTCTCCTGCCTCAGCCTCCCAAGTAGCTGGGATTACAGGCGTTCGCCACCATGCCTGGCTAATTTTGTATTTTTAGTAGAGATGGAGTTTAACCATGTTGGTCAGGCTGGTCTTGAACTCCTGATCTCAAGTGATCCACCCGCCTTGCCCTCCCAAAATGCTGGGATTACAGGCATGAGCCACTGCGCAAGTTTTGGAATCTTAAAACTAAATGGACCCTTAGAGATTATATAGTCAGACATCTCTCATTTTATCTTTTTACTAATATTTCTTCTAATGAAGTTACTGGCCACATATTTCTTATTTCTGAAAGATTCTGAGGTAGTTATCTTTCCTGTCATTTATGTGTTTGCAATTATTATTGTTTGTTTGTTTGTTTTTGTTAAGTCAGGGTCTTGCTCTGTTGCCCAGGCTAGAGTGTGGTGGCACAAACATGGCTCACTGTAGCCTCCACCTCCTGGGCTCAAGGGATCCTCCCGCCTCAGCCTCCCAAGTAGCTGGGACCACAGGTATGTGCTGCCACATCTGGCTGATTTATTTATTTTTTGTAGAGACAGGGTCTCATTTTGTTGCCTAGGCTGGTCTCGAACTCCTGGACTGAAGTCATCTTCCCGCCTTGGCCTCCCATAGTGCTGGGATTATTGGCATAAGCCACGGCTCCAGGCCGAATTCTTATTGTTTGAAATAATGTTAGTAGCTCAGGCTGCCAGTGTGAGGGAGAACAATCTGTAAATATCATCTAGAAGCAAGTGTATTACAGGCTTAGATTACATGACATGGTTGGGTACAATGAAAGTATTTAAATATTTAACTTTCAGAATTTAAGTCCATATAAGCAGCAGTATGGGCAGTGGTTAAGGGCACAATCTCAACCAGGTGTAGTGGCTCATGCCTGTAATCCCAGAACTTTGGGAGGCCAAGGCAGCAGGACCACTTTAGGCTAGATGGTCAACATAGTGAGACTCCATCTCTACAAAAGAAAATTAAAAAATTAACCAGGCATGGTGGTGCATGTGTACAGTCCCAGCTACTGGAGAGGCTGAGGCAAGAGGATCACTTGAGCCCGGGAGGTGGAGGTTGCAGTGTGCCATGATCATTACCACCGGGAAGGTGCTACTGGCATCTCATGGGTAGAGGCCAAGATGCTGTTAAACATCCTACAACGCATAGGAAAGCCCTCTACAACAAGGAGTTATCCAACCCCCAATGTCAATAGTTCTGAGGTCTCAACCTACTGCCTAGGTTTGAATCCTGGCTCTGGTACTTCCTAACTGTGTGGCTTTGAGCACATTACTTTACTTCTCTGAGCTTCAGGTTCCTTATCTGTAAAATGGAATTGTTTTGAGTATTAACACACACACTCATTATACAGATTTTAGAATAGAGTCTGGCATGTAATAAATGATCAGTAAAAATGAGCTGCTGTTGTAGTAATTCTTTTAAACTATGGAGTGAATATTTACCTTTAAAAACGGATACCAAATTTTTATTATGTTTACCATGTAAGTGTGGTGTTTTAAAGTATAAACACAATAAAGATCTTTTGACAGTTATGAATAGTATTATAAATTAACATTTTTCTTGTAATAAAGGGAACATTTTTGTCTTGGTGCTTGTCTTTGTTTCCTACCTTTTTAATTGCTTTAAATTAGTGTTATATTTTTGTTCACTTTTTTATCTTTTTTTAAATAGCTGGGGCTCTCAGTGCACATAGGTATTTCCGAGATAATCCTTCCGAATTATGCTGTATCATTGTTGATAGTGGATATTCCTTTACACATATAGTTCCTTATTGTAGAAGTAAAAAGAAAAAAGAAGCAATTATTCGGTGAGTTGTATTTAATTTTCATGTTGTTTCTAAAGATTAAACAGAATGATATGTGCGATAATTAAATTTGAGTTCTCCCCTTGCAGGATAAATGTGGGAGGAAAACTCTTAACCAATCATCTAAAGGAGATCATATCTTACAGGTGATGCTTAGCTTTGATTCTTTGGGAGGATGGGGCTCTGGGGAGGAACCTTTTACAGTAATTTAAGATTATTCCTTACTTTTAAGGCCAGTCATTGTGACTCACGCCTGTAATCCCAGCACATTGGGAGGCCGAGGTGGGTGCATCACTTGAGGCCAGGAGTTCGAGACCAGCCTGGGCAACCTGGTGAAACCCCACTTCTACTAAAAATACAAAAATTAGCCAGGTGTGGTGGTACACACCTGTAATCCCAGCTACTCGGGAGGCTGAGGCATGAGAATCATTTGAACCAGGAGGTGGAGGTTGCAGTGAGCCGAGATCGCGCCACTTCACTCCAGCCTGGGTGACAAAGTGAGACTCTCTCTCTCTCAAAAAAAAAAAAAAATTGTAAATGTTGTACATTAACATAACTTATGCTACTATTTTTAATTTTATTGTGTTTAACACATAAGTAGAATTCTTAAATCTCAATTTCTTGTTACATTAACTTTGGATGGTATCATACCATCAGGATCCCTTTGCTCCCCTATGTGCCCTACTCCTTTGTATTTGCTCCCTGACTGTGTCGCTGACCCCTGGCAACTACTAATTGGCTTTCCATCGCTATATGTTTGTTATCTGAAGAATGTTAGTTTCTTTTTGTTTGTTTTCTTTTTACAATTTTATTATTACTATTATTGTTATTTGAGGCAGGGTCTCACAGTGTTGCCCATGCTGGTCTCAAACTCCTGGGCTCAAAAGATCTCCCATTTCAGCCTCCCTTAGTAGCTGGGATTACTGACCTGCACTTCGCGCCCCTGAGCTTGGCAAGAATGTTACAGTCTCAGATAACTAGAAGGAGGATATTGAGTGTTACCAATACACAAAAATGGATAAGTGTTGAAGATGATGAATATTCTAGTTATCCTGATCTGATGCACTGTGTGGGTTTCTTTTTGATTTTGAGACAGGGTCTTTGTCACCCAGGCTGGAGTGCAGTGGTTTGTTCATTACTCACTGCATCCTCAACTCCTTGGCTCAAGAAATTATCCTGCCTCAGCCTCCCAAGTAGCTGGGACCACAGGCATGTGCTACCACACCTGGCTAATTTTTGTATTTTTTTGTAGAAACAGGTTCTCACTATGTTGCCCAAGCTGGCCTTAAACTCGTGGGTTTAAGCTGTCCTCCTGCCTCAGCCTTCCAAAGTGCTGGGATTACAGGCGTAGCCACAGCTCCCAGCAAAACATCACTGTGTACCTGAGAAATATGTACAATTATTACATGTCAGCTTAAAATATATATATATATATGTTTTAAAGATACTGGTGGGAGAATGAATACTGGGATGGCCACACCCAGTCATGCCATACATTTAGCCATTTTTTCATTAAAAATAATTATGGCCAGGTGCAGTGGCTCGCATCTGTAATCCCAGCACTTTGGGAGGTGGAAAAGTTTTTGTTTATTTTTAAACATCTTTATTTCTATAGTAAGCCAATGTTTAAGCTTCACCCTCAGTCAAACATTTATTGAACAGCTTGTATGTGCTTGGTACTGTGTGCTGACTCAGCAATACTTAATATAATCAGAAAAGAAAGTGCATAGAGTTAAGGCATTGTAGCAAGATTCTATTCAGAATGGTTTGCGGGGGAATGTTTGATCTTTAGTTAGATAAACCCCACTTAACATCTTTGTTTTCAGTTTCCTTACCTATAAACTAGACTAATACCTACCCTCAGAGGAATAGTGTGGAAATTAATGGAAGTGACAGTATTCCATAAAGTTAAAATTATTTTACACATTCAAGAATTTAAAATTTCAAAAAATCAGTTACCTGAAAATTTAATTCCAGAAAAAAATTTCAGATAATTATAAATTATGTTTAATTGTTTTGCTTCAAATTTTACAACTTTTATTTCTGTTAGGCAGCTACATGTTATGGATGAAACACATGTGATTAATCAAGTGAAAGAAGATGTATGCTATGTGTCTCAGGATTTTTATAGAGACATGGATATTGCAAAGTATGTATAATGACAATCTAAGAATTGGAAAGTAGATTGTTAGGGGATGTTACACATAATTAGAATGTTTCATAAATCTCAATTTTGTTTTCCAGGTTGAAAGGAGAAGAAAATACAGTAATGATAGACTATGTCTTGCCTGACTTCAGTACAATTAAAAAGGGCTTTTGTAAGGTAATTTTTAAAAACCATCAATGGTTGGTTGCTGCGGCTCCTGTCTATAATCCCAGCACTTGGGGAGGCTAAGATGGGAGTTAAGAGACTGGCCTGGGCAACAAAGCAAGCCCCTGTCTCTATTATAAAATTAAAAAAAAAATCAGTGATATTTCAAGTGATCACCTCAGTTAGATTTGAAAAGAATTTCATTTAGGCCAGCCACCGTGGCTCACACCTGTAATCCCAGCACTTTGGGAGGCTGAGGCAGGTGGATCACTAGGTCAGGAGTTCAAAACCAGCCTGGCCAACATACTGAAACCCCGTCTCTACTAAAAATACAAAAAAAATTAGCCAGGTGTGGTGGCAGGTGCCTGTAGTCCCAGCTACTTGGGAGGCTGAGGCAGGAGAATCACTTGAACCTGGGAGGTGGAGGTTGCAGTGAGCTGAGATCACACTATTGCACTCCAGCCTGGGCAACACAGCGAGACTCTGTCTCAAAAAAAAAAAAAAAAAAAAAAGAATTTCACATCCAGCTGGCATTGGCAGGGCCTTAGAGAGTTGCTTTTCTTTTGTTTGTTTTGTTTTTTTGGTTTTTTTTGAGACAACATCTCACTCTGTCATCCAGGCTAGAGTGCAATGGTGCGATCACAGCACTCACTATAGCCTTTACCTCCCAGGCCCAAGTGATCTTCCTGTCTCAGCCTCCAGAGTTGCTGTGATTGCAGGCATGTGCCACCACGCCTGGTTCATATTTGTATTTTTTGTAGAGGTGGGGTCCTACAGTGTTGCCTAGGCTGACCTTGAACTCCTGGGCTCAAATGATCCTCCTGCCTTGGCTCCTAGGTGTTGGGATTACAGGCGTGAGCCACAGCTCCTTGGGCCTTCGAGAGTTGTTGATTACTACCTTCCTGCTGGCCATTTCACCCGGCAAAAGTGAAATTTGATTAATAAATTTCTTAGTAAATTTATTTAGAAAAAGAACTATCAGCCAAAAGATAGCACATAGGGCAAATCTGGAGATAAACAGTATCATTATGTATATTATGGCTAACCCATTTTTGTTTACTTAAAAATTAGTTTAAATTGAGTTAGAAATTGGTTATTTTCCTATTGTGAAAATTATTGACATAGCTGACCTAGGGCCAAATTCTACTTCTGTTTGGTCTGGTATGATTAGATTAGAAAAGGGCAAAATCCAATGGCATTTCAAAGTGTTGAGAAGCAGTTTATCATGGATGTCAAAATAATTTCTATTTATCTTTTATCAGCTCAGATAAAATTACTTCTGTGGTTAGGTAAATGTGAAGTTTGCATTTCTGGTTACCAGCTTGATGAGGACTGTTGGGAAGTTAAAAATCTTTGGTCAGAAACATAAGCACATTTGGGCAAGGAGACATTTATGATAATATTCATTGCAGTGTACTTTAAAATAATGAAAAATTGAGACCTGCCTAAATATCCACTAATGGAAGGAGATTAATTTTTGATATGTTCGTATAGTAAAATAATAAGCAGTAGAGAAATCAAGTAGAGCTTATATAAACAGCATGGACAAATCTCAGAAATCTGATTTTCACAGAAAAGCACATTTTAGAAAGCTATGTACACTTTTAGTCTATGCAGAATAATTATGTTCTCTTTTTGGTGAGAATAATAATATGTTATTAAGGTATACTTAAATATGAAGTAAAAGTATAAAAAACTATGTATGTGAATGATAAAATACCAAATTAGGGGAGTGTCAGCTTATCTGTAAAGTTACATTAAGCTGGTTGGTGAATACATGGGTTTTATATAATTATTTATACTTAGTATGCCTGAAAACAAAAGTGAATTTTTTTGGGCCAGATTATTGAGGTGAAGTATGAATCAGAGTTCAGAGACTACTTGGGGCCTTATAAAACTGAAATCATCCTTTTATGTTCTTAGAAACAGATCCTTATGGCTGTGTGTGGTGGCACACACCTACCTATAATCCCAGCATTTTGGGAGGCTGAAGTGGGAGGATTGTTTGAGACCAGCCTCAGCAACAAAGTGAGACCCTGTCTCTACAAAAAAAAAAAAAAAAATTAAAATTAGCTGGGCATGGTGTCACACACCTGTAGTTCTAGCTACTCAGGAGGCCGAGTTGGGAGGATTGCTTGTGCCCATGAATTTGAGGTTACAGTGAACTATGATCATTTCACTGCACTCCAGAGCTGGGCAACAGAGCCAGATCCTGTCTCTTTAAAAACAAAAGAAACAAAAAACAAAAAGTGAAACAGATCCTTATGAAAGGACCTAGGCTGGCTTTCAGAAATGGGAATTGAGATAGATGATGGGATAAGGTTGCCTGGGCATGTATCAGGTAGAGAGAAACTGGAAGCCCAAGTCCTGGCTAAGATACGGAAGGTGTATTTTTTTTCTTCTTCACAAGACAAGAAAAACTGCCCCAAACATTTAAATACCAAACCTCTTTCTTACTAGGCACATTTGATTATTGTCATATTTTATAGCTGATACCTTGTGGAAATTTTATGGTACTCTATAGGGTTAATAGGGGTAAAGTAATCCTGATTTCTACAGAGATGGATCTGAGTAAAGTCTCAGTGATTTCCAGTCTCCTCAAATCTGACTGATCATTGGAATCTCTTGGGGCACTTGAAAACAAAACAAAACCTGTATCCGTGTTCTCAGTTCCTCTTCCTAGAATTGCCTGTTTCATAAGTTTGAAAACTTAAAACCTCTTCCAGATGATTGGATAGTCAACTAGGAAATCTTTCTTTTTAGAAAAACTCTCCTTCCCTGCAAATTACAACCTATTTGTTTATTGGACATTTTCTTCTAAACTCTGCCAGTTTCTTCCTTGCCAAATCATAAGCCGTGTTTTCTCAAGTGAGTACCTTATGCAATAAGCCAGTAGAGGTGTGGTTATTCTCCCAGTTGACCATTACTTTACTCATCTTTAGAAAAGGCAGAAGCCATATAAGGTTTTTTATTGGCTTTTGACCTTGTGAACACAATCTGGTTATGGACTGTGTGGGCTTCATTTACTCAGGATACACTCTGTTGCTGATTCTCATATATAATGTGTATTTTAATAGCAGATGAGTGGACAAAGTCAGTTGGAACTGGGCTTTTGGCAGATGATACAGTGTTACCGCAAATGTTTATTGTAGAAAGAATGGTTTAATCTTTGTCAATTTCGTTAAAATGTACACCTTATTCAGAGTCTGTGTTAAATCATCTTAATAATTTTTTAAAGATTTAGAAACAGTTGTATTTTATATATTGGAATTTTTTATATTGTTTTGATTTTAATACTTGATTAAAATAAATATTTATTTGAGAGCCTTTATTCCTAGGGTTTTGTTAACACTTGAATTTTGATAGTTTCAAGAATATTTTTAAGTAGCTGGGGGAAGTTACATACTTGATTTTCTAGCACTAATGGTAGTAACAATAGCAATAAAAATAGGCCTGTAATATCATTACAGATAACAACCAATAGAAATTCCAGTTTTCTTTCTTATCAGAAAGAGGAAGCCTACTAATGTATAATGAATTCGACTGACCTAAATTGAGAAAATCGTCCTCATCATGGATTACCACTTTCTGCAGAGCCAGTATAACATACACTGATCATTTCTTTAATTGTACTGGAACTAACTTTTTGTTTGGTTTGAGACGGAGTCTCGTTCTATAGCCCAGGCTGGAGCACAGCGGTGTGATCACAGCTCACTGCAGCTTTGACCTCTCAGGCTCAAGTGATCCTCCCACCTTAGCCTCCCAAGTAGCTGGGACCACAGATGGTCACCACCAAGCCTGACTAAGTTTTTAAAAAGTTATTTGTAGAGACGAGGTACCACGCTCATCTATGTTGCCCAGGCTAGCCTCAACTCCTGGGCCCAAGTGATCCTCCCGCTTTGGCCTCCAAAGTGCTGGGTTATAGGCGTGAGCCAGTGTGCCCAGCCTCCAGATTACTTGTTAATGGTTAATGGCTTTAGTGCTAACATTTAACAAGGATGTCTAGTTCTGGCTCTCTCCCCTAGTTAGTCATTTAATCTAGAATAAGTCACATGATCCTCTTCTGTCAATCAGGGCTATAAACTAGATAACCTCTAATGTTTTGTCAACTGAAATTCCTAAGTCTGCAACTATCTCAGGTTATTTTGAATGTTGATAAAATGAGTTATATCCCTTAAACTCAAGTCAGTGAATGGCTGGAATTTAATGAATTTGTAAATTCATAGAAAATATTTTCCATTCTGCTTGAGAAGGAAGAATACTTCTATGAGGCATAATATTCTTCTCTTTGTTACTATATAACAATATTTTGGGTTAAAAGTGATTTATAGTTTTCTGGGTTAAAAGTGATTTATAGTTTTCTGTTCTTCCTGGAGTATTTGTGAATACTGTATAATTTTCAGGATATTTTTTATTTTAGAATAATGTTTTGAGCATGGAATTCCCAAATGATCAAAATCTAACCATTTATATCCAGGTTATGAGTGGTAGTATCATGGAAGGAATATTTTGTATGTGCTTTGGATTATGATATGAATGACCTTGAACAAGTAATGTAGCCTTGCAGAGCCCAATTGCATCATTAATTTAAAAGGAAAATATGCCCGTGTTACAGGGTTATATGAGAGTTCAGTGGGATAATGTATGTAATATGTTTAATGAATGACATGTTGCTGTCTTGCTTACTATTATTCAAGAATTCATGGAGTATCTACTGTGTGCCAGGTACTTTTTTATGATAGTTAGTGGATATGTGATGGTGAACAATATAAGCTATGAAGGATAATATAGGGTGATAGAGAATAGTGAAGGATCTTTTTATTTGGGAAGCAGAGAAAACCTCTCAGGAAGCTGAAATCTGAATAGAGAGTAGATGGCTGATTATATTAAGGGACCTATCCTTTTATGGGAGGACAACTGCATTTATAAGTCAAATGAAATGAATGTCTTTACCTGAATCTAGGAAAGCTGATGGTTGTAAAATTGAGAGGGACCATTATTTTAATGATTTAGAATATTGTGGAAGGAGATTATTTTTGCAGCCCCCTCAGCACTACAGCTCACAGATTGGGTGGGTTAGCAGAAAATAAATAACAAGAAAATATGAGTCATGGTTGTTTAAAGTTTGTTATACATAGGCCTCATATAAAGTTAGCATTATAAGGTAAGTTCAAGGATAAGGACCATGGACTTGCTTACATCATTTGGAAACTAATTTTGAATAGAGATTGAATACATATTAAAGAAATGTAGAGATGTAGGCTCTTTCCAGAAGGGAAAGGGGGAATCCTAATAGAATAGAGCCACATATCCAGTAAACACCTAAATTAGGGGAGTGAAAGTAGACAGTACTAGAAACACAAGACATAGTAAATGTTTTTTATTTAGAATGTGTTCTTTGTTCCCTAGAAACTAGAATCATTGTACCATTATAGGTATATTATGAAGTTCTCTCTTGTCTCTCCTCCTTTTTTTCTTTGTATTTTAATTTTTGTTTTGTTTTTTAAGAGACGGGGGTCTCGCTATGTTTCCCAGGCTGTCTTGAACTCCCGGGCTCAAGTGATCCATCCGCCTTGACCTCCCAAAGTGCTGGGATTACAGGTGTGAGCCAGGGCACCTGGCCCTCTTTGTATTTTAAAGTGTGTGGAATAAAGCTGCCAAATTATCTTTGAAGGAACAGCCATATTAGCGTCAGTAATTATTTAGTTGTGTTTTGTGTGATTTTGGCAACAGTAAAGGCAGCCACACATTCTTCTAAATTTTGAGAATCCTGAAACTTCCAAGAACATTATTAATATATTATTAATATATTATTGCATATATAATTGCATATTACTAATTATTAGTCATGTGAGCTAGATAATATAACTTAAACTTTTAATCTTCTTTGTCTTTAAGCCAAGGGAAGAGATGGTGTTGAGTGGAAAATACAAATCTGGGGAACAAATTCTTCGTTTGGCCAATGAGAGATTTGCTGTTCCGGAAATACTCTTTAATCCTTCTGATATAGGCATTCAAGAAATGGGAATTCCAGAAGCTATTGTCTATTCAATTCAAAATCTACCTGAAGGTACATAAATAGAGTAAAATACTAAAGAATTATAATTGTTTTAAAAACATCATAAGCCCTGTGAACCCTGTTTCCTCTAAATAATTTCAGGCAAATTGGTGAGTCTGTTTTATTTGCAGAGATTTGTAGATCCCATAATGCATTTATATAATTCTTGATTCATCTTTGATTATAAGTTTTTTTTTGTGATTATAAATTCGATAGAGGAAAAATCATTATGGTCCATTTAAACTTGAAGAAATGTATCTCTCCATGAGCATTAAATTGCCATATCCATTTTAGGAAAGTTTTAATTTAACCCAGATCTGTACAGAATATAAATTTATAATGTAACAATTTAATGGTTTTCAGCTATTGGTAGACTGACTTATTCTTTCTGCTATATTTAGAGTAACATACAGGATTAATTTTAAAGAGATTGGAATATGGTGCTTCATAGTGATTTCTGGATTCTCCTGAAACATGCCTTAAGTAAATAATGTTCCAGAGTTTTAGGGTACTTTACTATCTCCCTGGTTTGCAAGAAGTAGGCATTGGAGAAAATCTAGCACAGGCCATGTGCTTTCCTCTCATTAAAAAAAAAAAAAAAAAAAGAAAAACATAATGCTGTCCATACATAATTATTTCACAGCTATTTTCATATTTCACATTTTATATAAAGTTGCAGTCATGATGTGTACAACATTTTGTACTACACTGCTTTAAGGTCATGGCAGAGTGAGACTCGAGGTCAATATAAGGAAACTCTGCCCTTGTTTTACTGAACAGAAACATTAGGTGGGACGGCCCATACCTGTTAATTCCTGATGGATTTTCCAGTGGTGTTTTGAAGGCTTTAAGTAACATTTGCTATCATGTAACTTTAATGAGTGTTCATACTTAGATCCCTTCTTTAAACATAGTTTATGAGTGTTTTTAACTATCAAAGGTAAGTATTGCACAACATACATGTTTGCCTCAATGAGATAATGTGGAGATTTGGGCTTGTAAGTTCAAATGTCATGAAAGACCTCGTTTTCATCCTTGTGGTAGCTCACAGTCTCAGCCTACAGCAAGAACCACCCCCCTTCCATTTTAGAGAAGAATAATTATAATTACCAACTGTTTTTTTTACTACAGTGTCACTCATTTATATATGGCTTACATGAGTGTATAGTAAGTAGCCAGTAGTTTACCCCCCTCACCTTAGGTTTTTCTTTTAAAGATCTATGTGGTCATTTTTCACTGTTTCATGTCTTTATTTGTATAAACTGTAACCTCATTACAAATCTTAGAATGGACCTGAAAATTTATTTGGTTTCCCACCAGTAACTGTAATCCCTAATTGCTTCTTATCTGATCCCTCATCCACATCTTTCCAGAAAAGTAAACAGATTTTCTAATGCCTTTTTTCCTTTCCTTCTCCTTTTCTTCTTTTAAAGAAATGCAGCCGCATTTTTTTAAGAACATTGTCTTGACAGGAGGAAATTCCCTTTTCCCAGGATTTAGGGATCGGGTTTACTCAGAAGTTCGATGTCTTACTCCAACAGATTATGATGTTTCTGTTGTGCTGCCTGAAAAGTAAGTGTTGTTTTATATAGAAACGAAACATGGAAGTCCACATGTAGAAAAGGTGGTCTGTTGACTTGAGTTTAAAACCTGGCTCTCCCACGGTGGCAGGTTCATTTCACCTGCTGAATATTCATTTTTCTTCTTTCAAAAATTGAAATGATAAACCTTACATTTCACTAAATTAAATGGAAGTATGTAAAGTGCCAGCCATAATGTTTCATACACAATGGGTGCTTAATTAAGTATATGGGGTGATTACTCCCATGTAGTAAATCAGCCTTGGTCCTAAGAGATTTTTATAGGCAAAGCAATCAGGTTATTGTCTATATGATTTATCTGAGATGTATTATTTATTGACAGTTTCTGTCAGGAATAGAAATTGAATAATTGAACCATTGTGATAAGTTTTATCAATTCATAAATTGTTTTAGAATTTTTTAAATTCTCCTTTAAATGACTTTTATTAATGAGGTTTTTAAAATTCAAAACTGTTTTATGTCTACCCTGTACAGTGTTATATGAGAAAAAGTGCATATCATCACTTCCACTTCAGTGGTTAAAATAAACTAAGGTAGGGCCAGGCGCAGTGGCTCTTGCCTGTAATCCCAGCACTTTGGGAGGCTGAGGCAGGCAGATCACTTGAGTTCAGGAGATTGAGACCAGCCTGGGCAACATGGTGAAGCCCCGTCTCTACAAAAAATTAGCCGGATGTGCTGGTGTGCACCTGTAGTCCCAGCTACTCAGGAGGCTGAGGTAGGAGGATCATTTGAGCCCAGGAGGTGGAGGTTGGTGTGAGCTAAGATTGCACCACTGTATGGTAGCCTAGGTGACAAAGCAAGACTCTGTCTCAAAAACAAACAAACAAACCCCCCTGGCAAAAAAAAAAAAACAAAAAAAGAAGGTAGAATTTTACAGCTCTAAGGGCTTATATATCATCCTATTCTATATTCTTATTTTGTAAATAAAGAAACAAGGGCTCATGAGTTGGCAAATGCCCTATGGTGAGTTAATAGCAATGATCAGATTAAAACCCAGTTTTCTTACCTTGAGTGAGGACTTCTTACCCAAAGTATATGTCTAAAAACTCACCCCTAGTGTTAGTGGCAGAGTTGCAAACAAGACCCCACATACCTGACTCTTAATTCTAGAGTTTTGTTTTAAAGCTAAAGTAGAATTTTCCAAAATCAGCAAGTTAATAGAAGGCCCTCATTGGTATCACTTTCTTTTATAGCTATGAGATAAATGAATAAACAATTTAAAAATATTGGGATGATTTTTATCACCACTAATGTTCATATGTTCTTAAGACTATAAAGCATATTGGCTTTTTCTCTTGCATGCACAGATTACAGGCCAAGGGATCCACAGAAATAGGTCTTATTATTTTATTAAATAAATTTTTATTGTGCGTCTACTGCTTTTATATATGTATAAATATATGTGTATACTTATATATAAATCTATTTTTATAAAAGCTTAATGCAAATATAAATACAATAAAACATTTATTGGCCAGGTTTGGTGGCTCACACCTGTAATTCTACCACTTTGGGTGGCCAAGGTAGGGAGATGGCTTGAGTCCAGGAGTTTGAGGTTACAGTCAGTTAGGATTGCGTCACTGCACTCCAGCCTGGGCAACAGTGTTTGACCCCGTCTCTAAAAAAAAAGAAGGAAAAAAGAAAGAAAAGAAAACCTTTTTTTTTGCTGTAGAGATGGAGTCTCACTGTTTCACCCAAGCTGGCCTCCAACTCCTGGGCTCAGTAATCTGCCTTAGCCCAGCCAAGTTGTGTTTTGGGGGGTTTTTAAAATTTTTTTCAATTTTTTTTTTATTTTTTGAGATGGAGTCTCACTCTGTTGCTCAGGCTGTAGTGCAGTGGCGCAGTCTTGGCTCACCACAACCTCCGCCTCCCAGGTTCAAGCGATTCTCCTGCCTCAGCCTCCCGAATAGCTGGGACTACAGGTACATGCCATCATGCCTGGCTAATTTTTGTATTTTTAGTAGAGATGGGGTTTCACCATGTTGGCCAGGCGGGTCTCAAACTCCTGACCTTGTGATCCGCCTGCCTTGGCCTCCCAAAGTGCTTAGATTACAGGTGTGAGCTACTGCGCCTGGCTTTGGGTTTTTTTTTTTTTTTTTTTGAGACACAGTCTCGCTCTGTTACCAGGCTGGAGTGCAGTGGTATGATCACGGCTCACTGCACCCTTGACCTCTGGACTCAGGTGATCCTTTCACCACAGCCTTCCATGTAGCTGGGACTGCATGCATGAGCCACCATGCCTGGCTAATTTTTAAAATTTTTGGTAGAGATGGGATCTTGCTATGTTGCTCAGGCTGGTCTTGAACTCCTGGGCTCAAGCAGTCCTCCCACCTCGACCTACCAAAGTGCTGGGATTACAGGTATGAGCCACCATAACCGACCTTTGTTTTAATAGAGACAAAGTCTCCCTCTGTCACTTGTGTGATCATAGCTCACTGCAACTTTGAACTCCTGGGTCCAAGCAATCCTCCTGCCTGAGCCTCCTAAGTAGCTAGGACTACAGGTATATGCCATCATACTTGGCTAGAAAATATTGATTTAACATTTTTCTTTACCTTTTTCAGATTTGAAACTCTAAACTGGGGAAAAAGAATAGTAGAAACAGAATTGAGTCATAACACATAGTATAACCTTGGTTGTAGATAGCAAAACCAAACTAGATGTTTTACCTGCTCTAATTTTACCTATTGTCTGTGTCTTCCCACATAATTGTTTATCATACACTATGTTTTCTGTTTCATTTATTAGAGGCAACAAAGTCTATCAGCAAAAGCACAGACTGTGAAAACAGTTCTGAGTTAAATCCTAGTTCCAGCCTAAATTCTAGTTCCAGACTTAACTTCTCTGAGCCTCATTTTTCAAATCTAGAAAGTGGGAGTAGGCTGGGTGTGGTGGCTCACAACTATAATCCCAGCACTTTGGGAGGTCGAGGTGTGTGGATCACCTGAGGTCAGGAGTTCAAGACCAGCCTGGCCAACATGGTGAAACCCCACCTCTACTAAAAATACAAAAAAAATTAGCCATGTGTGGTGGCATGTGCCTGTAGTCCCAGCTACTTCGGAGGCTGAAGCAGGAGAAACGTTTGAACCTGGGAGGCAGAGGTTGCAGTGAGCTGAGATCGTGCCACTGCACTCCAGCCTGGGCGATAGAGTGAGACTCCGTCTCAAAAAAAAAAAGAAAGAAAGTGGGAGTAATAGCTATTTTATGAGTTGCTATGAGAATTATTGAGATGACATATCTTTGCCACATACAGAATTTAGACTCAGTATGACAGTTTTTCCTTTTAGGCATCTTTTGATCTTTTGCTTATATCCTTGTTTTTTCTTTAGAATTAGAGGGTCCATAAATTCAGGACATAGGGAAAAAGGAACATTTACTATTTTGTAGCGGTAAACAAGGTTCCTTTCCTTTTTGGGTTGCTCTACTCATATGAAATGTATGCTTATTTCTGTACCTTAAACAATTTTCTGTTGGGTTGGGTAGAGCTTGCCACATTTTAATGGCAAAAAAAACACAAATTACTTTTGCACCAACCTAATAGTAATTTATGTTTCAGGCATTTCAGTTTTCCTGTAAAATCATCTGGGTTCATTTATACCTTTATTTTCAGCCCTATTACTTATGCCTGGGAAGGTGGAAAATTGATATCAGAGAATGATGATTTTGAAGATATGGTGGTAACAAGAGAAGATTACGAAGAAAATGGACATAGCGTCTGTGAAGAGAAATTTGATATTTAAGCAACATTTTTGAATGAAAGTTGTGACCATAAGGTTTAATTTCAAAGTTCCTTTTAAAAGAGGTTAAGGAACTGTGTTACCTTTTGTCCTAAGAAAAAGGCTTGAATTTATGTAAATACTTTGATCGATTGCTAATTTTCAAAGGCTTCTTAGGTAGGTTACTACAGTAAACTGTAACTCAGTCCACATTTTCATTTAGGAGCTAGACTACCATAACAATGCTTATGCTGTTTCCAAGGGTAGGTTATTTTTCATTAAAAGAAGAATGAATGCATTTTAAGTTTAATTCTTCATAGCTGAAAGCACAAATTTAACGGCTTCACTGGACAGTTTTCCTTAGAAGGTAGTTTTGTGTGACTGTGACTAAACTATTTTATTTTAAAATGTCATTCTTATTTATACATTCTAAAGTTGGAAAGACTGATCTTATATGTGTATAATGTTTATTTTGTACCTAGAGTACATTTAAAAGGGTGGAGACTAAGCTAATAAAGTTTTTTTGGCCACTACTGTGTGGGCAGAATATCTTATTTCACTCATAAAAGTACTATTTTTTTTAGGATGAATGAAAAGAGATTTGAAGTTAACTCAGGGTTGTTCAAGAACTTTTTTTTTTTTTTTTTTTGAGACGGAGCCTTGTTCTCTCACCCAGGCTGGAGTGCAGCGGCGTGATCTTGGCTCACTGCAACCTCCGCTTCCCAGGTTCAAGCGATTCTCCTACCGCAGCCTCCCGAGTAGCTGGGATTACAGGCGTGTGCCACCACCACCACACCTGGCTAATTTTTGTATTTTTAGTAGAGACAGGGTTTCACCTTGTTGGCCAGCCTGGTGTTGAACTCCTGAGCTCAAGTGATCTGCCCGCCTTGGCCTCCCAAAATGTTGGGATTACAGGCATGAGCCACCGCGCCTGGCCTGTTCAAGCACTCTTGATACAAATGTTAGCATTTTGTTTTTAAAACAAAACAGTGATCCATAATAAACATTAAAGTGTTAGATTCCAGCTTTCCAATTTCAGGGAACAGCTGACAGTGACATCAATGAATGGATCAGGTACGCTTTTCTGATTGCAAGCAGTAGAAACTCATTTGGGCTATATCTTCAGCAGAACAAAATTTATCCAGGACAAAGGATAGCTTATAAAGTCTAAGAAAAGCTGGGTCCACAGCCTTAAGAAAGATAAAAACCAGAGTAATTTTAGAAATCTTAAGTTACAGAAACAGGGACAGTCCTAGAGCCCTGCCATCAAAATATCTCAGCTCCTGTATTTTCTATCTTATGTCATTGTGCTCATGAATCAAATTTCTAGCAGTGTTTTCCCCTAACTAGGATTATGTTCCTACCCTATGGCTCTAGGGACTTTGATTGACAATCCTGCTATGATGGCCTAGAGTCAAAGAGTCTCTCAAGGAAAACTCAAGTGAAAAGATGAATGCTGGTCAGGGTGAAAGCTGTCCACTTACAGTCATAGATTATATTGCTTTAGGGCCTGGTCATTCCTTCCTAGGCCTAGACTGGTTATCATTGCAGAGTTGCAAAGTGACCATGTTTGTGTGATACCCGGTTACTGGCATATAATCTGTGGACAGTGCAGCAAGAAGATGCTGGTGGTACAAAAGAAATTCTTGCAACCAAACAATATAACTGTGCTAGAAGTTCAAGGTGATGTCAATGGAGGTAAAAAGGTAAGTCCTCATTTAAAGTCCATTACCTGTCTGGACCTCATCCTGGATGGCAGAATGCCAACCAGGTGTTTTTCCTTTGAGAAAATGGGTCATTCCTCAAAGCTGCCTTTGTCCCAAACATGCCCCAGCCTGATGTTTACATTCTTCTGAGAATAGTGTGTATGTGTGTTTTCACATGCTTATTACAGTAAACTAATTTCTATATAAATTAGGTCTCATAGTGCTCATTTTGGAGCCACTATAAATTGGTGTTTTTGTGTGTGTGTTTTTGTTGAGATGGAGTATCACTCCATTGCTCAGGCTGGAGTGCGGTGGCAGGATCTTGGCTTACTGCCACCTCCGCCTCCTGAGTTCAAGCAACTCTCCTGCCTCAGCCTCCTGAGTAGCTGGGACTATAGGTGCATGCTGCCACTCCCAGCTAATTTTTGTATTTTTAGTAGAGACGGGGTTTCACCATGTTGGCCAGGTTGGTCTCGAACTCCTGACCTCGTGATCCACCCGCCTCGGCCTCCAAAAGTGCTGGGATGACAGGCATGAGCCACCGTGCCTGGCCCTACAAATTGATTTTTGACATTAATGAACATAAACCCTAATCTGTTATCACTAGGATCAAAGCTTTCATCCATTTCAACACCTATCTAATTTTGAAACTTTATTGCTAAATATAGATGTTGTTTTAATATGTTTGATTTCAAAGAACACTTTTAATATTAGCTCTATCTGGAGACAGTATAGGTCGTAAAAAATTGGCTCTAAATAGTAATACTGGAGTGACACTTTAAAGATATGTATTGTTGTGGAAAAACATTTTTGAATTTTTGAATTCAGTAATGATTGCCTCAACATAGCAAACTGATCATGTTCACCTATTTCTCTACCTGTTCCAAGTCACATTAAACGTCCGCTGCAGGGGGGAGGGAGGTACATGAGGGAGGAATACACAGGGTGCATTTCAATGCTATTTGTGATATAGTATTTCTCAAGCTAGATGTTGGACACTGGGTATTCATTTTATTAGAGTCCATATTATGTGCATGACAAAATTCTGTTATCTTTTGTAAGATTAAATCCATAATTCTAGTAAACAAAAAGAGTACTACTGATGTGGAGAAGTGTCTAAAATATGGAAAACAAATATGATTAGATTGTTAGAGAAACAAGAAAACCCATATCCCAAATCAGGGCAGGAGAAAACTACCAAAGAGGTAAGAACAATTCCAGAGATATTTTAATCTCAGGACAAATACAGAGAGTAGGAGAAGGCTGGGCATGGCGGCATGTGTCAGCAGTCCCAGCTACTCAAGAGGCTGAGGTAGGAAAATTGCTTGAGCCTAGGAGTTTGAGGCTGCAGTGTGCTACAGCTTCACCTGTGAATAGCCACTATATTTCAGCCTGGGCAACATAGTGAGATCTTGTCTAAAAAAAAGAGTAGAAGGAGATCATGGGTTAGCCACTAAAAGATTGAAACCTACAGCTGTGCCCTATTCCCTGTCTTGTTATTGAGGCTGGGCAGTAAAAGGGGTTAAAGTGTAAAGGTTGGAAAGGAAAGACTAGAACCTGAAATAATTTCATATCCCCTAAGGGCATCAAAGTAAGAAAAAAATTTTAACGGAGCAGTGGGTTGTGTCACTGAACTCTGATTAAAGCCAAGAGCTTGGACCTCATTAGAAAGAATTCAGACAGGGCAGGGCCCTAGGGAACTCAGCACATCTCCCTCTTGTTTCCCTCTCACCCCCCACCAACAACCAGAGGCAAAACACCAAATTAGAACTTGGATTGGCCAGGCATGGTGGCTCACACCTGTAATCCCAGCACTTTGGGAGGCTGACGTGGGTGGATCACCTGAGGTCAGGAGTTCGAGACCAGCCTAGCCAACATGGTGAAACCCCGCCTCTACTAAAAATACAAAAAATTAGCCGGGTGTGGTGGCAGGTGCCTGTAATCCCAGCTACTTGGGAGGCTGAGGCAGGAGAATCACTTGAACTTGAGAGGCGGAGGTTGCAGTGAGCCGAGATCGTGCCATTGCACTCCAGCCTGGGCAAAAAGAGCGAAACTCCGTCACACACACACAACAAAAACCAAAAAAACAAAAAAACTTGGATTCACCCATGGGTAAACAGGAATTCAGAAATGAAAAAAAATGAGCAGACAACCAAGCATTAAATATTTGAGGGATACTTATCACCAGAGAGGCCCCAAATCTAACAAGAATGAATCCCTAAGGGAAGAAAATAAAGGAAAAAACAAAAACTAATATCCTCTAAAGGACTGATGGGGTCACTGTATCTATTGTAAAAAGAGCAGGTTGCTATAACAAAAATAGTTCTTAGAAATTAAAAATAAGTTATTAAAAATAGCTTTTGGGCCGGGCGCCTGTAATCCCAGCAATTTGGGAGGCCAAGGCAGGCAGATCACCTGAGGTCAGGAGTTCAAGACCAGCCTGGCCAACATAGTGAAACCCGTTCTCTACTAAAAATACAAAAACCAACTCAATGTGGTGGTGCACACCTGTAATCCCTGCTTGGGAGGCTGAGGCAGGAGGATTGCTTCAACCCAGGAGGCGGAGGTGGCAGGGAGCCGAGATTGTGCCACTGCACTCCAGCCTGGGTGACAGAGTGAGACCCTGTCTCAAAAAAAAAAAAAAAAAAAACTAAAACTAAAAATAAAAAGACAAACTTTTGCTTAATAGATGGATTGAACAGCAGAATGGACACTAGTACTGTGCTGAAAATCTGGGCCAGGTGCAGTGGCTCACCCATGTAATCCCAGCACTTTGGGAGACTGACACAGGTGGATGGCTTGAGCCTGGGAGTTCAAGACCAGCCTGGGCAACATGGTAAAACCCCGTCCATACTAAAAATACGAAAATTAGCTGGGCAGGGCAGTGCATGCCTGTAGTCCCAGCTACTCGGGAGGCTGAGGCACGAGAATTGCTTGAACCCAGGAGGTGGAAGTTGCAGTAAGCCAGGATCACACCACTGCACTCCAGCCTGGGTGACAGAGACTCTGAAAAAAAAAAAAAAAAAAAAAAAAAAAAAGAAAAGAAAGAAAGAAAACGAGAAAAGAAAAAAGACTGAAAATCTGAGTTAGAAAGAAGCTGAGGGAATTTTCCCAGAATGTAGCATAACTGAGCTAGCACTGGATGGCTGGGGAAAGAGGCTAATCAATGTCCACAGTGTATGCTATGCTGTCCATCTAAATATTAAGAGCCTTACCTACAGAAGACGGCTTTTGATAAGAAAGCTTTTGATAAGCTTTCACACAGGAAACAAATATCCTTGCATTTGGGGCCTATTCTGAGTTTGTCCACATACTTCCCTAAAGCTTCTGCTTCCCAAGTTTCTTTTTTTTTCTTTCTTTTTTAAAATTTATTTTTATTTCTTTTTGAGATGGGGTCTTGCTCTGTCGCTCAGGCTGGAGTGCACTGGCATGATCCTAGCTCACTGCAGCCTGGAACTCCTGGGCTCAAGTGGTCTTCTCACCTCAGCCTCCAGAGTAGCTGGGACTAAAAGCTTGCACCACTACCGCTGGCTAATTTTTTTATTTTTATTTTTAGAGACAGGGAATCTCACTATGTTGCCCATGCTGGCCTTGGACTCCTAGCCTCAAGCAATCCTCCTGCCTTGGCCTCCCAAAGTTTTGAGATTATGGGCCTACGCCACTGTTCCTGGCCTAGGTTTCTTACCTTGTAGTTGTCAAATCTCTGACCCTTTGGTCAAACCATTAACTGTCATCTCTACTCATGTCTTCATGTAAGTTGAACCACCAGAAATATTGCTCTGATGTCTCCCTGAGATAATTTCTCCTCCGCACTGTGGATTAGGTGTGCTCAGCAGGATGTGCTGCCATCAAGTGGAAGTGGCATATACAGGACTGGACTCAGACTGGTCTTAAGGACATGAGTCAATTTTATGAGCTACTTACTCTCAGTTTCTCAGGAGGCTGATGCAGGAGGATTGCTTGAGCCCAGAAGTTCGAGGTGGCAGTGAGCTAAGATCGCACCACTGTACTCCAGCCTGGGCAACAGAGTGAGATACCGTCTCTTAAAAAAAAAATGTTTTTTTTGGCCGGGCGCGGTGGCTCACGCTTGTAATCTCAGCACTTTGGGAGGCCGAAGTGGGTGGATCACAAGGTCAGGAGATCGAGACCATCCTGGCTAACACAGCAAAACCCCATCTCTACTAAAAGTACAAAAAATTAGCCAGGCGTGGTGGTGCATGCTTGTAATCCCAGCAGAGGCAGTGAGCTAAGATTGCACCATTGCACTCCAGCCTGGGCGACGAGAGAAACTCCGTCTCAAAAAATAGTAATAATTTTAAAAAAAAAACAGTTTTATGTAAATCATACTCAGAACACTGGCTACAAAGGAGCTGGAAAATGAGGTTTTTAGCTTTCTACTCTCTGAAGTTTAGGAAGACACACTATAAGGAAGTTACACTAAATGTTGAGCAACAGGAGCTGCAGTCCCTGGTCAAACCAGTATTCAACGCCTGGGGGCAAAATAGAAACTTTTGGATAAACAAGGACTCAAAGTGCCACTCTTGAGACAATTTCTGAAAGAACTGCTTAAGGATACAGTACTGTAGTAAGATGACAATGAATCTAAGAAAGGAGGGTAAGCATTCAAGAAAACAGTAGGGGCCCAGCAAGATGGTTTACGCCTGTAATCCCACCACTTTGGGAGGCAGAGGCAGGAGGAGCACTTGAGCCCAGGAGTTAGAGGCTGTAGTGAGCTATGATCATACCACTGCACTCCAGCATGTGTGACAGAGCAAGACCTTGTCTCTAAAAAACAAACAAAAACACAGTAGGAAAAAAATAAATCAGGAAAATTAATTTGAATAATTATAGAAGCACTAAAGAGTTAGCAATTGAAATACTGAATTGTGTAATTTTATAATTTGTGTATCTTATTAACACAAAACATTTTTCAAATTGTGTTCACTCACATTTTCAATATATATTTAAATATATATTTATTCAATTTTTTTTTGAGATAGAGTTTCGCTCTTGTTGCCCAGGCTGCAGTGCAATGGCACGACCTTGGCTCACTGCAACCTCCGCCTCCTGGATTCAAGTGATTCTCCTGCCTCAGCCTTCTGAGTAACTGAGATCACAGGCACGCGTCACCATGCCCGGCTAATTTTTGTATTTTTAGTCAAGACGGGGTTTCACCACGTTGGTCAGGCTGGTCTCGAACTCCCGACCTCAGGTGATCCGCCCACCTCGGCCTCCCAAAGTGCTGGGATTACAGGTGTGAGCCACGGCACCCGGCCTTCAAAATAGTTGAATTGCTAGTTATACCCCTTTTATTCTGAAGTATAAGCCCTAAACTAACTTAAAATAGTTTCTAGTGACAATCTTTTTTTTTTTTTGAGAATGAGTCTCGCTCTGTTGCCCAGAGTGGAGCGCAGTGGTGCGATCTCCGCTCACTGGAACCTCTGCCTCCTGGGTTCAAGCAATCCTACCTGCCTGCTTTAGCCTCCCCAGTAGACGGGAATACAGGCGCCCGCCACACCTGGCTAATTTTTTTGTATTTTTATTAGAGTCGGGGATTCACCATGTTGGCCAGGCTGGTCTCGAATTCTTGACCTCAAGTGATCCAGCCGCCTTGGCCTCCCAAAGTGCTGTAATTACCGGTGTGAGCCACTGTGCCCGGCAAATTTTTTTAGAGTGTGTGTGTGTGTGTGTGTGTGTGTGTGTGTGTGTGTGTGTGTGTGTGTGTCAGGGTCACATTCTGTCATCCAGGCTAGAGTGCAGTGGCTCAATCACTCCTCACAGCAAGTGATCTTCCCACCTTAGCCTTCTGGGTAGATGGGACTACAGGTGTCCACCACCACGCCTGGCAAATTTTTTGTAGAGATGGGGTTTTGCCATGTTGCCCAGGCTGGTCTCCAACTCCTGGGCTCGAGCAATCTGCCTGCCTCAGACTCCCAAAGTGCTGGTATTACAGGTGTGAGCCACCATGTCTGGCCCCTAGTGACAATCTTACAATAAAACACACAACAAATAAAACAAAGGAATAACTTTATCAAAATATCTTTGTCAATTTTAATGTTTTATTAACTTTTTGTTGCTAATTTAATGGTTAGTATTTAGCATCCTTGAGCCATCTTTAAAGCACCTAGTTTTACTCTGAACTTGCACTTTAAGAATTAGGAAAATGGTGAAACCCTATTGCTACTAAAAATACAAAATTTAGGCAGGTGTGGTGGGTCACGCTTGTAGTACCAGCTACTCAGGAGGCTGAGGCGGGAGAGTCGCTTGAACCTGAGAGGCAGAGGTTGCAGTGAGCTGAGATCACACAACTGCACTCCAGCATGGGTGTCAGAGAGAGATCCTGCCTCAGAAAAAAAAAAAGAATTATTAGGAAAATGTCTCATATATTCATTTTTAACTTTCGAAGTATCATATTCTTTCTGACAAAAGGTTAAGTGGTTTCATATTTTTAGCCTAAAGGAAAATGCTAATAGAAACTTGAGTCAGTGAACAGTTGTGTAATTAGAAGTCTTTGCCAGGTGCAGTTGCTCACGCCTGTAATCCCAGCACTCTGGGAGGCCAAGGCAGGCAGATCACCTGAGGTCAGGAGTTTGAGACCAGCCTGGCCAACATGGTGAAACCCTGTCTCTACTAAAAAACAATGCAAAAATTAGCCAGGTATGGTGGCACGCAACTGTAATCCCAGCTACTAGGGAGGCTGAGACTAGAGAATAGCTTGAACCCAGGATGTGGAGGTTGCAGTGAGCCACGTTCGCGCCACTGCACTCCAGCCTGGGCGACAGAGCAAGACTCCGTCTCAAAAAAAAAAAAAAATCTTTGTATATGGGTTAATTAACATAATTTATATACCTCACAACTCCAATGTGACGGTTAAATTTCAGAGTTTCAAGCTCCATCTCAGTAAATTAATTTATTAGGTATGGAAAGGCGTCATTGTGTAACAAGCACTCCAGGTGATTCTGGTGCAGGTAGACCTTGGGCCACTTTGAGAAACACTGGCCTAAGGCTGGGCACGGTGGCTCACGCCTGTAATCCCAGCACTTTGGGAGGCCAAGGTGGGCGGATCACCTGAGGTCGGGAGTTTGAGACCAGCCTGACCAACTTGGAGAAACCCCATCTCTACTAAAAATACAAAATTAGCCAGGCGTGGTGGCGCATGCCTGTAATCCCAGCTACTTGGGAGTCTGAGGCAGAACAATCGCTTGAACCTGGGAGGCAGGAGGTTGTGGTGAGCCGAGATCGCGCCATTGCACTCCAGCCTGGGCAACAAGAGGGAAACTCCATCTCAAAAACAAAACAAAACAAAACAAAACAAACACAAAAAAAGAAACAGGCCTGGCGGGTGAGAGGATAGCACTTATTAAAATAGTGTAACCTGTGACAGGCAATGTATGTACATATCATTTAATCCTAACTGCAACAATTGTATACTAGCTCCATTTTGCAAATGAGAAAACCTAGGTTCAAAACAACGAGTAAACTGTTCAAGGTCACATTAGGTAGTGGACTTGCGAGTCAAACACAGGTGGGTCTAATTTTGAAGTTTATGCTTTACCACACCTTCAATTTAGATGTTCACAAGTATCTCACCCTAAACATATCAAAGTTAAATTTACTCTCAACTCCTCATCTTTCTAACCCAAGCTGCCACTCCTATATACATACATATATATAATTTTCATGTATGCATATGCATACAGCCCCCTGAAAGATGGAAATATGTATAAAATGTTCTCGGCAACCCAGTCCCTTTAAACATTCTCGTCCCTCTTCCAGAGATGCTGTTACAAATTCTAACTCCCATTCAGATTTCACGACCAACTTTAAATACTGCTTCTCTTTCAGATGCCATAATAAAATAGTTGTATAGAGTTCTGTCTTCATACCTCTATACATTACTACGTTGTTAATGTCATGTTTATGTTCTTTGTATTAGAGTTACTTTTCCAAGGGTGGGACTATGACATCCACTTTATGTCTCCTACATCATACCTGGCATAGCTGAAAAGCTGAATGATTATACTCATGAATGAATTATTAGGTAGCATCATTGGTTATAGGGTTGCTAAGCATCAGAGATGAGGCTTCAGCCCCAACTTTTTTGGTTTTTGTGTTCCAAAAATCTTTTTAGCATGCAAGGAATCAGCAAATAGAAGCACTTGCAATCTACTTGTAGAGTGTACCGGAAGGAAAGATTTCCAGGAAAAAGATCTCAATAACAGATTTCAGTCTTGAATTCTTTATGTATAAAAGTTATATAAGAAGAAAAACGTTTTGTCTCAAAAAAAAATTTTTTTTGGAGTTAGAAAATCTTTTATGAGCTTGGGCTACATGGCGAAACCCTGTCTCTTAAAAAAAAGCTAGCTGGGCTTGGTGGCATGTGCCTGTAGTCCCAGCTACTCAGGAGGCTGAGGTGGGAGAATCACTTGAACCCAGGAGGTTGAGGCTGTGGTGAGCCATGATTACACCACTGCACTTCAGCCTGAGTGACAGAGTTAGACCCTGTCTCCAGAAACAAACAAACAAAAAACCAAACTTTTATTTATGTGGATAGTACCTGTCAACAAAAAAAATTGTTCAATGATACTTGTTAAAAGATGATTTTATTCAGGACCATCAAAATAGGTACAGGGACCACTGCTATGGGATTTTGCAGTCAGAGAGAGATACTAGCCTCAAATCTGGGTACGGCATGGCCAAGTGGTGGGAATTTATAGCCAAGAAGCAGGTCAGGGGTCAATGAATGGAAAATTACTCAGAGAAAAACCTCAAGGGTAAGGGAGATTCTGGCTGAACTGACCTAACAGGATTCTCGCTGAAGACTGGCCAGGATGATGACACATAACCTTTGGGGAATGATGAAGGATGAGGAACCTGATTGGATATTGAGTATGATCAGATATTGACGGTGGGGGCTTCTTGCTAAACTGACACAGCAGGGTTCTTTGCTAAAATGGGATTTTACAAGGAAGAGCACAGATGGGACTAGAAGAAGATTCAGGAGCCTGACTAAAGTTTGGTCAAGCAAACAATCTTTGTCATCTCGTAGAGACCGAATAATCTAAGAAGTTTAAACAGTCTCAAGTGTTATGAATCAGACCGTTAATGGTCATGGAAATTTACTGAATATTCTATCAGGAGCAAAGCTTTCCAGTAATTGAAGCTGGATTTATTTATACAGAGAAAAAAATGCTTTACACGTAAGTCCCTCCAAACTGTTTAGCCTAACATTGAATGATGATACCCTTGGGAACTTAATTCTTTTTAAGCCTAATAACTGTGCTTTATGAAGCTGTCACTAGGTGGCATGGCAATGCTTGGTTAGAAATTTCCCTTTGGAAATTAATGCCTCAGAACCTTCAAAAACTATTCAGTAGAAGTCAGTTTCTTTGTAAACAAGTTTCATTGTTTACAAACGTTTCACTGTTTACAAGTTTCATTGAGTAGTAGTATGGATGTATGTGTGTGTATATATATATATGTATATACACATACATATACATATATATGTACACGTTGATAAAAATAAGCTCCATTAGAGAATGTTGTAGGAAATACTCAATTTAAATGATAACAAAATAAGATATTTAAAGTATGCTTAACAACTCTGACTTCTGGTAATTCTATTTCTAAACTATATTTTATCCTAATCTAGAATACTCATCTGATAGTATTTTCCCTTTTAACCCAAACAGGTCAAATCGTAAATCCAGGTCTATGATTCCAGAGCCCATATTCTTTTTTTCTTTTAAGGTTTTTTTTTTTTTTTTATTCTCTTTTTAAAAATTCTTCATTTCCATAGGTTTTTGGGGAACAGGTGGTATTTGGTTACATGAATAAGCTTTTTAGTGGTGATTTGTGAGATTTTGGGGCACCCATCCCCCCAGCAGTATACACTGAACCCAATTTGTAGCCTTTTATCCCTTACCCCTTTCCCACCCTTTCACCCCCAAGTCCCCAAACTCCACTGTATCATTCTTTTTTTTTTTTCCCCCAAGATGGAGTCTTGCTCTGTCACCCAGGCCGGAGTGCAGTGGCATGATCCCGGCTCACTACAGCCTCCATCTCCTGTGTTCAGGCAATTGTCCTATCTCAGCCTCCCAAGTAGCTGGGATTACAGGTGCCCGCCACTGCGCCTGGCTAATTTTTGTATTTTTAGTAGAGACGGGTTTCACCATGTTGGCTAGGCTGGTCTTGAACTCCTGACCTTAGGTGATCCACCTGCCTCAGCTTCCCAGAGTGTTGGGATTACAGGCATGAGCCACCATGCCTGGCCCACTGTATCACTCTTAGGCCTTTGCATTCTCATAGCTTAGCTCCCACTTATGAAGGAGAACATACGATGTTTGGTTTCCCATTCCTCAGTTACTTCACATAGAATAATGGTCTCCAATCCCATCCAGGTTGCTGCGAATGCCCTTAATTCATTCCTTTTTATGGCTGCATAGTATTCCATTGTATGCATATACCACACTTTGTTTATCCACTTGTTGATTGATGGGCATTTGGGCTGGTTCCGTATTTTTGCAATTGTGAATTGTGGTGCTATAAACATGTGTGAGCAAGTATCTTTTTGGTATAATGACTTCTTTTCCTCTGGGTAGATACCCAGTAGTGGGATTGCTAAATCAAATGATAGTTCTACTTTTAGTTCTTTAAGGAATCTCCACACCGTTTTCCATAGTGGCTGTACTAGTTTACATTCCCACCAGTAATGTAGAAGTGTTCCTTGTTCACCACATCCATGCCAACATCTATTTTTTTTTTATTTTTCTATTATGACCATTCTGTGGGAGTAAGGTAGTATTGCATTGTGGTTTTGATTTATATTTCCCTAATTACTAGTGATGTTGAGCATTTTTTCATATGTTTGTTGGTCATTTGTATATCTTCTTTTGAGAATTTTCTATTCATGTCCTTAGCCCACTTTTTGATGGGATTGTTTTTTTCTTACTGATTTGTTTGAGTTCCTTGTAGATTCTGGATATTAGCACTTTGTCAGATGTATAAAGATTTTCTCCCACTCTATGGGTTCTCTGTTTACTGTGCAGACTGTTCCTTTTGCTGTGCAAAAGCGCTTTTGTTTAATTAAGTCCCACCTATTTATCTTTGTTTTTATTGTATTTGCTTTTGGGTTCTTGGTCATGAAATCTTTGCATAAGCCAATGTCTAGAAGAGTTTTTCCCATGTTATCTTCTAGAATTTTCAAAGTTTCAGTTCTTAGATTTAAGTCCTTGATCCATCTTGAGTTGATTTTTGTATAAGGTGAGAGATGAGGAATCCAGTTTCATTCTCCTACATGTGGCTTGCCAATTATCCTAGCACCATTTGTTGAAGAGGGTGTCCTTTCCCCACTTTCTGTTTTTGTTTGCTTTGTCGAAGATCAGTTGGCTATACGTATTTGGGTTTATTTCTGGGTTCTCTATTCTGTTCCATTGGTCTATGTGCCTATTTTTATACTAGTACCATGCTGTTTTGGTGACTATGGCCTTATAGTATAGTTTAAAATCAGGTACTGTGATGCCTCCAGATTTGTTCTTTTTGCTTAGTCTTGCTTTGGCTATGCAGGCTCTTTTTTCTTTCCATATGAATTTTAGGATTTTCTTTTTCTTTTTTTTTTTTTTTGAAACAGAGTCTCGTTCTGTTGCCAGCCAGGCTGGAGTGCAGTGGCGTGATCTCGGCTCACCGCAACCTCCACCTCCCAAGTTCAAGTGATTCTCCTGCCTCAGCCTCCCAAGTAGCTGGGACTACAGGCGTGTGCCACCACACCCAGCTAATTTTTGTATTTTTAGTAGAGATGGGTTTTCACCATGTTGGCCAGGCTGGACTCGAACTCCTGACCTCAGGTGATCCACCCACCTTGGCCTCCCAAAGTGCTGGGATTACAGGTGTGAGCCACTGCACCTAGCCTAGGATTTTTATTTTTTCTAGTTCTGTAAAGAATGATGGTAGTATTTTAATGGAAATTGCATTGAATTGTAGACTTCAGAGCCCATATTCCTGTTACCACATCACAGATTCTCCCTCACGAACCCACTATTTACAGATGGACAGATGACTGTTATCCATCGAAGAGTTGGAAGGTACCTTTGGTATTATCTGGCCCAATCTTAAAAAATTTTTTTTAATTTATTTCATTTTTTATTTCTTTGTTTCAACCTTAAACTATTAAAGGAATAGCTCGATCTTAAAAATACAAATCTGTGCATGTGTATTTTTATTTTAGAGATTTTTAAAAAACTGAGGCTCAGTGCAAAGATATTTGTCTAAGGTTATAATTTTCTGAACAGCAGACGCAACAACATGGTAATATCCTTAAAGCATTTGTCAAAGTATCCACCATTCATAGTGATGACTAGCAAATCCCTACCTGATTCACACTGAACATTAAAATGGCAACTTTCCAAATAAGGAGACTTCTATCGAAGAGGGCTTGGTGGCATGTTTCCAATATTTTCCCGGTATCTCTTCAGGTACCCTCTCAGGTCTTCCACTGGAAGTATACTAACTTCCTCCCCAACTTAAAAAAAAAAAATATGCAGATTAGGGCAGTTTTATCTTCCAGTGTCATATAATTGGGTTGCTTTTTTTTTTTTTGACAGAGTCTCGCTCCATCACCCAGGCTGGAGTGCGATGGCACCATCTCGGCAACATCTGCCTCCCGGGTTCAAGCAATTCTCCTGCCTCAGCCTCCCAAGTAGATGGCATGCACCAACACTCCCGGCTAATTTTTTGTATTTTTAGTAGAGACGGGGTTTCACCATGTTGGCCAGGCTGGTCTCGAACTCCTGATCTCAGGTCATCTGCCTGCCTTGGCCTACCAAAGTGCTGGGATTACAGGTGTGAGCCACCACACCCAGCCTTTCTTTTTTTTTAAGTAGGAAGAACTTAAAAGTCATCTAGCTTAGTGCTTTTTTTTTTTTTTTTTGCCCAGGCTGGTGTGCAGTGGCATAATCTCAGCTCACTGCAACCTCTGCTCCTGGGCTCAAGTGATCCTCCTACCTTAGCCTCCTGAGCAGCTGGGACTATAGGCACCCACCACTGTACCTGGCTAATTTTTGCATTTTTACTAGAGATGGGGTTTTGCCATGTTGTGCAGGCTGGTCTTGGAACTCGTGGGCTCAAGGCATCTACCCACTTCAGCCTCCCAAAGTGCTGGGATTATAGGCATGAGCCACCACATCCAGCCAATGCTCTTATGTTAATATAACATTGGGATATTTAATAGTTTATCCATAAGGTAAAAGCAAAATTTAGGAAATATATAAATATACATCAATAAAGACTTTTAGATTCTTGAACCCAGTGGTTCTTACTGTGCTTGCGCCACAGCCCTCGTGAAAATTTGCTGACAGCCATGGATTGTCTTCCTAGAAAGATGCCATAAGCACAGATACACAAAAAACTGCCTACAGTTTCAGAAAGTGTATTGTACTTTGGCCCTTTGAAACCTTTTCACAGACTCTTAGTTGAGAATTTTTGTTTGTTAGTTTTTTTGAGACAGAGTCTCTCCCTATTGCTGAGGCTGGAGTGCAGCGGTGTGATCTCAGCTCACTGCAACCTCCACCTCCTGGGTTCAAGCAATTCTCCTGCCTCAGCCTCTCAAGTAGCTGGGATTACAGGTGCCCACCACCACACACGCTAATTTTTGTATTTTTGGTAGAGATGGGGTTTCACCATGTTGGACAGGCTGGTCTCAAACTCCTGACCTCAGGTTATCCACCTGTCTTGGCCTCTCAAAGTGCTGGGATTACAGATGTGAGCCACCACACCTGGCCAATAATTTTTTTTTTTTTGAGACAGCGTTTCACTCTATTGCCCAGGCTGGAGTGCAGTGGTACACTCATGGCTCATTGAAACCTTGAACTCCTTGGCTCACGTGATCCTCCCACTTCAGTCTCCTGAGTAGTCAGAACTACAGGGTACACCACACTCTGCCCAGCAATTAAAATTTTTATTTTTATTTTTGTAGAGACAGGGTCAAACTATATTGCCCAGGCTGGCCTTGAACTCCCAGTCTCAAGCAATTCTCCTGCATTGGCATCCCAATGTGCTGGGATTATAGGTGTGAGCCACCAGGCCAAGCCTTAGCTGAGAATTTTTTTTCCCCGCAAGACAGGGTCTTGCTGTGTTGCCCAGGCTGGCCTCTAACTCCTGTGGTCAGCCAGGCACAGTGGCTCACAACTGTAATTCCAGCACTTTGGGAGGCAGAGGCAGGAGGATTGCTTGAGGCCAGGAGTTTGAGACCAGCCTGGGCAATATAGTGAGACTCCATCTCTACAAAAACAAACAAACAAACTAAACCTCCTGGGCTCAAGGGATCCTCCTGCTTCAGCCTCTCAAATAGTTGGGACTACAGCTACATGCCACCATGTCTGACTTCTTAGTTGAGAACTTTGAAACTAAGCATTCTAATTCAAGATGACTGATAAAGGTTTTATACAAAAAGATAAAACTGATGACATCTGTCTAATATAGTTTATTTTTTCAAGAATTTAATTAATTATGCTTCTGTTTCCCTGTGATCAACAATATAAATTAAGATGACCACAAAATACTTTTTTCCTTCTTTTTTTTGAGACAGGCTTCCTTTATTGCCCAGGCTGCAGTACAGTGGTGCAATCATAGCTCACTGCAGCCTAAAACTCCTGGGCTCAAGAGATCCTCCCACCTCAGCCTCCTGAGTAGCTGGGACTATAGGTGTGGGCTGCCACACCTGGCTAAATTTTTTTTTTGTAGTTTTTGTAGAGATAGGGGCAGGGTCTCACTATTACTCAGGCTGGTCTTGAACTCCTGGACTTAAAGCAATCCCCTCTCCCTGGCCTCCCAAAAGTGCCGGGACTACAGGCATGGGCCACCAAGGTTGGCCCATAAGAATTTTTCTGTGTAAAACTTCCCATAGGTATTGAATCTGTAACCTCTGCTACATTAGGGAATGATGCCATAGAGTGAACTAACCAATTTAAAACAAAGAAAGAGAGAGAAGCAGGCAAGAAAAAAGTGAAAGAGCTGGAAAGAGAGAGAGAAAGAGGAAAGAAAAGGAAGGAGCAGAGAAAGAATGAGAAGGAAAGAAGATAACCATAAAATATGGACTGAAGAAGAATTAGAGAGAGAAATCACAGTTTTGATGTTTACGAATTTTTAATTTGTGGCCTTTTAAATCTACTTCATGTGGCCGGGTGTGGTGGCTCACGCCTGTAATCCCAGCACCTTGGGAGGCTAAGGTGGGCAGATCACCTGAGGTCAGGAGTTCAAGACTAGCCTGGCCAACATGGCGAAACACTGTCTCTACTAAAACTACAAAAATTAGCCGGGCATAGTGGCAGGTACCTATAATCCCAGCTACTCGGGAGGCTGAGGCAGGGAGAATTGCTTGAACCCAGGAGGCAGAGGTTGCAGTGAGGTGAGATGGTGCCACTGCACTCCAGCCTGGGACAGAGCAAGACTCCATTTCAAAAACAAAACAAAACAAAACAAAACAACTACTTTATGCATCTTTCCCTATTTCAATGATTCACAGTTATTTAAGTTACAGCAGGTTAAGGGGGTTGCTTGAAAATAATCATATACTAAGGAAAATGCATGCTTTCTTCAGAGAGCTTGTGTATGAAAAGCTCCTTTCCTGTGGAAAAAAAAGGAAATTAACTGTACTAGATCCCTAATAATAGCAGCACATTTATTAAGTGATTTTAGCAGCATAATTAAGTGAATCAGCAAACATGAAGGCTAACTTGTATTCCTTCTTAAAGTTAAAAACTTCCTTAACATATTTTAAGCATGATTAAATTAAAAGTAATATTTTATAAAAATAAAATAATGGCCAAGTACAGTGACTCATGCCTATAATCCCAGCACTTTAAGAGGCCAAGGCAGGAGGATGACTTGAGGCCAGGAGTTCGAGACCAGCCTGGGCAACATAATAGGACCCCTGTCTCTACAAAATAAAAATAAAAAATAAAACACTTAAAATCCTTTGAGATTATGCTTTCTCTGAAGTGTAAGTATGGCAATTTGAGAAAACCACCAGAGAATTGTTTATATTTACAAATTGTAGTTTCTTGTATCAGAAATGTTAATTCAAAGCTTCTGGATGGTGTTTTTGAAATTCCTTAATTAATTTCTTTTTTCGTTTCAGAGAGATGCTGGGGTTACTATTAATCTCAAGAGCCAACTGGTGTAGATACTGAATTGTCCTTCCCTTCTGCTTTTCAAACTCCTTGTATGTCAAGGGTTGGCAAAACGTAAAGCCTGGAAAAAAAAAAAAAAAACAAAAGAAAAAGAAAAGTACCACTGGAAAAGCAAGTTAAAAAACCAACTAAACTGTACTTATCCAAACTGGTCTTACGGTATGTTACCTATGCCTAGGCTTTCTTTGTTCCACAGTTTCTTTCAAAAGTGCTTTTACTTTAGCAAAACATACATGATTTTATTTTACATACATTATTTGATCTCTAAAATAACTAGAAGCAAGAAACTAGTATCCCAGTTTCAAGAGAAATACATAAAAAATTTAAGTGACATGGCCAATAAGTTAAAGGCATGTTCAAAACATGAACAAAGAATGTCTGAATTCTATAGCACTGCTTTTTCACACTGCTCTGTGAGCTGTCTTAGCATGTACAGTCAACCTATGCTGATTTACAGAGGAAGCCACCATAGCCTCCACACTCACCAAAGCAGTTCTCAGAGTTAATGTCTGAAACCCTGAAGACCATTACTATGAGGGCTTTTTTTTTTTTTTTTTTTGCCTATCTTCACTATAATAGGATACACCTATGGAAATAGCCTGGAATTACACTGCCTCTGAAAACTTACGCTCCTATACTCAACTCTCTACTCGGAATCTACATTTTTCAAATAATAATAATATCTTACAATGAATGCTTACCATGTGTCAACCTTTTGGTACTTTTTCTCATTAAATCTCCAGTATCCTAAGCTGTAGATGTGTAGCTGTTATTTTCAGCCATACCTTAAAGATAAAGAAATAAAGCTTGACCACATGGCTAGAAAGTAGCTGAGTTAGGATCTGAACCCAGGGTTGTCCATTACTGGGGCTTGGTGTCTTCAACACTATGCTATGCTGCCTTTGGCTCTCTGTCAACTTTCTTCAGTCTCAGAACATGAAACCTTGATGTGCCAGTTTTAGCATACTTCTAGCATTTCTTCTTTCCCATCCTGAGTCCATCACATATCTGAACACTTGAGCCACTGCTTCATCAATATGTGTCCTTAATTCTCTTGCACACCTATCCTTCTGCAACATGCGACAAAGCAAAATCCCAGCTCTTAATCAATGCTCTAATCTACTGTGTCCACTCCAACATTCAAGGAAATACAGTAATTCACCCTTATTCCCAGAGGCTACATTCCCCAGTGGGTGCATCCAACTGCAGGTGGTACCAAATCCTATATGTACTATGTTTTTTCCTATATATACATACCTATATTAAAGTTTAATTTATTAATTAGGCATCATAAGAGATTAACAGCAATAACCAATAATAAAATAGAGCAATTATAACAATATATTAGAGTAAAAGTTATGTGAATGTGGTCTCTCTTTCTTAAAATATCTTATTGTACCATACTCACCTATTTTCTAACTGTGGAACGTGAAACCACAGATAAAAGGGGGGGTACTGTAAGTGTTGAAAAAAAATACCGTCTAATCGGTACCACTAAAATTTAGAATCTCCTGCTTTATGTGGTGCTCAGAATTATGCATCAATCCCTGTACTTAAACTTTCTCAACTCCCCTAACCATCTATTTCAAACTATTCCCTTCTTCTCATGTCATCCATTCAGTGCTCCCCTTGTAAACCCTCAGACAATATGGTCTCCTCCTACTTTATCGAGGAAAATGGATTCATCACTTAATAGTATCCCCCAACTTCCTACCCTTGGCACTACACATTTATTTACATCCATATACGCTCACCTTTACTCTAAAATCCTTCCTCCTGTTCCAGGAAAACCCTTGATCCTATGCCCTCAAACTAATTACCTCCTGCCTCCTCCAGGGCCTGCCTCCACCAGCATCTCTTTTTTTTCAATACCCCCTTTCTTCTGATGCCTTCCTCTCAGCAGATCAGTATGCTAAAATCTCTCCCTTGACCTTGCACTGCTCTGGTTATTGCCCAGTTCCTCTCTTCCCCTTCTCATCATACATCCAGTCTTCATTTCTCTACCCATTCTATCCTTCTCTTCCCACTGCAACCTGGATTTTGCCTCTCAAGTGATTAAGATAGCTCTAATTGGCTCCACATATCCAGTGGCCGTTCTGATCTTCCAATACATGGAACCCTCCATCCTAAAATGTTATATTTCTTTGGCTTCATGGCATGACTTCTTCTCATTGCCTTCCTAACATATTTTTCTCTCATTCATAGGTTCCTCTTTACTCACCCCTTGACTATTGATGTCAAAGTTTTATCCTTGAACCTTTACTTAGCACAGGCAGAGGTGTCTCCCTCTCTCTCTCTCTCTCTCTCTGTGTATATATATATATATATATATATATATATATATATATATACACAAAATACAATAAAATACAATTTTATTTTATGGTTTTTTGGTTTGTTTGTTTGTTTGTTTTGAGACAGAGTCTCTCTCTGTCGCCCAGGCTGGAATGCAGTGGCGCGATCTCGGCTCACTGCAAGCTCTGCCTCCTAGGTTCACGCCAGTCTCCTGCCTCAGCCCCCCGAGTGGCTGGGACTACAGGCACCCGCCACCAGGCCAGGCTAATTTTTTTGTATTTTTAGTAGAGACAGGGTTTCACTGTGTTAGCCAGGACGGTATCAATCTCCTGACCTTGTGATCCACCCGCCTCGGCCTCCCAAAGTGCTGGGATTACAGTCATGAGCCACAGCATCCGGCCTATTTTATGTTTGAGACAGGGTCTTGCTCTGTCACCCCAGCTGTAGTGCAGTGGCGTTGATCATGGCTCATTGCAGCCTGGACCTCCTGCAGCGATCCTCCTGCCTCATCCTGCTGAATAATTTTTTATATTTTGCCTGGCTAGTTTTTTATTTCTATTTTTGTAGGGATGGGTTCTCACTATGTTGCCTAGGCTGCTCTTGAACTCCTGGGCTCAAGCAATCCTCCTGCCTCAGCCTCCCAAAGTGCTGGGATTGCAGGTGTGAGCCGCTGCACCCAACCCAGATATTTATTTTTAGCTCCTCTCTCTCCTCTGAACTTCCAAATTGTACATCTAGTTGCCCTGCTGAAAATCTCAACCACAACGTCCCATGCTTATTTTATTTATTTATTTATTTTATTTATTTTTTGAGAGGGAGTCTCACTCTGTTGCCCAGACTGGAGTGCAGTGGCGCAATCTCAGCTCACCACAACCTCTGCCTCCCGGGTTCAAGCGAGTGTCCTGCCTCAGCCTCCTGACTAGCTGGGACTACAGGTGTGCACCACCATCCCCAGCTAATTTTTGTATTTTTAGTAGAGATGGGGTTTCACTATGTTGGCCAGGCTGGTCTCAAACTCCTGACCTTGTGATCCGCCTGCCTTGGCCTCCCAAAATGCTGGGATTACAGGTGTGAGCCACCACACCTGGCCCCATCCTTATTTTAAATCAAAAGCCCCAAACAGACTCCATCATTCCCCTAAATACGGTGGTAGTCACCCCACCTGGAAACCTGGGATTCATATTTGAGTCACTTTTCTGTTTTTGGAGACAGGGTCTCGCTCTGTCCCCCAGGCTGGAGCGTAGTGGCGAGATCTCGGCTCAATGCAACCCCCACCTCCCGGGTTCAAGCAATTCTCATGCCTCAGCCTCCCAACTAGCTGGGATTACAGGCACCCACCACCATGCTGGGCTAATCTTTGTATTTTTAGTAGAGACAGGGTTTCACCATATTGCCTAGGCTGGTCTCAAACTCCTGACCTCAAGTGATCTGCCTGCTGCGGCCTCCCAGTGCTGGGATTACAGGCATGAGCCACTGCATCCCGCCGAGTCACTTTTCTTCGTAACCCACAAGTGAAATCAATTGTTGCCAATTTTACCTCCTAAATATTTCTCAAACTGTTCCTTCCTCTTCATCCCTCATGCCTGTGCATTGTACAGGCCTACATAATTTCTCACTGTGTTGTCATAGTAGTCTCCCAACCAGGATTGCTTCCAGTCCTCCAGGTCAATCCATTCTCTACACTGCTGCCAGCACTCTTTATCTAAAATACAAATCTGGTCGTATCACTTCCTTAAAAATAATTTTTAATGCCTTTCCAACTGCCTAGAGACTTGGTAGCTAAATATGGCCCTTCATAAGATGATACCTATCAATCTCTCTAGTTTCAATTTCTGCTATCTCCTTGGCAGCAGTTTCTTATTTTATTTTATTTTTATTTTTAAATTTTTTTGGTTTTCTGAGACAGAATCTCACTCTGTCACCCAAACTGAGTTCAGTGGCATGATCAAGGCTCACTGCAGCCTTGACCTACTGAGCTCAAGCAATCCTCCCACATCTGCCTCCCAAGCAGCTAGGACCACAGGCATATGCCACTACGCCTGGGTTTTTTTTTTTTTTTGTCATTTTTGTTTCATTTTGTTTTGCCTTATGCCTGACTGCTGTTTCTAGTGCTTACCTATTTTTGCTCACACTGTTCTAATTCTTTAAGCTCCTATTCTTTAAGACTCCTATTATGCGTTATCTCTTCTACAAGCTTTGATTCCCTCAGACTAGGTGGTCAGGTAATCCTCCTCCAAGCTTCCATAATCTCCTCTGGCTTGAACATATCCCTGTCAGATTTTTATGATTCATTGATATGGCTGTCTCTCATTCATCAACTCTTTCACTGAATTTAGTCAACAAATGTTTATTGAACATCTACTATGTGCTAGTCATTTTGAATGTTAGAATGTGAGCTTATTGCAAGCAGGGGCATTATCTTATACCTCTTTGCATTTTGTGGTGCTTATACAAGTTCTGGCACAACTATAGAGATTCAAAAAATGTTAAGTGAATAACTGAATGAATAGATGGACAGACAAATCCTGGCTGTCAGAAGCATTTTAAATCAATACTCATGAATTTCAAGTAATCAGGCCAGGCACAGTGGCTCATGCCTGTAATCCCAGCACTTTGGAAGGCCAAGGCGGGCGGATCACTTGAGGTCAGGAGTTCGAGACCAGCCTGGCCAACATGAGGAAACCCTGTCTCTACCTAAAAATATAAAAATTAGCTGGGCGTGGTGGTGCTTGCCTGTATTCCCAGCTACTTGGGAGGCTGAGGCAGGAGAATCACTTGAACCCAGGAGGCGGAGGTTGCAGTGAGCCGAGATGCGCCATTGCACTCCAGCCTGGGCGACAGAGTGAGACTCTGTCTCAAAAAAAAAGAAAAGCAAAGAAAATAAATTTCAAGTAAGTTACAGAGAAAAAAGCATACAACACAAAGCATGGAGGCAATTTAAAAATTTAAAGTTGTTTACTGATATACTCTGACAGTTTTACTGAGTAAGAGATAAGTTTCAAGAAGAGATAAAATAGGTAAGCTATTTAAGGAAAAATATTATCAGAAAACTCTTTACTTTCCAAGTGCTTGTAGCACATAGCATTGTGCAAAACACTTATATTTATAATCTCCCCTTAGTGTTTTTTTTTTTTTTTTTTTTTTTTTGAGACAGAGTCGTGCTCTGTCACCCAGGCTGGAGTGCAGTGGCATGATCTTGGCTCACTGCAACCTCCGCCTCCTGGGTTCAAGTGATTCTGCCTCAGCCTCCCAAGTAGCTTGGATTACAGGCATGCACCACCACACCTGGCTACTTTTGGTATTTTTAGTAGAGATGGAGTTTTACCACATTGGCCAGGCTGGTCTCGAAGTCATAACCTCAGGTGATCTGCCCGCCTTGGCCTCTCAAAGTGCTGGGATTACAGGCATGAGCCACCGCACCCAGCCTAGCATATATTGTTGAATAGAAATAAAGAGTAAAATGCTGACAATCCTTCTATTTTCCTCAAAAGTCAAAAATAATGAAAAGTTGAATGTGAAAAGATAATGCAGTAACGGCAGCCATTTAATGTTTGCTTTGAAATTAGCCAGATAAGATTAAATTAATCCAAAAGATTCTAAGTACTAGTTTCAGAATACTTCATTAGTATCATTGTTTAATTACACCAAATAGGATGCATGTGGCAACATACTTGTTGCCATATACTCCGTATTCAAAGAAGAGAATGAGAGAAAATAGCATCTATTAGCTGAGAAATTCCAAGCAATTCAAGCAAGTACACTTATGCCCTCCTCTGTAAATGTTCTTTCCAACAATTAATAATGCCTTTGGATGATTTTTGCCCTGCCACAACCCTTGAAACATCTTTTTAAAGAAAAAAAATCACCGATCTTTCTAGTTCACCAAGTTACGCAACCTCTCTAAGCTTCAGCTACCTCCCCTATAAAATCAAATAATAATAATATTAATATGCCTACACAGATTATTGTGAAGATTAAATAATTTCATAAGTCTATGTTAATCTTCGACACAGTTTCTGACACATAGTAGGGCTCAGTATATGTGTCAGCTAATGTCATATTCAGATATATTAATCATAATTAATTACAACCAGCATTATATATTAATAGAATATCTAATATCCTATTAATAGCATAAATATTAAATATCTAACTGCACAAAGAAATAGATATTATCATTCCCATTTCGTAGTTGAGGAAACTGAGGCAAAAAGGGGTTAAATGACTTGCCCAGACAATTTGGTGCTGGCACTCACAGATATACCTATTAGGCTATTTTGTTTCCTGCATGACAATCTTAGTAAACTTGGATTAAAAATACATTATAGTTTTAAACAATTATAAGTTAAAACATAAGATCAATAGCCTAAAGACACTGAATGAAAAGAATCATGGAGTCTATTCAACTGGGGGCCAGGCTACTCCTCTATAAAATTTGATCCTTCCCCTAAAAAAGAAGCAGGCAAGGGAGAGAGGATGAAAAACAAGAAAAAGAATCTGAGAGAGTCAGAAGAAGATACAACAGAGAGCACAGGAGCAAAGAAGCAGGCATGTGGGTGATAATTGAAGGGGAGGTGAGAATTGGGAGCAGCAGTGAGAGACAGAAGGTTCCTGCCTTCTTAGTAGAAAAGGTAAATAAAGGGTTTCAAAAAAGAACTAGAGAAGAACTTGCCCTGGAGATACTAAAAAATAACCTTCCTGTAACCACTTTTTACAACATTTTACATATATTTATTACATACTCATCTTTGATGCCTTCCCAACTCATTTGGCAACAACAGTCACTTAATGATAAAGGAGGAACAAGCTGGAATCCATACCTGATATGGCATCTGCATCTTCTCCATGTAGAAGCTTCTTAAGTTTCTTACTAACCAGATCCAATAAAGTAACTGGTGTCTACACAAAACAGGTATTTTCAAAATATTTAATATGATTTTTTTCTAGCCAGCATTTCAACATAGAAAGAAAAACATCTCAATATTTTTGACCAATGAGTAGAGGGAGAGGATTGTAGATGAGTGGAAAGGGTGGGTGGTAGAAGGCCTCTGAATCATAAATTCTTGAAATTTTTTTAGCACTCTTAAAATCTTATTTTCTGCCTTCATGTGTGTACTGTATTTAAAATTAGGTTAACCCATCATTAGTGAAATGTTCTCCTATAACAATAAAAATTATTTGTAATTTACAGCATTTATTTAAATAACATTACATTGTAATTACACAGTCCATATGTAAATAGTAGCTCTAAAATACACTAAAATTATTCTCCTAAAATAGGCAAATAGGCCAGGCGTGGTGGCTCACACCTGTAATCCCAGTACTTTGGGAGGGTGAAGTGGGAAGATCGCTTGAGTCCAGAAGTTCAAGACCAGTCTGGGCAACACAGCGAGATCCCATCTCTAATAATAACAACAAAAACCCCCAAACAAAATAGGTATACATTCCTTTCCTAATTTGGTTATACCAAAGGTAATCCCAGACTACTATATGTATCTGGAGAAATAATCCATTGACTAATAATACTGTTACAGAGGGCATGCCCTAGCCCTACCAATCCCAAAGCTCACATCTAGATAGCTCCTTCATCCTGGCTCGCAGGCTACCTTTTCATTAGCTTCCACTTGTCCTGCCACTTTCCAGCCATGATGCTGCCCCCTTTACTTCATTCTGTCATTCTATAAAAACTGAGTGAGTGATTTAACGTTATGTGCCAGGTACTGTTACAGGTGATGAATGAGTAGATCAAGTTCCCGAATTTATGGGAAGTTACATTCTCATAGGAGAGAAAGACAATTTAACAACAACAAAAAAATAGGCAAATACATAATACATATAATCTCAGGTAGTGATAAGTGCCACTATGAAAACAAAGCAGAGAAAGAGGCCAGAGTGAAAGCAGTGGCCAAAGGTAGACAGCACAGGGACAGCCCCGTAACAGGAAAAAGCGTGGCATGTTCGAGAGCCCCTATCATAAATATCCCCACCTCAGCCTCCCTGAAATGTATCAGCCTCTAATCTCTAGAAACCAACTATCAGGGCCCTTCTCCCTGCTTCCTGATTTCCATATCCCCACTTCCTCCAGCCCATGTCAAGTTCCTTTTCTCCATTTGTGGCCTGGTACAAAATTTGAACCAGTATGTTTCTGTTTTTTTAGATGGAGTCTTGTGCTGTTACCCAGGCTGGAGTGCAGCGGTGCGATCTTGGCTCACTGCAGCCTCCGCCTCCCGGGTTCAAGTGATTCTCCTGCCTCTGCCTCCCAAGTAGCTTGGATTACAGGTGTCCACCACCATGCCTGGCTAATTTTTTTTTGTATTTTTAGTAGAGACTGGGTTTCACCATGTTGGCCAGGCTGGTCTCGAACTCCTGACTTCCAGTGATCCACCTGCCTTGGCCTTCCAAAATGCTGGGATTACAGGCATGAGCCACTGCACCTGGCCTGAACCAGTATGTTTCCTTATGACACTGCTAGTTGGAACATGAAGGGGGAGGTAGAAAGATGAAAAAAAATCCTTCCTAATGTCTGTACCATGTGTAGGAAAGAGGCAGATTCATTTATGTAGAGGAGGGGGTAGAGTGAGAAAGAGGAAAGCAGAGAGAAGCTGAGTAGTACAGAAGAGGAGAGAGGAGAGAAGTGTTCTTTCTAAATTGCTAGTTGAAATCTGGGACCCATTTTAGCAGGTAAACTACATATGAGAAAAACTACATATGAGAATTTTACTTTAGTGACTGTAGCATAAAACATTTACATAACCTGGGCCCTTACTACCATCTATTATTTATTTATTTGGATGAAAAACTAGGTGTAGAGTACCTAACAACTGACTTACAAATGACCTTTTAAAATATGTTTCATTCAAAATTCATGAATGAAACATTTTTTAATGTTTAATGTTAATGGGACTGCCTCTATTGTATATACTTAGTACCACCTTTTTCTTGTAAATAATGGAAAAAAAAGTTCAGTTAAGGTCACAGAACTGTTACAAAATTTGGATCAATATGTTGCATTATGACATGAGACAAAAATTTTTTTAAAAATAAAATGGGGTCTTGCAATGTTGCCCAGGCTAGTTGCAAACTCCTGGGCTCAAATCATCCCACCCCAGCCTCCAGAGTAGCTGGGGTTAAAGGCATGTATCACTGTGCCCAGCTAGACACATTTTTAAGCCAGAAAACAGAAGAAAGGGAATTCTTTATAGAGGCTTTGGAGAAATAACACCATTGAAAGTATTCATACTATTGTCTGGTACTAAAATATAATAGTGAGGCTAAAAAAAAACTATTTCAAAAACGTTTCAAAATAAGAATATGACCATGTTTTACTAATGCTACTGCTACTCCTAAGTGTTTTGTTTTGAGACAGGGTCTCACTCTGTCACCCAGGCTGGTGCAATGGCTTACTGCAGCCTCAATCTCATGGGCTCAACTGACCCTCCCACCTCAGCCTCCCCAGTAGCTGGGACCACAGGTGTGTGCCACCACCCCTGGCATTTTTTTTTTTTTGAGGCGGAATCTTGCTCTGTTGCCCAGGCTGGGGTGCAGTGGCGCAGTCTTGGTTCATTGCAACCTCCGCCTCCCAGGTTCAAGCGATTCTCCTGCCTCAGCCTCCTGAGTAGCTGGGATTACAGGCACGCGCCACCACACCTGGCTAATTTTTGTATTTTTAGTAGAGACGGGGTTTTGCCATGTTGGCCAGGCTGGTCTTGAACTCCTGACCTCAGGTGAGTCCACCCACCTGGGCCTCCTAAAGTGCTGGGATTACAGGCATGAGCCACTGTGCCCGGCCTGTTATCTTTCTGTATAGATGGGGTTTTGCTATGTTGCCCAGGCTGGTCTCAAACTCCTAGGCTCTAGTGATCCACATGCCTCAGTCTCCCAAAGTGCTGGGATTACAAGTATGAGCCACTGTACCCAGCCAACAAAACGGTTTTAAGTCTGCTTTCTTCTCTTTTGTGGGTGTGGGGAGTCAGCATTTCTTCAAACTTTGCACATTATAGGTACTTAGTAAATTATTTACTAAGTGAATGATTTGCTTTTCTGCTTGACACAAGTAGCTTAGTAATAAATGTGCCCAGGCAAAATGCCAGAGATACCTTGAAGAGCTCAGAGTGGTACTCCAGTGGAAACCAGACCAGTTGTTCTGCCCGCACTTTTAATAATGATTTGGCTTGCAAAACTGATTTGGCAAGAGTTTTCAGGACCACTGTTTTATTATCATACTGTAAACAGAAAGATTAACATTAGCATAAATGGTTTTTAGAGGAAAAAAATAGCAAAAAAAAATGGCAAAACTTATTGCAAAATTTTTCACCTGTTTTTGCAACTTGTAGGCATTGGGCTCTGATGCCATTGCCATAAAAGTAAGTAGCCGTCGTAATTCTTCTCTAATGTTCAGCAACAGCAATCTTAGATATAGTTGTGTTGCTTCAAGTGCTTCTGCTCTTTTCTCATTTTCTGTTATATAGGTTACAAAGAAAACAAAGCATAAGATGAAAAATGGAGAGTATAGTAAGTATTTACTTAGTAGTCAATTAAAATGCTACAATGTTGTATTAGTTTGCAGGTTCTTTTCTACAATTAAAATTTTTTATTATGGAATATTTCAAACACACAGGAAATTATCTTTATAATTCTATGTAATATGCGATGTAGCTATATCCAGCATTATCAAACAGTATTTTGTTTTTAACATGAAATTATATGGCCACTTACACAGCTAAAAAATGACATATTATGTCACTCAATTTTCATTTTGCTAAAAGGTCATCAAATTAATAACTCAGAAGTTAGTATTTCTAGGTACCTCGGTTCTTAAATCCTTGTACTATAACATATGTTTCTTTCTTTTTATTTTGAGACAGTCTCACTCTGTCGCCCAGGCTGGTGCGCAGTGGCGCGATCTCGGCTCACTACAAGCTCCGCCTCCCGAGTCCACACCATTCTCCTGCCTCAGCCTCCCGAGTAGCTGGGACTACAGGCGCCCGCCACTACACCTGGCTAATTTTTGGTATTTTTAGTAGAGACAGGGTTTCACCATGTTGGCCAGGCTGGTCTAGAACTCCTGACCTCAGGTGACTCACCCGCCTTGGCCTCCCAAAGTGCTGGGATTACAGGTGTGAGCCATCGCTCCTGGCTATATCATGTTTCTTAGAATGTCCCTGCGATGTCCCTGTGATGTACTGCCTTAGATTTATGCACTATACTATATTAGTTACATTTGATAATATAATTTACAAGGTAGGCAATAGTAGTGAAGTAAAACAAGACTTCTTGAAGTACCTTGACATCATAGAAGAAAAATATTAAAATGTAATACTCATATAGTATACACAATTTTCTATTTCAACTTGTATATTTTAAAATGTTTTATTACACCAAAAATTAAAATATAAACATCCTATCTTACCTAAAAGTTCAATAATTCCTGAATGAATATCAAAATACTCATCAGTTAATAGGCAATCTCTCTCTTGAGCATAGTATTTTGCTATGACATCAAAGAGTATCTTCTTCTGACTGTTCAATCTTGTCTCTTCATTTCTGTTTTGCATTAACTGCTGACTAACTGTAACTATTAACTGGTCAGGGAAATACTCCAAGCATTCAATTGCTGCATTAAGCCAGTTATCGATTCTAGAGGGAAAATGCAAACCAAAATAAAGCAATGGTTAACATTTCCATTTAACTAAAGCACTATTTGATAAAACATGAAAAAATCTGGCTTATTTAAGCTAGATAAATCTAAAGAAGAAATTATTTTTTGGGAGAAGCATTTCAATACATTTTGCTGGATGAGTGAAGGACTGTATGAGAGGGAATGGCTGTATTCCTTACTGAATACCACCACACCTTTATGGACTTTTATTTTCAAGAAGTTAAAATAATTTTTAATGAACCCTTTATTATTTATATCTAATTTTGTTAGTAGTTCCCCTCCCTTTTCCTGCTCTGATGAGTTGCGTATGGTTCTATTATTATTTGAAAATAAGATACCAAATATTTCCCCAACCCAGATGAACTGTTTACCCCACCACACATTGTTTTCCCTTTCTTATTTGCCCACCCCAATAAGATAAGAAATTTAGGGTCCTGTCACTCCCCTGCCCTCCGGTGACTCCTTTGGAAGGCCTTCATTTCTCCCTTTTCCATATCTGCTGCCCTCCCAACCCCCAGGTTTTGCCAAGATAGGTTAGTATTTACTGTAATTTCCCTTAATGGTATGTCCCTTTTTTTTGACTTTTTTTTTTTTTTTTTTTTTTTTGAGGCAGCATCTTACTCTGTTGCCCAGGCTGGAGTACACTGGCATGATCTTGGCTTACTGCAACATCTGCCTCCTGGGCTCAAGCAATCCTCTCATTTCAGTCTCCCGAGTAGCCAGGACTATAGGCGTGCACCATCACGCCAGGCTAATTTTTGTATTTTGCATAGAGACGGGGTTTTACTATGGTTGCTCAGGCTGGTCTCAAACTTCTGGACTCAAGCGATCCATCTGCCTTGGGCTTCCAAAGTGCTGGGATTATAGGTGTGGGCCCCTGTGCCTGGCCTGAATTCTTCAAAATCCTCAAGTATCTTTCTTTCCTTCCTCTCTACCTCCCTCTCTCCTTTCCTTCCTTTCTTTCTCCCTCCCTCCTTCCCTCTCTTTCTTCTTTTTTAAATATGACAGAGGGTCTTGCTATGTCACCTAGCTAGAGTGCAGTGACATAGTCATAGCTCACTCTAACTTCCAACTCCTGGGCTCAAGTGATCCTTTCACCTCAGCTTCTTGAGCAGCTGGGACTATAGACATGTGCTGTCTTGCCTAGCTAATTTAAAAATTTTTTTTTCAGAGAGACAGGGTCTCACTATGTTGCCCATGCTGGTCTTGAATTCCTGGCCTCAAGCAATCTTCTCAGCTTAGCCTCCCAAGTTGCTGGGATTACAGGCCCTTTGGCCCTTCTTTCCTCCTTTCTCTTTTTTTCTCCTGACAGATGAACAGTACATCTTGCCTAATATGTGTGATTCATTGTCTTCTAGATCCTAGTATTGCAGATGAAAAGACTAATGACAGTTTGATTGCTTTTCTCTTACAGCTAATCTGCCCTTTTTGCCTGGAAGCTTTTTAAGGCAGACTGGCTGCTGTGAGTTTCCTGCAGCGGCACCTGCAGAAATCCTGTTTCTTTTCTGGTGTCCCTATACTATCCCTGACTCAAGGGCAGGAAGACTCAGCCCTTTGTTTGGGTCTTTCTTGGCCTACTGCGAATAAGAGAAATCTGTCATGTACAAACAGGACCATAGTTGACTAAGAGGGTCCAGAGGTCTCTGATCACTAACCTCTTCACAAGATCTGAAGTTTTCTGTTCCTCAGCCTTGGTGTCTCATCTTCTTTTCTTGTTTGGCTCACATGGGAGGAAGCACTATATCAGTTCTCCCTGCTGGAATCCCAACAGTACTCAAGGTCTAATGCCTATAGTTTCCAGCAGCTGCTTTATTCAGAAGTGAGAAATAGCTTGGCGTTGGGAGTAAAAGGGAAAGGAGCCTCATTCAGGGTTCCTTTAATCTCTTATCTACAAATTAGGCCGATTTTATGATAGGGCTTATCTTTCAGACTATAATTTTTTCTCTCATGTATGTCTCCCCCTTCTAGACTACGGTTTCTTTTAGGGCAGGGATAAATAAGCTGGTAGAAACTGGGATGGTTGCATTATTTAGGGTAATAAAATGGAAATGACAGAATTTTGGATGATGCGGGGAGAAGATGATTGACATACAAATGAATTCGTACGAACCAAACCACTCTGATTTCCAGTGATCTTATAGGTCATGACCAATGGCTTTATTAGATCAAATGAGGATTCATAATGATAATTTATAAAAGAGAGATAGTATAAGCTTATAACATGAATATTTTCTCACATCCTAAAATACTAAGGGCAAATATGTGAAAAAAACTGTTTACAAATTATTTGACAATAAAAATGGTCACTTACTCAGGTAGACATAAGCTTGGAATAAGTTCTCTGTCTAGGCAAGTGTTAGTGATAACAAGATCTTCCTCTTTGTTTAGTTGAAGATTTTGTGTTTTAACTGGAGGCTCCAAAATATTGTCCAAGAATGGAAGGTGAATCAATTGAAGAAGACATAATAATGTTTGTTCTTTCCAAACATCTTGAAAAGGAAAGTAATGCAATGATCAAGATTGGTAAATAAAACATACACATTCAACCAATATTATAAATCGTTCTATTTCTAAATAATACAAAAGTAAAACTAGTTCAGTAGTAATATAATGGGTTAATTTAATGCTTAGATAATTTACATTTGTTATATTACAATTTTTCAAGATTGATCTTAAACATCAGAGTTATGAGCCATATTAATTTTATTTTCTGTTATGCTGATTATAAAGATATATTATCTAGCTCTTAAGGCCAACATTAATTCTAAATATAAAAAACTACTAGTCATGCTTATAACTTATATTACACATCTGAGAGAATGAGATTACTAATTATTTATCTTTCTATTTATAGCAACATAGATAATTGTAGTTCATTGTTTTTTGTTTGTTTGTTTTGTGTTTTTTGTTTTTTTTTTTTTTGAGATGGAGTCTCGCTTTGTTGCCCAGGCTCGAGTGTAGTGGTGAGATCTCAGCTCACTGCAAGCTCCGCCTCCCAGGTTCACGCCATTCTCCTGCCTCAGCCTCCTGAGTAGCTGGGACTACAGGCGCCCACCACCATGCCCGGCTAATTTTTCGTGTTTTTAGTAGAGACGGGGTTTCACCGTGTTAGCTAGGATGGTCTCGATCTCCTGACCTAGTGATCCGCCCGCCTCGGCCTCCCAAAGTGCTGGGATTACAGGCGTGAGTCACTGCGCCAGGCCAGTTCATTGTTTTTAAACTAAAATACAGTATTAGGCTAATTTTGTCTTGGATTTCCAGTCATTCCTGTTAAGTTCCTGTTAAGTTTTTCATCACCCTAACCATCATCATAATACTTTGTTTTTCCTTTATTTTTATTTTTATTTATTTACTTACTTTTTGAGACAGAGTGTCACTCTGCCCAGGCTGGAGTGCAATGGTGCAATCTCGGCTCACTGCAACTTCCATCTCCCCGCTGAAGTGATTCTCCTGCCTTAGCCTCCAGAGTAGCTGGGACTACAGGCATGCACCACCCTGCCAGACTAATTTTTGTATTTTTAGTAGAGACAGGGTTTCACCATGTTGGCCAGGCTGGTCTCAAACTTCTGACCTCAAGTGATCCACCCGCCTTGGCCTCCCAAAGTGCTGGGATTACAGGCGTGAGCCACTGTGCCCAGCCTGTTTTTATTTATTTATTTATTTTTTGAGATGGAGTTTTGTTCTTGTTGCCCAGGCTGGAGTGCAATGGCACACCACAGCCTCTGCCTCCCAGGTTCAGGAGGTTCACCTGCCTCAGCCTACCGAGTAGCTGGGATTACAGGCATGCGCCACCACGCCCAGCTAATTTTGTATTTTTAGTAGAGACGGGGTTTCTCCATGTTGGTCTGGCTGGTCTTGAACTTCCAACCTCAGGTCATCTGCCTGCCTTGGCCTCCCAAAGTGCTGAGATTACAGATGTGAGCCACTGTGCCCAACCTATTTTTTGTTTTTTAAGGCTAGTCAAGTGAAGCAGTGGAAGTGGAGAAGGAACAAAGAAATCTGTTAACTGGTTGTTATCAATTAGTTGTAAACACCATTGCATTTGGACCAGCCTGGTTTTCCTTTTATTTAACAAAACTACAAAAGCAACAGTTATAGTAAGTTTCTTGCAGAGCTCCCAAGCCAGTGGCCTGTGGACTAAATTTGGCCCACAGCCATGATCTGTTTGGTTATAAAGTACTTTGAAGAAAATTAATGTATAAAAACGGGAGATTTCATGTGAAATTCTAAAATGTATTGATAGATAGATAGATAGATAGATAGATAGATAGATAGATAGATAGATAGGGTCTTGCTCTGTCATCCAGGCTGGAGTGCCATAACATGATCATAGCTCACTGCTGTCTCAAACTCCTGTTCTAAGTGCCAGGGATATAAAAGTAACCAAAACAAGCAACAATAAAACAAAAACAGGATGCCACAAGAAAGGAAATTCTGAGAACTTGAAAGTGATTTGAGGAAAAAGTAAAAAAAGAAGAAAAAAAGGAAAAGTGTTTTTAGGTATCAATAAGAAAACTGGAGGATACATTTGAAGATACTTCCTAGTAGGTAAAACAAAAAAATCCCAAAAACATGAACAATAAGAGAGAAAAATATATACAAATTAGAGGACTAGTTAAGAAGGTCCAATATCTGAATAAGAGATCGGAATTAGAACAGAGAAGGTAGAGTTAGGGAGAAATGGGGAAAATCACCAATGAAATAAAAAAAACTTCTAGATTGCAACAGCCCAGTAAGTAAAAATAGATTTACCTTAAAGTATATTACTTTAGAATTTCAGAAAGTGTGGGACAAAGAGAAGACTCTTAAGTTTTGGGGTGGAGATGGGGAACAAATCAGATACAAAGTGTCATTAATCAGAATGGCTTTAGTCTTTTTTCCTTCCTTCATATCACAGCCAAGGCTTTGCAACACCAACACAAGAAGCTAGAAGGCAATGGGGAAATACCTTTAAAAGTATTTGAGAAATTATTTCCACCTAGAATTCTGTCAATCAAATAAGAGGCTAGAATACAGAAAATTTCAGAAATACAAACAAAAAAATTATCTCAGGCCAGGCGCGGTGGTTCACGTCTGTAATCTCAGCACTTTGGGAGGTTGCAGTGGTCAGATTGCTCGAGGCCAAAAGTTCGAGACCAGCCTGACCAACATGGTGAAACTGTGACTCTACTAAAAACATAAAAATTAGCTGTGTGTCATGGTGTGTGCCTGTAATCCCAGCTACTTGGGAGGCTGAGGCACAAGAATCACTTGAATCCAGGAGGTAGAGATTGCAGTGAGCCGAGATCGCACCACTGCACTCCAGCCTGGGCGACAGGGCAAAAATCTGTCTCAAAAAAAAAAAATATATATATATATCCCATGTACCCTTTGTCAGGAAACTACTAGAAAATGTGTGCCACTAAAATCAGCAGTAAACAAGAAAAGGCACAGAAGGCAGGACATAGGAGATCTACAATATAACAGGCAAAGGTAATCCCCATGATCATGGTAAAGGCAGACACCAGGATGACAACCATGCACCAAGTATAGAGGGCAGCCAGTCCGTTATTGAGACATGAGAAACCTTATGAAGGGGATTTCCCCAAGAAGATGAAATTGATAAAAATACCTGATACACCTGAGCATGCCAGCAGGTGATTTGGATAAGTGTTGGAGTGTTTGTAGGTGAAAATGTGTATGAATGTAAAAAACCAAGCAAAACAGAAAACAAAAATGTATTTGGTCTAAGGAAAACAAAACGTCGTAAAGGAAAAGGAATAATATATATTTTCAGTTATAACAACAGATGGTTTATTACATACCTCAACTCTGAATAGCTCTTTTCTACAAAATAATGTAAACATGCTGTATTGCTCTAATCAAAGCAATCTAATTATATTAAAAGATGGGGGCATAGGGAAGTATTCGTAAGATAGATACAGGGAGGGAAAGAGACACAAATCCCCATTTTCCCTTTTAGAAAATTAATGGATGTGCCTAAAACTGAAAAATCATAAAGTAACAATATAAGCATGCTATTTAGAGATACGAGTTGTAAATGGCCTGTCTGGGGAGGAGGGAATGAAAGGGTGGGGAACTGCTATTTTTTTGTAACAAAACTAGAACAGCTATTTGAACGGTTACGTTATGTGCCTATAAAACAAGGGTAAGGATAATACTTTTAAAAACCCACATTAGAGTGACAGCTTTCATTCCCTCCTATGTCTTTTTTTTTTTTTTAATGTGATCCTTCTGATTCTGTTTCCCTAACTATAAAATGCAAGTTTTACCCTTCACTTTACAGGCTACTGTAAAATCATGGATAAATATAAAATGCATAACAAATTGCTTAGCACAGAGAAAGGTCCAAAATAAGTGGAAATTATTCTTATTATTACCTATAGAATTTTTTTTTTTTGAGACAGAGTTTCGCTCTTGTTGCCCAGGCTGCAGTGCAAAGGCGCGATCTCCATTTACTGCAACCTTTGCCTCCCGGGTTCAAGTGATTCTCATGCCTCAGCCTCCAGAGTAGCTAGGATTATAGGCACGCACCACGACACCTGGCTAATCTTTGTATTTTTAGTAGAGATGGGGTTTCATCATGTTGGCCAGGCTGGTCTTGAACTCCTGACCTCAAGTGATCCACCCACCTTGGCCTCCCAAAGTGCTGGGATTACAGGCGTGAGCCACCGTGCCCTGGCCTTTACTGATAAATCATATCCACTTTTAGTTTGAAATTTCTAGAGGTACGTCATGACCTCAAGAAAAAATAATGGGAAAAGTTATTTTTTCATTTGTACTAGATAAAAACTGTACTTCTGGGGGACTCTCCTGCTTGCCCTTTAAATATTAGTCTTCATCAGAGTTCTCTTACGGCCAGGCATGGTGGCTCACACCTATAATCCCAGCACTTTGGGAGGCCAAGGCGGGTGGATAACTTGAGGTCAGGAGTTCAAGACCAGCTTGGCCAATATGGCAAAACCTCATCTCTACTAATAATACAAAAAATAAATAAATAAATAAAAAATTAGCCAGGCATGGTGGCACACGCCTATAGTTCCAACTACTCTGGAGGCTGAGGCACAAGACTTGCTTGAACCTGGGAGGCAGAGTTTACAGTGAGCTGAGATCACACCACTGCACTTCTGCCTGGGCGAAAGAGTGAAACTGTGTCTCAATGGCCAGCCAAGGAGGCTCACGCCTGTAATCCCAGCACTTTGGGAGGCCAAGGTGGGTGGATCACTTGAGGTCAGGAGTTCGAGACCAACCTGGCCAACATGGTGAAACCCGTGTCTACTAAAAAATACAAAAATTAGCCGGGTGTGGTGGCGGGCGCCTATAGTCCCAGCTACTCTGGAGGCTGAGGCAGGAGAATCACTTGAACCTGGGAGGCAGAGGTTGGAGTGAGCCAAGATCACAACAGTGCACTCCAGCCTGGGCAACAGAGCGAGACTCCGTCTCAAAAAAAAAAAAAAAAAAAGAGTTCTCTTTTAGTTCTTCTTCTCAATTCTACACCCTTTCTTTGGGCACCCTGTATTTCCTTTATCATGCCAATGTTAACTATTGTTGATAAATCACAGTCCTCCAGTGTGCAAGTCATAGCTAGTCTTGCTTCTGTCATGGTTTGACCAAATGGAGTAAAGGGCCATTAATGAATTTTGTATGTATCTCTCCTAACTGCCCTGGCTATGGTGCTCTTTTATCTGCCATTAGTGGCATTTTAAGGAGAAAAACACAAGTAGATGAAGTAAATAGTAAAGAGGAGTGGTGCAACAGGTAGTTTAGCTAGTTTGTTCTGAGAAAGGGAAAGAGTAGGAAGATGTTTGGGAGGAGTTTACACAATGGACAAAGGATACACTCATTAAGAAGATGGTCTTGCAGGACAAATACTAAGGACTGTGGTGAGTCCGTATGTTTTCTCTTGCAGTGCAGACTATAGCACCTCCAGTTAATCTGGTCACAGTCATTGTAAAAAATGAATTAAGTGTTATTAGATGTATATTGCCTCACCTGTCTTATCTGATGTAATTGCTGTGTAGAAGGAAACTCCTACAGGGAAGAGAAGGAGGGAGTCAACACACTAATACACTACTTAAATCACATTTAAAACGTCAGTTCTTGGAAACAGTAAAAATATTAGTGGTTGCCTAAGGTTAGAGAGAAGGGAGGAATGAGTAGGTAAAGCACAGAGAATTTTTAGGGCACTGAAACTATTCTGTATGATACTATAATGACAGATAATATGTCATCAAAAATTTGTACAAACCCATAGAATGTACAACACCAAGGCTGAGCCTTAATGTAAACTATGGGCTTTGGGTGAAAATGATGTATCAATGTAGATTCATTGATTATCACAAATGCACCACTTGGTTGCAGGATGTTGATAATGGGGAAGGTTGTGTGTGAGTGGAAGCAAGGGGTATGTGGGAACTGTACTTTCTGCTCTATTTTGCCGTGACCTTGAAACTGCTTATAAGAACCTGTTAAAAAGAAGTTAGTTCTTCCTTACCATGTTCTGAAAAAATAATGAAAACAAATTACCTTCTTTTGAAAGCCGGAGAAAAGGTTTCTGAACTGTGATATTTGGACATAAAGCTGGATTCCCATTTATTGTATGAATAAGTTCCTCAATTCTTTCCTCACCAATCTCCTGTGCTAGAGGATTTGAAATCATTTCATATCCTGGTCTGTTAAAAAATAATACGTGGCTCTTTTCATTATACACAGAACCAAAATTTCAAATATATATTTAAATTAATGTATTAAAATTTATTCATACATTCTCTATTTCCAAAAACGATTTCAGGCAGCTTATAATAAAAGATGCAAATAATTCATTTAATAGACTATCACCAAAAGAGGACAAATTAGAATTCTAAATAAAGAAGAAAAGCATATATGCTAATTCTAAGGTTAACATAGTTGTTATGATGGAATAGAAAATTTTTGTTCTGAGTTTCCAGAAAACCTTGGCTTTTAGTACACTGGCTAAGTCATTTTTCAAATTAGAAAGCATATCCATTCCTTAGAAGACATAGTTTTTCCTGGTATAAACTCTGAAAAATTTATGTGATAATGTCTTCAACAACTAAGCAAAACAGAAAACAAAACTGTATTTGCTCTAAGGAAAACAAAATGTTGTAAAGGAAAAGGAATAATATATATTTTTGGTTACAGCAACAGATGCTGCTATATTGGAAACAGTAAAAACTACTGAGATATAATTCACATCCCATAAAATTCACTTTTTTTTGAGACAGATTCTTGCTGTGTCGCCCTGGCTGGAGTACAGTGGCACAATCTTGGCTAACTGCAACCTCCACCTCCCCAGCTCAAGCGATTCTTGTGCCTCACTCAGCCTCTTGAGTAGCTAGGAATACAGGCACCTGCCACCACATCCCGCTAATTTTTGTATTTTTAGTAGAAACGAGGTTTTGCTATAATGGCCAGGCTGGTTTCGAACTCCTGATCTCAAGTGATCTGTCCGTCTTGCCTCAGCGTGGGCCACCCTACCTGGCCAAAAGTCACCCTTTTAAAGTGTATAACTCAGTGTTTTCTAGTACATTCACAAAGTTGTGCAGCCATCACTATTATCTAATTCTAGTCTATTGCATCATTCCAGTTTTAGAGGAAATGCATAAGTGGATTAATTTTCACATGGATTTTTTTTTTTAATTGGCTTCTGAAAAAAGTACACATTCGAGTTTAGCTCAATAAAGACAGTTCTTCTAGGGTCTAAATAAAATATATTACAGTATCTTAGGTAACACTAACCTCAAGGTTTCATTGAACTCATTCTCAGCATCCTTTTGTCTTTTGCAACAATCGTAAGATGATTTATTGCCTAGAAACCTGTAGAGACTAATGTTGGAATCTTCAAATTCTAATTCCTTTTCTTTTTTGAAAAGCTTCTTCATTCCTACTGGTTCAAATACTTTGTGATTCATTAGAACTTGGCAAAGATGAACCCCTTTAAGACAAGAGATGTCATTGCTACTTAGGCACGTGTTTTGCATAAGATGACTTAAGACCACATCGACAGCATCAGAACCAGTGAAACAGTCTTTGTATGTCTGTAAATGATGCCTCCTTCTTTTTATTTCCACTTGGGCCTGAAGAGAGTGAATAATACCATCCCATAGCTGAGTAGCTTGAAAAGGACCAGAGCATCCTGAAAAAAATTAAATATGCATTTCTAACAAATCTAGATTATACAAAAATATGCAAATTTTTCAGTTTTGACAACCTTATGCTTGTTGAAGGCATATCTGCTGGTAATGTCCTTCTTACGTGTCATCTCACATCTTACATAAACTATAGTATATTTACTAAGTTGCACCATGTGGGTCTGCCAATAAAAACAGAGTAAACCTGGGAACTTGCTTTACTGATGTGAAATACATTATTATATGAATTTATATACCCTTATTACATGGTTAACTACTAGTTATACCGAATCTTCAAGAATGTTATTTTAGGGCATATTTAAAAGTAATGCAAATACACTTGAGTATTGATTATTACAGAGTTGTGGCTTCACCAAACTCTTTGCCTTTTCTTTTTTCTTTTTGCCCTTTTGAACAATGGTTAGTTCTTCATTAGGGAGATCAAGGCAAAGAACTAAATAATCAATTTTTTTAATTGTTTAAACCAGCTGTTTAAAAAGTTTGCTAAGGCCAGGCACAGTGGCTCATACCTGTAATCCCAGCATTTTCAGAAGCCGAGGCAGGCAGATCACCTGAGGTCAGGAGTTTGAGACCAGCCTGGCCAACATGACGAGACTCCACCTCTACTAAAAATACAAAAATTAGCCGAGCGTGGTGGCATGCGCCTGTAATCCCAGTTACTCGGGAGGCTGAGGCAGGAGAATCTCTTCAACCCAGGAGATGGAGGTTGCAGTGAGCTGAAATCGCGCCACTGCACTCCAGCCTTGGTGACAGAGCAAGACTCTGTCTCAAAAAAAAAAAAAGTTTGCTGAAAAATGAAAGAGGGTCACATACCCACTTGAGCTGAATACTTGAATATAACCCAATTATCTAAATTATGAAGTGAAACTACCAAACATTGTAGAGATATTGGGCTCTAGAAAGTGCTTCCACTGTTGCTCCCGATTAAGGGGTTTAGATAAAGATGTGCCTTATTTTACATGGACATATTGCATAATGAAAAAAAATTGCCTTATCACATGCTGAACTTACTCTCCAAATAACAGAAATCCCACTTCTCTGGGCAAAAAGAAAAAAAAATTGCTGAGAAATAATGAAAACCTAAAAACAATCAAAATGTCTATTACTGGCCAGGTTCAGTGGCTCATGCCTGTAATCCCAGCACTTTGGGAGGCTGAAGCAGAAGGATCGCATGAACTCAGGATTTCAAGACTAGCTTGGGCAACACAGGGAGACTCTATAAAAAATACAAAAAATTAGTGGGGCATGGTGGCGTGCTCCTATAGTCCCAGCTGCTCAGGAGGCTGAGGTGGGAGGATCACTTGAGCCAGGGAGGCCGAGGCTGCAGTGAGCTGTGACCCTGCCACTGCACTCCAGTCAGGGCAACAGAGTGAGACCCTGTCTCAATTAGAAACAAAAACAGTTGGCCAGGCGCAGTGGCTTAAGCCTGTAATCCCAGCACTTTGGGAGGCTGAGGCAGGTGGAGGTCAGGAGTTCAAGACCACACTGGCCAACATAGTGAAACCCCATCTCTACCAAAAATACAACACAAAAAAATTTAGCTGGGCATGGTGTCGCACGCCTGTAATCCCAGCTACTTGGGAAGCTGAGGCAGGAGAATTGCTAGAACCAGGAGGTGGAGGTTGCGGTGAGCCGAGATCACGCCATTGCACTCCAGCCTGGGCAAGGGAAAAAAAACAGTCTATTACCTGAAAAAAACAGTTAAATAAATTATGGTATACCCTTACTATAGAATAGTAGCCAGCCATTAGAAAGAATGAAGTAGAGCTATGTTTATAGTGTGCAAGGATCTCATTAAGTAGGGAAAAAGAAAAACCCAAAACAAAAATTTTTTAAAAATGAGCTGAGCAGAACAACTTGTATATTATTATCCTACTTAGGTAAAAATGAATTCCCAACCTATGTAAAAATGTATGTAAATAAATAGAAAGATCTGGAAGAATAAACTTCAAACGAGTAACCTTGGGGAAGAAGGATTGTAATGGTGGCTGATGAAAGAGGATGTACCCTTTTAAAGTGTACAATTCAGTGTTTCTAGTACATTCACAAAGTTGTGCAGCCATCACTATTATCTAATTTCAGACCATTGCATCATTCCACAAAGAAACCTATAGTTCGCAGTCATTCTTCATTCTTCCGTACCCCAGTAAAATTTTAATTAAAATTAAATTTAATTAAAATTAATTAAAAAAATTAAAGAATGATAAGGGAATAACTTAGAACTTCTAGAATGTTTTTTCTAGATTTGCAGGGGGAAGTGGGTAGAATCCAAGAACTTAAGCTCTCTTCTCCAACTATGCATAACCGCAAAAGTATGCCCAACTATACATATGTTTACGATAAAATGACAGAAATAAAAATCCACCACCCTCAAATTCCTTCTGTAACAGAAGTTACCCGTCTAATCACTCAAGAAATCTTATCCCCAGACATTGTGGGCAGAGCGGAGACTGAGGAGGGGAGGCCAGAAAGTGATGGGCGGAGGTGGGCAGGAGGGTACTCGACGGGGTAGGTGGAAAATACAGCGGTACAGCCTGTTTTCCATAGACAGTCTACCTCTCTAACCTTCATTAAACAAGTAGGCTAGATTAAAGAAATAACTCCTCTAGCTCAAGGAATTTGCCCTCTAGTACATTAACCCCTTGTTGCTGTAAGTGTAGCCTAGGGACCAGCAGCATTGGTGCCATCTGGACATGTATTAGAAACGCAGATTATCAGACCCTACTCCTCAATCAGAATTTGCACTTTCACAAGATCCTAGGGATTCGTATGTATATTAAAGTTTGAGAAAAAACGCTTTCCTGCACGCTCCAAGGGCACTTCACCACAGTAACCCCTAAAAAGCCTCAGTCCTGGGTCCCCCAGTCCAGTGCCTGGTAGGGCAGGAAGGGGGCGGGGCTAGGAAATGGGCGGGGCCCTGGACCAATGAGGAGCAGAGTCCCAGCCGCCTGCTCCCTTCAGCTGCCCCCTCCACCTTCACTGCACATTTGGCTAGGATATACAGGGCTACCTGTCCTCCTTTTCCGGCAGAAGCCATCTCTACGGTTCCTGGAACTTGGCCCGTTCAGCCCTGGGCCCGGAAGCTCGTTCTGACTGACAAGTCTACGGAACCTCGGAGTCAAAAGAACCGCCATAAGCTCGCGCGCTGGCTCCTCCCCTGGCACCATAGCCCCGCCCCACCTGACACCCGGGGCGGAGAGAAGTACTGGCTCCGCCTCTTCCGAACCGGCAGGAAGTGACGTCATGCCCCCGGCCGGCAGGTCTTTTAGTCTTTTTCCCCCTCCCTTACTCTTCGTCCCCGGTCCCTCCCCTCCCCACCCCTTTCCTTCTAGCTCCGACGTTTGCGGCCGCGGGGGCGGCGGAGGATATGGAGTAAAGCCAGAGTCAGTGGCCAGGCACGAAGGCAGAGCAGGAACAGCCAGGAGGCGTTTATTAGGGGGGCGGGGGGAAAGAGCCCCAGCACCGCCCCTCCTGGAAGAAGGAAGAGGTAAGTGACCGGCCGCCGGCACCGACCGACCTCCCTCACCGGCGGCTCTCTCGCCTGGGCTCCCGGAGCCGGCGAGGAGGGAATGGAGGACTCGCGCCCGGGTTAGGCCTCCCAGGGCCGCTCAGGCTGGTGGGTGTTGCCTGGTGACGGGCCTGCCGGCGGCCGGCCGGGCGATCGGCGGTCGGCGCCCGCGCAAAGCGGGGCTGGACGAGCAGCGAGCTCCGGGGAGCGGATCCGAGAGGGCCGAGTCCTCGAAAGAGGCCTTGAGGCGACGGGAGACCCGGGATCGAAGTCAGCTGCCGGAGGGAGAGCCCCCCATGCCGGCTCGAGAGCTCGGGTTTCGGTGGTGGAGAACGTAGTACCTTTCGGGGACATTGGACACTACTCTAGGACCGGGTGAGAGAGTTCACCTCAGTTCTGAGGTCCGGAATCCGGTAGCCTGGGTCACCAGCCAGGGCCCTGCCGCCCGCCGTCCTTCTCTGACAGTAGCTTTAGTTCTGGAATGGAAGGTTATTGTGTGTGAGGTGGGTGGGGCAGGGGTTTTGTTAAGAGAAAAAACCCCACGGTTACTCCTGCAGTCTTGTTTTTCTAAACGGGAGAATACGGATGGAGGAGGGTTTAGACCGATAAAGCTTGCAAAAACTTATTGGACTTTGAGCACATACCTGTGATCCGTAATTAAGGAGGCCATATTATCAAATCCACCCTCTAAGGCACTCGAGGAGGCTCCAGACAAGCTGCTTAAAAGCGCTATGCCTGTAGTGACTTCATTGGAAGGTGTCAACTATTTTTTAGTACGTCAAACTCAGGAATTATTTGTGATGACACTTTCTAAAAACATTGGATACTATGAGTGAGTTTTCTAAGTAGCCTATCTCCGTTCTGAAAAATAAATAGTTTAGCAAAAATGCTCCAAATCAGCCTGCCACTGTAAAACCCCATTATGTTCTGGTGATGGCTTGAAAGTCAGGTGCTTGAAGATTCCTTTTGGACTTTGCAGGTTTGTTGTTGTTTGGTTTGCTGTCTTATTCTTTAGCACAAATATTTTTAAAATATTTAAAAATGAAATCAGCTGAGTATATAAATTACTTCTTGAGGCAACATTAAACTGTAATCATAAAGAATGCTTTTGGGGGATTGTGTAAAGGAAGGGAACCTAATGGAAGGTAAGGGCCTTCATTCTCTTTAGATTTACATTACTCACATGCAGAAACCTATTTTGTCTCTAAGATTCATAAATACCCAGTAAAATAAATACAGGCACATTGTACTTCTATACTGTGGAATACTTTCTAGACAGATCAACCCTGTTACTGGGAATAACTACTCATATTCACATGTTTGAAATTCATGATATACCTCCCTTCCCCCACCCCAAGAAGAAAAATAGCTCCTCTTACTGTGTTTAACTCCGTGGGTAGCATCACTATCCATTCCTTTGTATAGAAGTTGAAGTTTGACAATTCCTCTGTCGTGCTTCATACTCAGCCTCTCATGAAGTCCTGTTGATTTTGCCTCTTGAATATCTCTTGACTCTTGTCTGCTCTTCGTCTGTAACAGTAGTCCTGTTCCAAGCCACCACCATCTCTCATCCTGACTACTTCCGTAGCCTCCTGATTATGGTCTGCTTGCATCTACTGTGGTCTCCTGTAGTTTTCCAAACAAGACTTAGTGACTTTTTCAAAATGCAGACCTAATAACATTGTCTTAGTGTTTAAAATCTTTCAGTGGCTTCTCACCATTTTTAAGTAAATCGAACACATTAACATGCCCTACAAGCCCTGCATAGTCGGTCCCCTTTCCAAACTCATCTCCACTGTGCTTTCTGACATTCCCTTTCTCCCCTAGTCACCCTGTCTTTTCTGTTCTCCTGCTTCAAGTATGTGGCTTTGGTTATGCTACTTCCTCTGCTTGGAAATGCCCTTCCTTTCTTTTTTTAGCCAATTATGCCTATTCATCATTCAGCTCACTTCAGGGAAGACTTTCCTGATTAGAATACATTCTCCTGATTATATGTTCTTACCACACCATTGAAGAGTTGTCATGTTTATTAATACTTAATAAATTAATTAGATGTTCCTCATCTCCTGATGTGTAAGTGCTGAATGTTTATTAAATGAATGAATTCATTTAATGCTTACTGAATGGGCCAAGAATTGTACTAAACATTTTATCTTATCATCACTGTTAATCCTTATAACAATCACTTGAGGTATAGCTAGCTTTTCCCCTTTTTGTAGATTAGAAATAGTGTTAGGGTGGGTAGTTAGTTGGTGATGGCTCTAGTAAATATTAGAATTGGCATTTGAACTCAGATTTCCTTACCACTGAAGAGTGTGTACTTAACCATGTAACTTAATTTTAACACTTTGCTGTTCATCAGAATCACTTACGGAGCTTTCTCAGGATACAGATATACTTCACCTTTATAGGTTCCGATTCCAAAGGTTTGAGATACTACCTAGGCATCTATGTGGTTTAAGAAGTTATCCAGGTTATTTAGATGTTCACCAGAATTTGAAAACCACTGTCTTAGACAGTACTTGTGTTTTATGAGTTTGTTTTCATACATTGTATTTGAGATTTTATACTTTTTTTTTTTTTTTGTGAGACGGAGTGTCACTCTGTCACCCAGGCTGGAGTGCCGTGGCGCGATCTCGGCTCACTGCAAGCTCCGCCTCCCAGGTTCACGCCATTCTCCTGCCTCAGCCTCCCGAGTAGCTGGGACTACAGGCGCCCACCACCAGGCCTGGCTAATTTTTTGTATTTTTAGTAGAGACGGCGTTTCACCGTGTTAGGCAGGAGGGTCTCGATCTCCTGACCCTCGTGATCCACCCGCCTCGGCTTCCCAAAGTGCTGGGATTAAAGGCGTGAGCCACCGCGCCTGGCCGAGATTTTATACTTTCTTAAATTAAGGAAGAACTGTAGACTTTAAGGAAGTGATCATTTAATCTAATTTCCTACTCAGTTATTCCTTGTCCCTCTTCTCTAGCTGGAAGGCCTGAATAGTGAGAAACTGTCACCCCTCTGCTACTGCTTTAAAAAAAAATTACAATAATTTCAAGAATCTGATTAACTTCTTGTTGTAAAAACTATAGTTCACTAAATACATGGGCTGGAAGTAGCTTCAAAAAACTTGGATGTAATCTTTCCTCAGATCTTACTTATTGTTTAAATTACTAATTTGATATTTAAGCGTATGTTGCCTGAAATTTCATGTTGCTTTCTTTTTTTTTTTTTTTTTAATATTTTTATTTACATAGAGACAGGGTCTCACTATGTTGCCCAGGCTGGTCTCGAACTCCTGAGCTCAAGTGATCCTCCTGCCTTGGCCTCCCAAAGTGCTAGGATTACAGGCATGAGCCACTGGCCTCATGTTGCTTTTTAAATCTTAAATCTTATTGTACAGTGGTCTTAAAATTTGTGACCAGTGACAGAAACTGAATGTTTTACTTCTTGTTTCTCCCCCTGCATTTAGCATGGTGCTTTTCATCTAGTAGGTACCCAATAATTTGTGTACTAACTTGGCTGTACATTGCTAAGTCTTTTCAGTTTTTTATGTTCGTTTTTAAAATCAGGCTTGTCTTCTGTAATCTGTTCTGGCTTAACTATGTCTGATAATTAGATACTCTTTGTAATTGTAAAGAGAATGATTATACTCAGCTGGTTTAATCTTTGTTCTGTATAAGATTAAACATGATTTCTGTATAGAACAAAGAAGAGCATTATCCAGTTTTTGAAAACTTTCTTTTAAAAAACTTCTAGTAATCTCTGAGTGCTCCCACAAGCAGAAATGTATATTTCAAGAATACATCTTAAGGCCAACTCTGGCCTTAAAGTTAGCCCTGCTCCTTGCAGAGCAGCAAAAAAAAAAAAAAAAAAAAAAGAGAGAGAGAATATATCTTAAGATCATCTTTCTTTAGATACAAACAGGTAAGTACTGCATATGGGAGTATAAGCACACGTATTTTCCCCCAGATTTTGTGAAGTATTTAACCGTATTTCATGTCTTCTGAATGTAATTCTTGAATGTAATTCTTAATTAGAATTACAAAAATTCATTGAATAACTATAAATGATGATATAAATGGTATTCTCTTATTTTCAGGCATTTACATACAAATCTCAGACCTTTGTGCCCCTTTAAGGGATAAAGCAAACTATTTTGAGTTTCTTTGTTTTATATTGTTGTTCTTTGTAGTCAGTGTCTATTATTTTGTGCTTTTTGAAAGTCTAGTCTCTGCTAGGTGCCATGAGACTGAAAGTTATTAAATGTAACTTCATTGCCAGATGTAATTACGGTAAGCCTTTTATTTGCATTGCAGTGACTTCAACAAAAATGGAAGCTCATTCTGCTTTATAATATTTTATTCTTGGGATTGTAAGCTTGGGAAGCTGGGGAAAAAAGTAAAAATATATTCTTGGGGAAGTATAGGACTGTTTGTAGTCATGTTATTTGAAAATTCAGGAAGTCTTTGTTAAGCATAAATATAATTTTACCTGTTACATTTCTTGCTGTATCTAGAATTCATGAGCAGGCAGGACTGAAAGAATTGCCAGTTCCTTTCAGCTACCTGCTGTCAGATGCTGTAATACTCATCCTACTTTCTGCCAGGTGCACGTAAAATCTAGTATTACAACAGATTCACATGCTGGTTCTATTGAAAGCCAGGTGATGGCTGAGCTAGATGGTAGAGAGATACACAGTCTTGGAATCATACTGAAGCTACCCCAAATCCTATTTTGGCTGAAATTTAGGAAGGGCAGATGATTGAATTTCAAGTGAATTATAATAAATGGTGTACAATGAGAAATGCCTTACATGACTAAGAATTTCCATCATTTATAACTTTGTCATTGGAAAATATAGGCTTTTTTCTTCATTAATCAAAGGAAAAATGAAAAGCTATCATTTTAAGAAAAGGTATTTGGACTCTTAGGTTTCTTATATGTCAAATGGCTATGCTAATAATTCAAAATCTCGTTTAAGTTCAGGTCTTATTTTACAGGCTCCTTGGAGATTACTCTGTCCTTGGCCTTCTGTAATTTTCATGGTATTCTTGGGTGATATTTTTCAAGGCCATAGTCTACCATACTGGCTCATCGTGCACCAATTTTTACTTTCAGTCTGGACGGTTTTTTCTAAGTTTTTGGCCTGCATGTCTAAAAACCTATTAGATATCTCCATCTGAGTGTCATTCAGGCAGCTCAAATTCTACATGTCCAAGTTGAGTTCTTCCCCTATAAAACAACTGGCTTCTATATGTCGTTGGTAAATGGCTTCACCTTCCACCTAGACTGTGAAATTGGGGGTGGGGTAGGATTCTTAGTTTCGTTCTTTTCTTCTCTTGGTTTTAACTTGTTTCTTAATTTTTCCTTTCTTCTCCTTTCTCACTGCTATTTTTGTAATTCAGCAACGCTTCTCCCTTTAAAAATTTGTTTAAAATGTGAAATATAACACATAAAAGTATATAACGTAGTTTAACATGTAAATACAAAATAAATATCTGTATAACTAGCACCTTTGAAATACCTCCTTTACCCACCATCTCTTCTCTATCTTCCTTGACCATATTTCCTTTATTTTCTTGCTTTTATATATTCTGAATTATAAATATCCCTGAATTGCATATTGAAGTTCTCTTCAGTCTTGCCATATTCTCAGCCTCCACCTTTAGTATATCTTTCACTCTGCTTGATAGAGTGATTGATCATCTTACTGATGCCTGAAACCCTTCTGTGGCTTCCATAGCTTGATTTCTTACTACTCAATGTCCTTGGTGATCTGGCTTTTTAGCCTCCTTTGCCATACTTTCTTCTTTTTCTTCAGCTTTTAACTGAACTTGGTTTTTGCTTTGTGATTTTACTCCTACAATTCTCCTATTCTCTATCCAGTTTACTCCTCTAGCATTACTGTTTTTGGGAAACATTCTATTCCTCTTCTTTTTGTTCCTATAACACTGTGCATGTATATTCTGTAGCGTTTTATCACTCTGTAGGCTAGTGCTGTGGTGGTTTTACTTGTCTGTCTTCTCCCTTTGATGTAAGATTTTTCATAGCTTATTTTTCATTTACTTCCTTCCCAGTTTCTCATATGGTATCAGATACATAGTGGATACTCAGTAAATATTAAACCACCAAATGAATTTCCATGCCTGTTCTTTGCCATACGTACATCAGTGTTGACTCTGGATGATGGATAGCATCTCAAATTTGAATATCAATTCTGAAAATATGCTTTGTTTTCATATGTAACTGTAGTTTGCAGACCACACCATAGTCTTCCTCCCTTACATATCTTGGCACGTGGTATTATAATCCCTTCTGGAATACTCCTTCCCCCCTTACTTTATAGTTTTGAGCCCATCTTAATATTTCCATAGCATGTACATTCTTACCACAAGTTAATTGCTGTAACTCTTTGGAGGACTGAGTCTGCTATTGGACGGAGTCCCTAAAAAGAAGAACCTCTGTATTCTCAGTGTATAACAAGATGCACGGCATTTAATATATAGCTTGTCAGGCAGCGTTAGAGGAATAGATATGTATGGTTTTAAATAGAATTTTGTATCCTTTCACCTTCCCGTCAAAATCAACAGCAGATGTTCATAGAGAACAACTTGGCATAGCCAGTAAATGTTTTCATAATGCCAGTAGCAACATTTTCTAGCTGCTTACAAAAATGCAGCATTAAATTAAAAAGGGAAAGTCAGTCTCCATTTCCATTTACAGACAGTTCAAATCTTTAATAGAAGAAAGTGGGTTATATTTACATAAGTATAATTTCGTTAATAGAGAAAACAGGATACAAACTACCTGAGATCAGTGGTCTTCAAATATTTTTGCTTGTGTATCCAATAATTTTGAATAACATGTGCTCCTCTTGCACATTTTTTAAGTTGATCACAGCTGGAGTTTTTTTGTCAAGAGTTTAAATAGTTGCAAAAGATCTAATTTCTAAATTGTCGTATATTGTGATAGTGCTTTACTTTATCAAAACCTTGGAGTTTATCAATTGAAATAAATGTGTTCCTATATATCTCTGTGACAACCATCTTCTTAACTGTAGTTCTGTGGTAGATAAGGCGTGGGTTCTTGTTGTTATTAACATCTGTCCTGAAAGAAGCAAGGTACAGCCTCCTTTAGTATTTCTTATCAAACTTCCTTGTGCTTTACTCTTAAGTGGCTTTCTCATAGAATTAAATCTACAGATTGCATCCCCCTCCTCCCACAAAATTTTTTTACACCTAGGAAAATGGCCTACAGTAACACTGGGATGGCTGAGAGAAATACTTTGTTTTAGTCAAGTGGGAAAAAATTGTGAACAAAGAAGTGGTTAAGGAAAATCTTCAGGACATAGACTTGTTCTCAGGCAAATCAATTTTAGGAAAGAGTACACCTGGAAGTTGACAATTTGGAGAGCGATAGGGCTTTAAAACCTTGGTTTGTGCCATAGACCCTTTTGACAATTTAGTAAAGCCTGTGGATCCCTTCTCACAGTAATATTCTAGAATCAGTTTGTCACTTTCTACAGAAAGCCTGCTGGGATTCTGGTTGAATTGCATTGAGTTTCTAGATTATTGGGGATAACTGACACATTAACCATATTGAATCTTCCAATTCATGATCACAGTATATATCGTTCCATTTATTTAGGTTTTCTTCAGTTTCTGTTAGCAGTATTTTGTTTTCATTGTATAGATCTTGCATAGCTTGTTAAATTTATTCATAGGTATTTCATACCCTTGAAACAGTATTTTTAAATTTTAAATTTTCTAGTAGAAATACATAGAAATGCAATTTCTTTTTTTTTTCTTTTTTTTGAGACAGGGTCTCACCCTGTCACCCAGGCTGGAGTGCATTAGTGTGATCACAGCTCACTGCGTCCTCAACCTCCCAGGTTCAAGTGATCCTTCCACCTCAGCCTACTGAGTAGCTGGGACTGCAGACATGTGCTACTGCTCCTGGCTAATTTTTAAAAACTTTTTGGAGTCTTGATATGTTACCCAGGCTGATCTCAAACTCCTGTACTCAAGCAATCCTTCCACTTCAGCCTCCCAAGGTGCTGGGATTACAGGCATGAATTACTATGCCCAGCCTAGAAATACAATCTTTTCAAATATGTTGTTCTTGTATTCTACTATATTGCCAAACTCATGTATTCATTCTGATAGCTATTTTGTAGATTGATTCCTTCTGATGTTCTGTGTATGCAGTTGTGTCATTTGGGAATAAATTGTATTCTTTCTTTGCAGTCCGAATGCCTTTTATTTCATTTTCTTGCTTTATTGCCTTGGTTAGGACCTTTACTGGAATATTGAATAGAAGTGGTAAAAGTGGGTATACTTACCTTGTTCTGAAACTTAGGGAGAAAAGTGGTTAGTATTTTATCTTTAAATATAATGTTAGCTGTAATTATTCAAAGATGCTATTTATCAGGTTGAGGAAGTTCCTTCCTGTTCTTAGTTTCCTAAGAGTTTTTATTATGAATTGGTATTGAATTTTGTCAGTTTTTTTTCTGCCTCTACTGAGATTATCTTGCTTTTTTTCATTATTCAGTTAATGTGAATTACATGGATTCATTTTTAAAAGTTGAATTAACATTGCATTCCTGAAGTGAACCCCATTTGGTCGTGGGGTTGGATGTGATGTTCTAATATCTTAAGGATTTTTACATATTAACGAGGGACATTGGTTTGCAATTTTATTGCCATTGCATTATTTGGTTTGATGTCAAGGTAATGCTGACTACATAACATGAAATGGAAAGTATCCTCCCCTCTTCTATTTTCTGGGAGAGTTTGTGTAGACTTGGTATGATTTTTTTCCTTAAATGTTTGATGATATACCCTATTCATTTAGAAGCTTTAGAATTAGAATCTGTAGAATTTCTGTTATTGGTCATTTGTGTCTTTTAAAATTTTTATTTTCTTTCTTTTTATTTTTATTTTTGAAATAGGATCCCACTCTTTGTCACGCAGGCCAGAGGAGAGTGGCACAATCATGGCTCACTGCAGCCTTGATCTCCCAGGCTTAAGCAATACTTCCACCTCAGCCTCCCAAGTAGCTGGGACCATAAGCACACACCACTATGCCCTGCACATTTTATTTTATTTGTTTTTGTAGAAACAGGGTCTCCTTATGTTGCTCGGGCTGGTCTTGAACTCCTGGGCTCAAGTGATCCTCCTGCTTTAGTGTCCCAGAGTGTTGGGATTACAAGCATGAGTCATTGCACCTTGCTAAAATTTTCTTGATCAATATAGCTAGAGTTTTACTGATTTCATTGATCTTTTCAAAACTTTTTTTTTACTTCATTGGATTTTTTTCCTCTTTTTCATTTCTCTATTAAATAAAGTATTACATTAAATTCAGTCTCTTTCATTGATTCCTCCTCTTCTACTTATTTTAATTTTCTCTTTTTCTAGCTTCCTAAGGTGGAAGCTTAGACCATTATTTTGGACTTTTAAACTCCCTAATATAAACATTTACAGCTATAGATTTCTTTGTAAGTACTGCTTTAGATATGACCCACAAATTTTCATTTTCATTTTCATTCTCTTCAAAATATTTTAAAAATTTCTTTGTGATTTCTTTTTTAGCCCTTGGATTATTTAAAAGCGTTGATTAATTTCCATATATTTGCAGTTTTTCTATATATTTTAATCTATTATTGATTTCTAGTTTAATTTTATTGTAGTCAAAGAGAATCGTTTGTATTATTTCAGTAGTTATAAATATTTTGAGACTTATTTCATAGCCCAACATATAGTTCATTTTAGTGAATGTTACGTGTCTACATGAAAACCATTTTTAGTGAATGTTACATGTCTGCATGAAAACAATTTGTCATTTGTAGAGTGTGTGTTTTAGGTCAGGTTGTTTGATAGTGCTGTTGAAGTCTCTGTCCTTACTGATTTTTCTCTCTGCTTCGTCTGTGTCTGTTACTAAGTGAGAACTCTTGAAGTCTCCAACTATAATTATGAATTTGTCTATTTCTTCTGTCAGTTCTGCCACTTTTTGCTGCATTTATTTCGAAGTTCTCTTATTGGGTGTGTACAGATTTAGTATTGTTATGTCTTTTTGGTGAATTGACAACTTTGTCATTACAAAATGACTTCTTTGTCTTCAAGCTTATTCTGTTATTAATATTGCCACTCCAGCTTGGTATACTTTCACATTCTTTTACCTGTGTTTTTATACTTTTAAAGTGGGTTTTTGTAAGCAGCATATAGTTAGGTCTTGCTTTTTTATCCAATTTGATAATCTCTGCCTTGTAATTGAAATTTTAAATTATTTACACTTAATGTAATTTATTGATATGGTTGGATTTAAGTCAACCATCTTGCTATTTATTTTGTATTTGCCACATTTGTTTTTTGTTCCTTCCTCTTTTCCGCTTCTTTTTATATTCAGTTTACTTTAGGGTTTTTTTTACTAACTAAATTTTATCTCTACAATTTAGTTATATCACTTTATTATTTTGTTGTTATTTTTATTTTGTTATTATTTGAGGGTCTACAGTATATATCTTTTAACTTTAAATACCACAACCTGCCTTCAAATGATACTGTACTGCCTCAAATATAATGTAAGGATCTTTAAAAAATATACTTATATTTCCCCTCCTGTTCTTTCTTGTTACAGTTTCTTCTGCATATATTATAAACACAATACATTTTTATTATTTTTGCTTTAAATGATCAGCTATCTTTTAAAGGTATTATGACGTGAAAAGTATTTTATATACCCACATCATTTTTTATTTTTATTATTCTGGTTTAAAAACTTTAAGTTTTTTTTGTTTTGTTTTGTTTTGTTTTAGAGAGAGGGTCTTGTTCTGTCACCCGGGCTGGAGTGCAGTGGTGCAATCACAACTCACTGCAGCCTCCACCTCCTGGTCTCAATTGATTCTTCTGCCTCAGCCTCCTGAGTAGATGAGACTACAGTCAGATGACACCATACCTGGATAATTTTTCTATTTTTTGTAGAGATGGGGTCTTACTGTGTTGCCTAGGCTCATCTCGAACTGCTGGGCTCAAGTGATCCTCCCATCTCTAATAGTTTTTATAGTGATTATCTGTTGTTTTTCTGAAGATGTCTTTATTTCACATTGAGTTTTGAAAGTTTTTTCCCCAACCTGTAGAATTCTAGGCTGACAGTTTCGTTTAGCAGTTTAAAGACCTCATTCAGTTGTTCTTTGGCATGTGTTGTTTCTGCCAAATTTGGGGAAATTCTTTTTTTTTTTTTTTTTTGAGATGGAGTCTTGCTCCCTCGCCAAGCTGGAGTGCAGTGGCGTGATCTCGGCTTACTGCAACCTTCACCTCCCGGGTTCAAGCAATTCTTCTGCCTCAGCCTCCTGAGTAGCTGGGACTACAGGCGCGTACCACCATGCCCAGTTAATTTTTGTATTTTTAGTAGAGATGGGGTTTCTCCATGTTTGCCAGGATGGTCTCCATCTTTTGACCTTGTGATCTGCCTACCTCAGCCTCCCAAAGTGCTGGGATTACAGGCGTGAGCCACCGCGCCTGGCCAGTCTGAGGAAATTCTTATCTTTGTTCTTATATGTAATTTACTTGTTTTCTGTGGCTGCTTTTAAGATTTTTCTTTTAATCACTGATTTTCAGCTATTTGGTATATCTATGTATGGGTTTCTTTGTGTTTATCCTGTGTGTGGTTTATTTAATTTCTTGGAGCTTTGTATAGCAGCAGTCCCCAACCTTTTTGGCACCAGGGACCGGATTCGTGGAAGACAGTTTTTCCACAGATGGGGGATGGGAGGCTTGGTTTCAGGGTGAAACTCTTCTACCTCAGATCATCAGGCATTAGTTAGATTCTCATAAGGAGCACACAACCTAGGTCCCTTGCATGTGCAGTTCACAGTAGGGTTCAGGCTCCTTTGAGAATCTATTGCTGCCACCTATCTGAGAGGAGGCGGAGCTTAGGCAGTAATGCTTGCTCGCCTACCGCTCACCTCCTGCTCTGCAGCCCGGTTCCTAATAGGCCGTGGACTGGTACTGATCTGGCGGCCTAGGGGTTGGGGTCTACTGTTGTATAAGTCACATCGTCTTGCTTCTTGGCATGTCTGATAGTTGTTGATTGCCTGCTGAATATTGTGAATGTTACATTGTTTAGTATCTGAATTTTTTTGTGCATGTTATGTGTCTTTCATGACTATTGGGTTTTGTTCTGGTAGGCTGTTTAGTAATTTATGATTACTTTGGTCATTTGATAATTGATTTTAGAGTGGATTTAGATTAGCTTTTACTCTAAGGGTGGCTTACCCCACTATTAAGGCATGGTTCTTACAGGTTTCTGCTGATTGTCTTAGTGGTCAGTGAAGACTCACTACTCTGGCTGATGAGATATCAAATGATTTGCAGCCTTGTGTGAACTTTGAAACTATTCAACTGATAGCTCTCTAGTTTGGTTCTTGCCAGACCTGGTGGAGTGTCACACTATGCATAAGCATGTGTGGGACCAGGGAACAGAGCATGAAGGGGACCAGTTTGCATTTTCTTCAGCATAGCTTCATTCACTTTGAAATTGTATCTCAGAACTTTCATCTACCTCCGCATTCTTGAATGCCAGTTTGTCCCTCCAGCTTCTCAATTCAGCTAGATAGCTACTTGGAATTCTGCTCTATGCTCTGTAGTTTGGAATGTGCCTCTGGGGCAATCCTGGTTCTCTTGTTCTCTTTCTTACTGGGGTCAAAGGCTCTTGCTGCCTGTTCAATGTCTGAAAAAATGTGTTTAATACATTTTGTTCAGTTTTCTAGTTGTTAAAAGCAAGAGGGCAGATTCACTCTTTGTTCCTCCCTCATGGGCAGAAGTTATTTATTCATTTATTTACTTAGAGTAATATTTTTAAATGTATGAAATAAAATGTATAGAAAAAATTGTTTTGAAATAATTGTAATAACATTTTCATAACTACAAAATGGTTTTATATATGTTTAATGCATTCAATAATAAAACCTAGTATGGGGGCCTAATAATACCTCTAATTCTCTTTGAAGTCTTTACCTGACTCCAGATTAGGAACTGCTACCTTAAAACTGTCTATGCCCATGTATTCCCTGAAAAGTCTTCATGTAACCCTAGAGATGCAGACATTCTAGTTTGAAGAAAGCTTCCTTTAACTTTCTTCAACTAAAGATGTCAACAGACATCATCACAATTAGAGTCTATTTTAATTTACCAAAGGAGAAAAGTTAAGCCTGGCAATTACTAATTATTAATACAGGTTGAATATCCCTAATCCAAAAATCTGAAATGCTCCAGAATCTGAAACTTTTGAGCAGTGATATGGTGCTTAAAGGAAATGCTCTTTGGAGCATTTCAGATTTTGGATTTTTGAATTAGGATTGCTCAGGCAGTAAGTATATAATGTAAGCATCCAACATCTGAAAAAATAAAAAAATCCAAAACACTTCTGGTCCCAAGCATTTAGGATAAATATTCAACCTGTAACAACTACTGATCATTATGCTTATTAAAAATTACCAATTAAATGATAAGTATTCATTAATGACACTAGTCATTAATAACAAACCTATGTAAAATTCTAAAAATAATCTTCTGACTGTATGCTTATGTGTATTTTATTGTCCCTTTACCATCAGTGTTTTTTTTTTTTTTTTTTTTTTTTTTTTTGAGATAGAGCCTGGCTGTCACCCAGGCGGGAGTGCAGTGGTGCTTTCTCAGCTCACTGCAGCCTCCCTCTCCCGGGCTCAAACGATCCTTCCACCTCAGCCTCCCAAGTAGCTGGGACTACAGGCACATGCTGCCATTCCTGGCTAATTTTCGAATTTTTTGTAGGGACAGGGTTTCTCCATGTTTCCCAGGCTGGTCTTGAACTCGTGAGCTCAAGTGATCCACCTCCATCAGCCTCCTAAAGTGCTGGGATTACAAGCCTGAATGCTTCTTTATTAGGAAATATTCTTAAATGATTTCATAGTTGAATGTAATTATTGTTTTAATAACAAAACTTTTTATAAAATACCAATTTGGGCTAGGTGTGGTGGCTTATTTATGCCTGTAATCACAGCACTTTGGGAGACCAAGATGGGAGGATCACTTGAGGCTAGGAGTTTGAGACCAGCCTGGGCAGCATAGCAGTACCCTGTCTCTACAGAAAAATAATAATAAAGAAAATAGGCTGGGCGCTTTGGCTCACGCCTGTAATCCCAGCACTTTGGGAGTCTGAGGCGGGCAGATCACAAGGTCAGGAGATCGAGACCATCCTGGCTAACACGGTGAAACCCTGTCACTACTAGAAAATAGAAAAAATTAGCCGGGCGTGGTAGCGGGCGCCTGTAGTCCCAGCTACTCGGGAGGCTGAGGCAGGAGAATGGCGTGAACCCGGGAGGCGGAGCTTGCAGTGAGCCAAGTTCATGCCACTGCACTCCAGCCTGGGTGACAGAGCTAGACTCCGTCTCAAAAAAAAAAAAAAAAAGAAAGTACAAATTTATTGCTTAGTAAAGTGTAAAGTGTTAGCATCTTTTAAGTTGTATATTGTTGTTTTTAATGTGAAGTGATCAACACCTGTGAAAAGGGGTGGAAAAAGAAAAAATAAGAATAAATGTTTAATGTGAAGTGAGAGTCAGACCTCCTATATTTGTTGTTGTTGTTGTTGTTTTTGAGACAGAGTCTGGTGCTGTCACCCAGCCTGGAGTGCAGTAGTGTGATCTCGACTCTTGACTCACTGCAGCTTCTGTCTCCCGGGTTCAAGCAATTCTTGTACCTTAGTCTCCCTAGTAGCTGGGATTGTGGGCACGCGCCACCATGCCTGGCTAATTTTTGTAATTTTTGTAGAGATGGTTTTTCGCCACATTGGCCAGACTGATTTTGAACTCCTGGTCTCAAGTGATCCTCCTGCCTCAGCCTCCCAAACCCCACAAACCCCACAAAACCCACTTTTAGTCTTTTTTTTTTTTTTTTTTTTTTTTGAGATGCAGTCTCACTCTGTCACCAAGGCTGGAGTGCTGTGGCGCAATCCTGGCTCACTGCAACCTCCACCTCCTGGGTTCAAGTGATTCTTGGGCCTCAGCCTCCCAAGTAGCTGGGACTACGGGCACCTGCCACCACGCCTGGCTAATTTTTGTATTTTTGGTAGAGATGGCATTTCACCATGTTGGCCAGCTGGTCTCAAACTTCTGACCTCAGGTGATCCGCTTGCCTTGGCCTCCCGAAGTGCTGATATTACAGGCGTGAGCCACCATGCCCATCCCCCACTTTAAGTCTTAAAGGATCCATGTTATACAGTTGAGCAATATTCATTCTCTTTCTTAATGTCATTGTCAAGTGTGAGTATATCTTTTCCTGGTCAGTGAGAACTGAGGTTGAAACGAGCAGTTTGATTTCTGGACTTAAATTTGTACTAAAGTGTATTGGGTTCTCTGAAGATAAAACCAACATACAACTTTCATCTATATAGGATTATTCTGTTCACTGTTTGGGAGATCTTACACTTTTCAAATTAAACTATGAATAAATGCTTATATAGATAAGAAATGATCAGTTCTCCACTATCCTTCTGTTTTTCTAGGTAACTATAACTACCCAATATTGCAGCCATGGAGTCCATGCTTAATAAATTGAAGAGTACTGTTACAAAAGTAACAGCTGATGTCACTAGTGCTGTAATGGGAAATCCTGTCACTAGAGAATTTGATGTTGGTCGACACATTGCCAGTGGTGGCAATGGGCTAGCTTGGAAGATTTTTAATGGCACAAAAAAGTCAACAAAGCAGGTGAGTTTTAATTCAGCATCCACTTGGAAAAAACCCACATGCTAAGAACCATAAAATGCATGTGTGCATTTTTATGTTAAGAAATGCCAAAAGTTCTTTAATAGGTTCTTAAATGGGTTCTTTAGTTCTCATTTTATCTTATTAAGTCATACAAAAAAACAAATGCTTTTAAACATGCTCTGAATCTCCTGGTTACACATATACTGTTTGACATACCATATCATCTTGAAATATAATTTTGCTTACTTAATAAACATGTCAGTTGAGCAAACGAGTATATTAGATTGTAATATTTAGTGAAGCATATGTTTTAGGATAGAAATTGCCGTGTTTCTTAAATTTTCTTTTCATATTTGTCAATATGTTACTGGCAAAATACCCAGTTAAATTTTTCAACGTTAAGTGCGTCTTAGTGCAGTCAGTGCTGGGATTACAGCGTGAGCCACCGTGCCCGGCCAAAATCACTGTTTTCAAAAGTCTTTTACTTCCCTACAAGTGAAATATATGGGTTGTAAAATGTAAAGGATTTCTTATATATACCTCCCAATGACTACCACAGTCATACAATTGTGGGTATGCATTATTTGCTACTTTTCCGAAGTTAGCTTATTTCCCAGGTAAGTACATTGAAGACTGAATTGGCTTTGGTTATCCTTTTATGAAATAGGAATCTTGGTCCTATGATAAATTGCTGGTATGTCATTTGTATTCAACCTGTTAAGTCTTGTTTTTATTGCCATTTGGAAGTCTTTACTGAAATTCAGAGTTGATCTGCATCTGAAATGCTGATCGATTTGTTACTTTTGAACATTGCTTTTTTCTTCAATTCACCATAAGCTCATCCAAAAAAGTAAATGGTTTCTTGAGTATTGACTACCTAAAAACTATTAATGAGGTCATGAGTTTTGTAAATGAACAACCTCCTCTGATTCTAGCACAAATTGCTTTTACAATCAGTTATATAAGGGGAAAACAAAATAACAAATTTATAAAATTAGACATTTTTATTAAGGATGTGGTAATATATAATAGCATCTCTGTGCGTAACTAGAAAGGTTCTAGGTAGTTGTGGTAATATCAGTAGTTCATATGCTGAAATCTCCTGATGATTTTGGAGCTTCTAGAACATGAGAACCAGGCACAAATGATAGAACACCATTCTCAACTGCTGACTATCAGCACTGGATTTTCTTAGGGAACTTTTCTACATTGCACTTTTTTTCTGTATTTATTGCTTTGGAATTAAAGGTGGTACACCAGTGAGCTCAGTGGATATAGGTTCAAATTTTCTTTTTTGCCTCCTTCAACTTGCAAGGGTCAGAACTGAATATCCTGTCTTTACTACTGGTTAATTTTTTAAAGAATAGCTAAGTCCTTAAGCACCTTGACATTGAAGCCTCTGCCTCCCAGGTTGAAGCAATTCTCCCACCTCAGCTTCCCAAGTAGCTGGGACTACAGGCGTGCACCACCATGCCTGGCTAATTTTTGAATTTTTAGTAGAGACGGGGTTTCACCGTGTTGGCCAGACTGCTCTCGAACTCCTGACCTCAAGTGATCCGCCCGTCTCGGCCTCCCAAAGTGCTGGAATTACAGGCATGAGCCACCGCGCCCGGCCTAGTTTCTTTTTTGAGTGTTCATTTAGAAGCAGCTCTTAGTTTCTCACTATTATTTTTTTCTGGAATCTCAGCAGGGATGCTAAAGACATCTCCAGGTAATATTTAGAGAATAAAAACTGTGGTGTCGGCCAGCCATGGTGGCTCACGCCTGTAGTCTCAGCACTTTGGAAGGCCAAGGTGGAAGGACCCCTTCAGCTCAGGAGTTTAAGACCAACATGTGCAATGTAGGGAGACTCTGTCTAAAAAAAATTGTGTGGTCTGATTAATTTTTAAAATATAAACTTATTTTTAATAACTTATGTTCAGCATATTATAGAATATTGCACAAATCATGAGTGTACAGCTTGATAAATGTTCACAGTGAATACACCCATGTAACCAGCATCCGGACCAATAAAAAAAACACTGCTAATACTCATGTCCTTTCCTGTCATTATCCCTAACCCCCTTCTCTCCAGGGATAACCACTACCCTGTCCTTTAACACTAGAATAATTTTGCCTGTTTTTGAACTTTATTTAAATGCATTTGTATATACTCTTGTATTTGATCCCTTTTCCTTAATAGTATATGGATAAGCTATATCTGTGTTGTTGAACAATGCAGTTTTTCTTTTCATTGATAGAGTATAGCTGTAGACATTCTTGTATGTGCCATTGGCACATATGACGCATTACCTAGGTGTGGGATTGCTAGGTTGTAGTGTATGTGTTCATTGCCAAATAATTTTTCCGGTGTGGTGCCAGTATACACTTCCACCAGCAGTTACAGTTTCTTCACATCCCTGCCAATCTTGTTATATAGTCTTTTTAATTTTAGACATTCTGGGTGGAGGGTTTATCTAATTTTTGAAAATTCAGTGAAATATTCCCTGCTCCCCTCTCTTCTGAACTTTAAAAATGTCTGATAGGTAATTCAAACATAGAATTTATACCATTATATTTCTGTTAATAGCTTTCTAACTGACTTAGTCTTTTTACACAGTTTCATGTTTTCAGGCTTAAAATGGTCATTTGAATATAGGTATTCTTTTCAAACATTGTTATGTTCTTTGTTGTAAATACTTATTTGAGAGGTATTTCTGAGGCAAATGCTCTTGGTTGGATTTCATTGACTTTACTAATTTTTAAGTTATACTTTATTTAAACTAGCCATTAAAGATGGAAATTTTTATTTTGGCCAAGCTATATATATAATAAATGATAAATGTTTACCGTATACATACATACATACGTACATGTATGTCCTTTAAAAATTGGAATACTGTTATCTGTTAGGTAGGAATATTATGACTATCAAGGCTGCTAATTTGTTTAAATAATTTCTAATAAAACACCATATACATCTAATTTCTGTCTCAGCTATGTCCCTAGTGCCTAATTTTTACCTCCTTTCAAGTAGAATAATAATTCTAGATTTTGAAATTTCTTTCAACTGTCAAATATCAAGCTAAGGGATTTATTTTGGGAGAGGATGTTTAAAAAAATGTGTGTGTATGTGTGTATGTTTATATATGTAATTTTGCCTGGTCTTGGGATATTTAAGCATTTATTTATTAAGCACTTCTGTTTAGTTTGACATAAGATTCTGTATTGTCAAGGAATTACCCTTCAAAATTGATTCATTTAACATTTATGAGTAGTCTTCTAGTATCCTACATTTATTATGACTTTTTATATTTGCTTTTGCAGTAGACCTTTTTTCTTGAAAAAAAGAAAGAAAATAGGGTAGGTTTGTGTTAGTTGGCTTTAAAAGTTGTATTTGTTGACCTGATAGTTTTGCCCTACTTCAGGGGCTTCATAACACCTCCCTGAAATGACTGTTTCTGTGAGGATAGTGAAGATTGATTGATTTCTAATAATTATTATATGATAAATAATTGTTCATATCTTATCCACTCTACCAAACGTTGGGTTGGACGTAATCCCTTCCTTACTACAAAATATACATTGTGTTATCCAGATGCCAGTATTCATGGATGAGGCTTGCTAATATTGTATATACAAAAGCATAATTAAATTATAATAAATAATTAAATTAGAATAATTAATAGTTTTAAAATAAAGGAAACTTTTATGTGAAGCCAAATATGCTAGTCATGTCACTTAGACAAAAGATGATCATAGACTAGTAATTTTAAGGGGTATATGTTTTTACCTTTCATTCTTCTCAGCAACTTATTTTTAACTTAATATAAATAAAAGTTTATATTTTGCTTTACTGTTTTGAAGAAGGAACATTATCCCAAAATCAGATGAAAAATGAAGTGTGTGATGCTTGACAGTCACCACCAGCCAGTCATGGGGGTCCATAAAATAGAGATCTCAGGGAACATCTGTGTTCCAAAAGCCACCTCTGGTGCCTCTGAGGGTTAGATTAGTGGAGGTCATGATCGCTGTTAGAGAATCGAGACACATTACTATAAATCATGTAATTTAAATTTTATTACTTAAGTATCTTGTTATCAACAGAGCTCAACTTTGTAGTAAGCAAAATAGCTTCTTTGGTTTTTGTTGTTGTTGTTGTTGTTGTTGTTTTCCAGAGAGGGGGTCTTAATATGTTGCTCAGGCTGGGGTGCAATGACTATTCACAGGCACAACCGTAGCCTACAGCCTTGACCTCCTGGGCTCAAGCAATCCTCCCACCTCAGCCTCCCAAGTAACTGAGATTACAGACGTGTGCCGCCATGCCTGGCTCACAAGTAGCTCTTAAAAATTATAAATTAGGTCTGTATCAAATGGGACATACACTGTATTGTGACAAATACTACAGTCTTTTAGAATACTTCCGTAGCCTTTTTTGTTTAAATTAGGCTATTGAGAAAAAATACTTTTTAGTAAGTGTCTTTCTTTGCCAGTGTTTTTAAAGAATCTGCAATGAATAAATAAATAATAGGATACCATATATTGCTTATATTTTGTTCTAATAATTTTTTGTATTAAAAAACCCTCAATTTAACTACAGTTAACAGTTGTTGAATCTTAAGCAGAAGACATACTGGATGATTGTGCTATTTGATCTTTTCTGTATATTTGAAATTTTTGTTAATAAAAAGTTAAAAAATATTTTAATTAAAGATGATAATAAAAAGCTTTAATTGCTTATCTTTATTTACTATCAGTAAGCAATAGACATCTGAGTATCTTCTAGGCATAACTGCTGAGTTCTGTGGTAGATACAGAGGCACATAAGACGTTGTTTCTTTCTTCAAGAGGATTGTAATATATATAAGGTGACTGGACTTTTGCATAAATGATGTGTGTTAGCAGAGTGGGTAGTATAGAAAAGTAGTAAAAGAAAAATGAAATTAGATTATGATGTATTCTGATGAAAGGCTTTGTACAGTGTAATAGTTTTATTTTAGGAAGTCAGTATGAGGCCTGAGGATTAACAACACAACCTTGTTAACATTGGTTAATTTTAATCACCTGATTGAAACAAAGAGAAAATATTTTTAAGATAGTTGATAACCTCTTCTGACTTATTTAGGACTTATCTTTGATAAGTAAAACAATGGACTATCTGAGAGAATTTTGTGAGTTTTTTTTTCTTTTCTTTTTTTCTTTTAAGAGATGGGGCCTTACTGTGTTGCCCAGGTTGGTCTCAAGCCCCTGGCGTCAAACCATCCTCCTGCCTCATTTTTACAAAGTGTTGGAATTACAAGCATGAGCCACCATGTCCAGCCAGTGTTTTCTTTTTCTTCGTGAACTATAGTGTTCCTCTTTACTTGTGGTGAAACTGCAAGAGCTATTTCATGTAGTCCTTTTTTTATATATACTTAGAACACCTTGAGCTGAGCACGGTGGCTCACACCTGTAATCTCAACACTATGGGAGGCTGAGGTGGGAGGATTGCTTGAGTCCAAGAGTTTGAGACCAGCCTGGACAACATAGTGAGACCTCGTCTCTACAAAAAAATTAAAAAATTTGCTGGGCATGGTGGTGTGTGGCTGTGGTCCCAGCTACTCGGGAGACTGAGGTGAGAGGATCACTTGAGACCAGGAGGTGGAGGCTGCAGTGAGCCATGATTGTGCCACTGCACTCCAGCCTGGGTAATAGAGTGAGACCCTGTCTCAAAAAAAGAAAAAAAAAAAAGACTTGAAAAATAAAACATTTATTTATTTAAAATTTTTTTTTTGAGATGGAATCTCACTGTGCTGCCCAGGCTCCAAAGTGCTGGACACTTTGGAGTACCCAGGCCTCCCAAAGTGCAAAGATTACAGGCGTGAGCTACCGTGCCGGCCATAACACATTTAAATTGGATACATTTATAAAATGTGTTATAGCAGAAGACTTACTAAAATAAGATTGTGCACATGAATGGCAAGATGAGAACTTGAAGTTTTAGGTCATTTGTTTTTAGTTCGAATTAGTGTTATGTAAAACTCTTACCTCCTGGCTGTCCTGTGCCTCGTAATGATCAGGAGTTAAGATTAGGTGTTTATATGAGTGCTATTTAAAGCTGTTACTCAGCCTAAATGACTGATTTCTTTCTTGAAGACATGCATCGTGTTTTGCTTTGGTGTTCCGTATTTTCCCTGTGTTATTTCTGGGGCGACAGAATGATGTCTTGGCTAAAAATATAGTCCTGTGGACTAACTGTTTGAAACTTGACTTTTTTTATCTTAGAAAACATTTATCTTCTCCACAACATCCTCATTTGTAAAGTTAATATAATATTTGTCTCGTAGGGTTTCTGTGAGGAATAGAATAATTCCTGAAAAGTACTTAGCACAATGCTTGGCACATATAAATACGCAAATGCTATCTTGTTATTTCTATTATATAAATAGTTGACTTGGGAACCTCTTTATTTGTAAGATTTTCTAGTAGACTAATGCCTGAAACTTTAGCTGTAGAGTGTATTATATTTTCATTTTTTATCTCATTCCTTTTATGACTGTGGTCTGAAAATAACAGTGACCAAGGTTTGAGTTCAGGGTCGACATAATAAATGGAGGAGTGAAATTTCATTTTAGGTTTGTGTGACTCTGGAAACTGGGCTCTTGATCACTGTTATATTCTTATGCTGCATGTTTTTTTCTGTGTGACATGGGAATGGTATTGGGTTTATATCACATCATTTTGTTTAGCTTAGTATATTAATGTTCCTTATCAAGTTGACAGGTTGTTGAATCTCTGTCTTTCAAAGTTGATTCTTGACCATGGGTCTTGAATGTGTGTCATTGATCATATGTATGTGTCATTGATCAGATGTGTGTCAGCAGAAAACTCATCAGTAATAGAAAAATAACAAAATACAAGTCTTGATGTTAGTGGTGTAACGACGTTAGCTAACATTAATTGAATATGTCAGGTATTACAATAAGTTCTTTTTATATTACTGTGTCACTTATTCTTCAGTGGTCCTTTGAGGTATTCATACTATTATTTATTCTTTTTTTTTCTGTTGAGAAAACTTGCCCAAAGGCAGCTGGTCAGTTGAAGGGAAATTGACTCAAAGGCTCCTCTGATCTAATGCCAGTGTCTTGAGTGCTGTATAGATACATCCTCTGTTGTTTTATTGTAGTAAATGCTGCCTTATTCACAAATGCTTGGGGGGACGTTGTGTTTTAATTGAGTTACAGTGCTAAATAATTCCTTTTTGTTGCCACTTTTCAGAGACTTACTCCTCTAATATCCTTAACTCATTTATATACATAAGGAACCCTCATTTTACAAGTTATGTTTGAGAAATTTATTGGATTGGACTTTTTGCAGTGAATCTCTATGAGATGGTTGAGTTGCCAGGCTAACTTATGAAAATAATAATGCTAATGTAGCAAAAATGCAGAACAGAAGAAAATAATTAGAAGAGAAAAAAATGAGAATAAAATAGAAAACTAATTGTCTTGGATATTGATAGTTGAGTAGCAGTAGGTTTAATTTGAGGCTTTCAAAGACATAGAAATTCTGAAAGAGTTTCTAAATCTTTCAAGGAATTTTGGAAGGCTAGCATTCTTTGCTAATTTCGTTTCCAGTTTATTTTGCGTTATTACCAAGAACACACATCAGTAATTTAACACATCACCTATCAGTAGAGCTGTTTTTTTATTGATTTGTTAAGAGTGGGTAACTAGATGAGAACTGTTTTTCCTTGGGTATCTGAGGAATAATGAAAGGAAGAAGATGGTAAGGAGGATGTGTGCTTTTAGTAGTATAAAATAAGCTGTGAATGATTTCAAAGAGAGGTGGTGGGAGAGCAAGTCCCTGTACTAGTAACCGTTTACATTTACTGCCCCTAACAAGATGGGGGATAGGAAGGTATGAGATAGAATATAGATTATTCATATGTAAAAGATACTACAAATTCATTTTTCTTACAAACAAGTACTCCCTGACTTACAACCTTTCTTTCAAAAAGCATTTCAAGATTTTGTAGTATACTTCACGATTATCATTGTAAGTTACATTTTAAATTTTTAAACATTTTCTTTGAATTCTGTGTCCATAAGAGATTACTACACAGGAAACAACATATTGTACACAATTAATATGTACCTGTGATAGCAGAATTCAAAGGTAAGGTTTTTCCTGTGTTCTTTAGATGAGGACTCTAGGTTTTACACCTTTTAAAATGTTTAGATTTACTATCATAAGGAAACCAACTCTTTGATATCAGAAAAGTATTACAATGGTGCTAAAATTTTTATGGCATAGTTATTTGTAGATTGTGACATTCATATAATTTTATTACTTTTCTATATTTCTTGACTAAAATTACACAATTCTTTTATTTAGGAAGTGGCAGTTTTTGTCTTTGATAAAAAACTGATTGACAAGTATCAAAAATTTGAAAAGGATCAAATCATTGATTCTCTAAAACGAGGAGTCCAACAGTTAACTCGGCTTCGACACCCTCGACTTCTTACTGTCCAGCATCCTTTAGAAGAATCCAGGTAAATTTTTACAAAAACTTACATAGTAGACTTCCTGAACAAATAGTTAAAAATAATTTTATATTTGAAATCTGTTTCAAGTATTGTCAGTGAAAAATTCTTATACTCTAAGTGTTGAGTTCTTATGCATTAGTTTTCTCCCTAAAATTTATTTGCATTGTCTACGTATATGTCTCTCTTTGAAATATTAATACTTTCTTTACTTTTGCCATGATTCTGTACTTCAGTGGCTACCCTGTGCTCATGACTACAATAGTCAAAATAGAACATACAAGGGTATAGAATACAGTTCTTGCCTGAAAGTAGCTGTCCTTGCTAATTTGCTAGAATTTCTTGTCTCCTTTTCATTGATACAGTATTTGGAGGCCAATTTTGTGTGTGTGCCAACTACTGTTTCAGACACTTAACCTTCTACTATGCCTAGCATGCCAGTCCATAGCTCTCAGTTACTTTACCATCTATTTTTCTCAAGGGTGAGCTTGGGAAGTGTTAGTGAGAGTGACAAGAAAATGAAATTTATGTAATCTTAACTAGACTCTCAAGCTTGTGGCACTTTTAATACTCCTTTAGATACGCTAGCTTTATAAACCTTTTCGACATTACTTATAACCCAAATTTATGCTTTTCTTCCTTCTTTCTCAGCAGACTGTATTCCCCTCTCTTAATTCAGAAAATCTTAATCAGATCATTTGGTATTTGTGTCCTGTGGCCCTGTTGGCCCTTAGGATTTTTAAGGATAGGGGAAGAATGGGAAAGTGGAGGACACAGAACTGGCAGGGTTCCAGGCTGTGTGGGATGAAGGTCCCATCTCCCTTCAATTGTACAGTTTTGCTTTTATCTTTTATTATATATTGAGTTTCTGCAATTCTTACGTTGGAATCCTCAATAACCACTTTCTACCATCTCACCCTTCAAAGGCACAAGATCTTTTTTTTAAACATAAAAGGAAAAATACAAACATTTACTATGTGAAAAACTATGCTAAATGTTTTACATTGTTTAATTCATCTAATTCTCACAATTACACAGAACAGAGGATCAAAGAAACTGTATGGTTTTAAGTGCTGGAGCTAGGATTCATTTTGTCATTCTGATTCCTGAGTCCCTGTTTTTATTTTTTACTGCACCATGCTGCATCTACCCAAAAATATGCTAATGTGTCAGTTGATTGATCGAGACAAGAGTCTCACTCTGTTGCCCAAGCTGGATTACAGTAGTGCCATCATAGCTCACTGCAGCCTCGAACTCCTGGACTCAAGTGATCCTCCTGCCTCAGCCTCTCAAGTAGACTACTACAAGTGTGTGCTACCATGCCCAGCTAATTTTTTGATTTTTAATTTAAAAATTTTTTGTTTTGTAGAAGTGGGGTCTTGCTATATTACTCAGGCTGATCTTGAACTCTTGGCCTCAAGTGATCCTCCCTGAGATTACAGGTGTGAGTGACTGTGCCTGGCCTCTTCTTTTTCTTTTTTAATTTTTGGGGTGGGGTTTTGCTGTTGTTGCCCAGGCTTGCCTTGGACTCCCGAGCTTGTGTGATCCTCCTGCCTCAGCCTATCAAGTAGCTGGGACCACAGGTGCATGCTGCTGCACCTGGCTTGCTCATATGTCTCTTGTCATAAAAATATTTTTTATTGCCTTTCTTTTCATGGATAAACCCAGAACACTATAGTTTCTGTCTGTTATGTAATACTATTGTGAATCCTGTATCCCAAAGTAGACTGGTTTTCCCACACTTATCCTACACTTTCCTGACTCTGTATTTGTTGGTGCTATTTCCTCTGGAGTGTTTTCTATCAGCGTCTCTAGTGTCACCTATTAGAATCCTACCTATCCTTGTTATTTTATGTTGTATTTACATGTTTTTTTTTTATTTATTTTTTATTTTTTATTGATCATTCTTGGGTGTTTCTCACAGAGGGGGATTTGGCAGGGTCATAGGACAATAGTGGAGGGAAGGTCAGCAGCTAAACAAGTGAACAAAGGTCTCTGGTTTTCCTAGGCAGAGGACCCTGCAGCCTTCCGCAGTGTTTGTGTCCCTGGGTACTTGAGATTAGGGAGTGGTGACGACTCTTAACGAGCATGCTGCCTTCAAGCATCTGTTTAACAAAGCACATCTTGCGCCGCCCTTAATCCATTTAACCCTGAGTGGACACAGCACATGTTTCAGAGAGCACAGGGTTGGGGGTAAGGTCACAGATCAACGGGATCCCAAGGCAGAAGAATTTTTCTTAGTATAGAACAAAATGAAAAGTCTCCCATGTCTACTTCTTTCTACACAGACACGGCAACCATCCGATTTCTCAATCTTTTCCCCACCTTTCCCCCCTTTCTATTCCACAAAGCCGCGATTGTCATCCTGGCCCGTTCTCAATGAGCTGTTGGGCACACCTCCCAGACGGGGTGGTGGCCGGGCAGAGGGGCTCCTCACTTCCCAGTAGGGGCGGCCGGGCAGAGGCGCCCCTCACCTCCCGGACGGGGCGGCTGGCCGGGCGGGGGGCTGACTCCCCCACCTCCCTCCCGGAAGGGGTGGCTGGCCAGGCGGGGGGGTGACCCCCCCACCTCCCTCCCGGATGGGGTGGCTGGCCAGGTGGGGGGCTGACCCCCCAACCTCCCTCCCGGACGGGGCGGCTGGCCGGGCAGAGGGGCTCCTCACTTCCCAGTAGGGGCGGCTGGGCAGAGGCGCCCCTCACCTCCCAGACGGGGCGGCTGGCCGGGCGGGGGGCTGACCCCCCCACCTCCCTCCCGGACGGGGCGGCTGGCCGGGCGGGGGGGCTCCTCACTTCCCAGTAGGGGCGGCCGGGCAGAGGCGCCCCTCACCTCCAGGATGGGGCGGCTGGCCAGGCGGGGGGCTGACTCCCCCAGGCTGACTCCCCCACCTCCCTCCCAGACCGGGCGGCTGGCCGGGCGGGGGCTGACCCCCCACCTCCCTCCTGGACAGGGTGGCTGGCCGGGCAGAGGGGCTCCTCACTTCCCAGTAGGGGTGGCTGGGCAGAGGCACCCCTCACCTCCCGGACGGGGTGGCTGGCCGGGCGGGGGGCTGACCCCCCCACCTCCCTCCCGGACGGGGTGGCTGGCCGGGTGGGGGGCTGACCCCCCCACCTCCCTCCCGGACGGGGCGGCTGGCCGGGCGGGGGGCTGACCCCCCCACCTCCCTCCCGGACGGGGTGGCTGCTGGGCGGAGACGCTCCTCATTTCCCAGACGGGGTGGCTGCCGGGCGGAGAGGCTCCTCACTTCTCAGACGGGGCGGCTGCTGGGCGGAGGGGCTCCTCACTTCTCAGACGGGGCGGTTGCCAGGCAGAGGGTCTCCTCACTTCTCAGACGGGGTGGCCGGGCAGAGACGCTCCTCACCTCCCAGACGGGGTCGCGGCCGGGCAGAGGCGCTCCTCACATCCCAGATGGGGTGGCGGGGCAGAGGCGCTCCCCACATCTCAGATGATGGGCGGCCGGGCAGAGACGCTCTTCACTTCCTAGATGGGATGGCGGCAGGGAAGAGGCGCTCCTCACTTCCTAGATGGGATGGCGGCCGGACGGAGACGCTCCTCACTTCCCAGACTGGGCAGCCAGGCAGAGGGGCTCCTCACATCCCAGACGATGGGCGGCCAGGCAGAGACGCTCCTCACTTCCCAGACGGGGTGGCGGCCGGGCAGAGGATGCAATCTCGGCACTTTGGGAGGCCAAGGCAGGCGGCTGGGAGGTAGAGGTTGTAGCGAGCCGAGATCACGCCACTGCACTCCAGCCGGGGCACCATTGAGCACTGAGTGAACGAGACTCCGTCTGCAATCCCGGCACCTCGGGAGGCCGAGGCTGGCGGATCACTCGCGGTTAGGAGCTGGAGACCGGCCAGGCCAACACAGCGAAACCCCGTCTCCACCAAAAAAAATACGAAAACCAGTCAGGCGTGGCAGCGCGTGCCTGCAATCGCAGGCACTCGGCAGGCTGAGGCAGGAGAATCAGGCAGGGAGGTTGCAGTGAGCCGAGATGGCAGCAGTACAGTCCAGCTCCGGCTGGGCATGAGAGGGAGACCGTGGAAACAGAGGGAGAGGGAGACCGTGGGGAGACGGGAGAGGGAGAGGGAGACCATGGGGAGACGGGGGAGACCGTGGGGAGACGGGAGAGGGAGAGGGAGAGGGAGAGGGAGAGCTGGATTTCAAAGCTTCATCCATGCTGAGCTGCAAGGGGAATGGACAGAACTGGAAACTGGGGCAGACTGGAGTTGCCAGCCTAGGCTGGGCTGTGAGCTCCATGGAGCAGATGCCGGGCCATCCTGCCCTGGCTCTAAGCCCAGCCCCAGGCCAGGGCCGACACCTGGTAGGCTCTTTATGAGTGCTTCCTGAATGAATGCTGCAGAATTACATGTCTTATATCTCATAATTACATTTCAAGTCTCTTGAGGGGAGAAGGACTATCAGTTATACTTTTCTGTGTCCCTGCAGCTTTTTGTATGGTGATTTAAATATTATAGAATTAGGAATTTATTGGCAATCATGAAGAGAGACAATTCAAAGATTACTTTAAGATGTCCTAATTGTTAGGTTGTAAAAATTGTAGTAGCATTGATAGAAATAGGGACACTTTAGGGAAGAAAAAGATAACTTCCAGTTTTTAATGAATTAATAATACTGACATGACACTGGAATTACCCAAAGGAAATGCACTTCAGAAAGAGTAATTCAGATGACAGTCCAGAGTTGGTGATGTATATGGGGGTGAGTCACTTACAGGCAGTAATTAAAACCTAAAAAAAAGTGAGTTTTTCAAGAGTATGAGTAAAAGGAGCAGAGTACTGAGGAAAGAACCTTGAAATGTAGGGAAAACAAGAGCCAAAGAAAAAGGAGGAATATTGTCGTATGGCAGGAGAATTGGCAGCATGTCATGGAAGCAAAAGGAAGGAAAAAGAACCTGCTAACACTGGGGAATACAGAATAAAAAAGAAGATAAGGACAGAGAAGAATCCATTACATTTGACCAGTGAGAAGTTGTTAGTAACATTCAGTAATTTTAGTAGGATGACAGTTTGGAAGCAAAAAAAAATAGATTCAAAGGGACCTAGCAGAGAAGACACTATGTAAGTCTATAAGACAGTTTTTTTTTTTTTAACAGTACAGTTCAACAAAAGCATGCCTTATGGTCCAATGTGTTAATGAGCTACGTGTTGGGAGTACAGAACAAGGCAGCTTCCTTGATGATGGCTGAGCAGGCAGCAGGACAATGTGACCATTTCTCACCTTCAACCTAAGTTCTGTTTTTATTTCTTATATATTAAGCTTCTGCATATGCTCTCATTTGAAAAACAGATTTAAGGCAGAAGAAAAGTTATTCAGGTATTGGAACAGATGAGACATCAATTAAAGGACATAACTGCCATTTAACAGTTACTATGCAGGCCCAGAAGCTTGTTATGTAGCCACATTACTGTACTACTTTGTAGTTCTTCATTGCCAGAGCCTAAAGCCCAAGGCCTAAAGTGTTAGGGCTTGGGTGGCAAATGCTTGGTAATTATAATAGCAATGGTAAGCTTATTGAGCTTACATGCTTTATGTATTTTACATGATTTTCTCATTAGATCTTTATACTAACCCTTCAAGGTGGGTCTATTATCACCATTTTACAAATGGGTGAAGTGAGGTTCAGAACAGTAGTGTCCATTGTTACCAAGACAGCACATAGGGATGCTGGGACTTAAAGTCAGGTATCTGTCCTCAAAGCCTGAGCTCTTGATCATTACCCTGTAAGGCCATTGAATGTTAATATCTAACATTTTCTGAGTTTATAAATCTTCTTGTACATGAAAGACTAGTAATTTAAAAAATTTAATAACTGTGACACCTTTCAAAATGACATATAAAATAGATCAAAGCTGTTTTGTGAAGTGGGAACTGGGCTACTGGAGCTAGCTGTGCCTTGTCTCTCTTCCTGACTACTCCTATTCCAGGGTCATCTGTGGGAAATCCAGAAGTTCCTTTGAGCGTATTCTGAAAATTAACAGCCTTAATAAATAAGGATAATACCATAAGTGTAATGTAACAGTATTTTGAATTAGTTTATTGGTTTTCCATAAAGAATATCAATCATTTGAACAAGGTGGTTGAACAAGGTGGTGTTTTATTTTTTCACTTTTTAAGTTTTAAAAAAGATCGCAGTTATCACAACACTTAGTTTAAAAGACCGAGTGATTTATCTAGTATAATTTGTATGCAGAGGCTCCTAACTTTGTTGGTTTAAGTGGATTATGTCTATGCTGAAATTAACAAATGTAAAATAGTTACCTTCTTATTGATAGTTTAATAGGAGCACTAATATTTTATGTATATTTGATTTTGATAATGTGTAATAATATGATAGTAAATAACTTTTTCTTTTTTAAAACAGGGATTGCTTGGCATTTTGTACAGAACCAGTTTTTGCCAGTTTAGCCAATGTTCTTGGTAACTGGGAAAATCTACCTTCCCCTATATCTCCAGACATTAAGGATTATAAACTTTATGATGTAGAAACCAAATATGGTTTGCTTCAGGTATGTATTTTTATTCATCATGTAAAAAAGAGTTGTTTCCTTTAAAATTGGTTTTGGCATTTCAAACTTATTAACCATGTAAAACTATTTTAGGTAAACTTTTGGTTCTTGTTAGTAATTTAGTCATTATTCCTATGTTCTGGAAATTTTTTCTGCAGTTTGTTGTTCGGGTTAAATAATATTTTAAATATATCAAACTGATAACATTGGTAACCTTTGGGGGGTCACTTATTGGCTAGTGGATGGAGTGGGTTCCTTTTGATTCTTAAACTGAATACATTTTATAAAACATTCAATTGAAATAAAGTATTTGATAAAAATAAAAATTTTATCTTTAAGGAATTTAGTTAGTGATATCAAGAGGTATTGTTAGCCTTTTCTTTTCTTTTTTGAGACGGAGTTTCACTCTTGTTGCCCAGGCTGGAGTGCAATGGCACGATCTCAGCTCACTGCAACCTCCACCTCCCTGCAACCTCCAGCTCCCTGCAACTTCCACCTCCCAGGTTCAAGCGATTCTCCTGCCTCAGCCTCCCCAGTAGCTGGGATTACAGGCGTGCACCACCACGCCTAGCTAATTTTTGTATTATTGATAGAGATGGGGTTTCATCATGTTGGCCAGGCTGGTCTCGAACTCCTGACCTCGTGATCCACCCACCTCGGCCTCCCAAAGTGCTGGGATTACAAGAGTGAGCCACCACGCCTGGCTAGCCTTTTCATATATGCTCATTTTTTCAGATTTTCCTTTCCCTGCTTACCAAAATAATATCCTGACAGCTGACTTTGGTGGCTTATGCCTGTAATCCCAGCACTTTGGGAAGCTGAGAAGGGAGGATCACTTGAGCTCAGGAGTTTGAGACAACCCTGAGCTCAAACATAGCAAGACCTTGTTTCTACAAAAAAATTTTAAAAATTGGCTGGGCATGGTGGCATGCACCTGTGGTCCCAGCTACTCAGGAGGCTGAGTCAGGAGGATCGCTTGAGCTTGGGAGGTTGAGGATGCAGTGAGCTATGATAGTGCTACTGCACTCCAGCCTGGGTGACAGAGTGAGAGCCTGTCTTAAAAAAACAACAACAACAACAAAAATAATATCTTCAGTGCCATAGAATAAATTTATATAGTAGATTCTAAGTTCCTTTTGGGCAGACATTATTTTTATTACGTTTTAACAGCTTTATTAAGATATAATTGGCATACAGTAAACTACACATATTCAAAGTATGTGGTTTTATAAGTTCGACATACACTTACTTACCTGTGAAACCATCACCACGATCAAGATACTGCATCTATTTGTAACCCCCAAGAGCTTCCTCATACTCCTTGTAATCCCTGTCCCCTTTTCCTTGCAGTTTGTCTGTCCCTTGTCTCAGAAAATCACTGACCTGCTTTCTATCACTATGGGTAGATTTGCATTTTCTAGAATTTTATAAGTGGAATCATATGGTACCTATTCTTTTTCGGTCTGGCTTCTTTTAACCAACATAATTATTTGAGATTCACATGTTGTGTGTATCAATAGTTGATTCTTTTTTTTTTTTAATTGCTGAGTAGTTTTATGAATATACCACAGCTAGTCCATTTGCCTGTTCATAATATTTGGGTTGTTTCTAGTTTTTGGCTACTGTGCATAAAGCTGCTATGAACATTCATGTACAAGTTTTTGTATGAACATACACATTCGTTTCTCCTGATCAAGTACTTGGGAGAGGAATGGCTAGATCAAATAGTATGTGTATGATTCACTTTTTAAGAAAATGATACTGTTTTCCATAGTGGTTGTGCCATTTTACATTTCTATCAGCAGCATATAAGAATTTCATTTTTTTCACATCTTTGCCAAAATCTGCTATCTTTGGTCTCTTTGGTATCAGTCATTCTAACAGGTGTGCAGTAGTATCTCATAGTGCTTTTAATTTGTATTTCTCTGATCAATAATGATAGCGAGCATCTTTTCATATGCTTCTTTGCCATCTGAATATCTTTTTAGGTGAAATATCTCTTCAGATACTTTGCCCATTTTTTTGAGGGGTTGTTTTCTTATTGACTTACGTGTGGACACAGTACATAATTTGCATAATTTACAAAGATTTTCTCCCAATCTGGCTTATCTTGTCATTCTCTTAGCTGTATTTTTTAAAGAATTGTGGCAAAATACCATCTTAACCATTTTTAAAAATTATTTTTAATTTTTGTGGGTACATAGTAGGTATATATACTTATACATGAGATACTTTGATACAGGCATGCAATGCATAATAATTGCATCATGGAAAATGGGGCATCCATCTCCTCAAGCATTTATCCTCTGTATTACAATCCATTATACTCCTTTAGCTATTTTTAAATGTACAATTAAATTATTATTGACTTTAGTCACCCTGTTGTGCTAGCAAGTTCTAGGTCTTATTCATTTTTTTCTAACTATTGTTTTTGTACCCATTAACCATCCCTACTTTCCCCCACCTCCCTCAACTGCCCTTCCCAGCCTCTGGTAACCATCCTTCTACTCTCCATCTCCATGAGTTCAATTGTTTTGATTTTTAGCTCCTACAAATAAGGGAGAACATTCAAAGTTTGTCTTTTTGTCCCTGAGTTATTTTGCTTAACATAATGACACCCAGTTCCATCTATGTTGTTGCAAATGACAAGATCTCCTTTTTTATGACTGAATAGTACTCCATTATGTATATGTACCATATTTTCTGTATCTGTTCATCTGTTGATGGACACTTAGTTTGCCTCTAAATCTTGGTTATTGTGAATAGTGCTGCAACAAACATGGGAGTGCAGATATCTCTTTGCTATACGGATTTCCTTTTTACTTTTGAGAATATACCTAGGAGTGGGATTGCTGGATTGTATGGTAGCTCAAATTTTAGTTTTTTGAAGAACCTCCAAATTGTTCTGTATAGTTCTTGTACTAATTTACATCCCCGCCAACAGTGTACGAGGGTTCTATATTCTCCACATCTTCTCCAGCATTTGTTACTGCCTGTCTTTTGTATGAAGGCATTTTAATTTGGGTGAGTTGATATCTCATTGTAGTTTTCATTCGTGTTTCTCTGATGATCATTGATGTTGGGCACCTTTTCTTATGCCTGTTTGCCATTTGTATGTCTTCTTTTGAGAAATGTCTATTCAAATCTTTTGCCCATTTTTGATCAGATTATTAGTTTTTTTTTCAATGGAGTTGTTTGAACTTCTTATATATTCTGATTATTAATCCCTTGTCAGATGGGTCATTTGCAAACATTTTCTCCCACTCTGTGGGTTGTCTTTTCACTTTGTTGTTTATTTCATTTGATGTGCGCAAGGCTTTTAACTTGATGTGATCCCATTTGTCCGTTTTTGCTTCGGTTACCTGTACTTGTAGGGCATTACTCAAGAATTCTTTGAGGACAATGTGTATTCTGTAGCCATTGGTTGAAATGTTCTGTAAATATCTATGAGATCCATTTAATCTATGGTGCAGATTAAGTCTGATGTTTCTTTGTTGATTTTCTGTCTGGAAGATTGGTCCAGAATTGCCTTCAAGAGCCTAGGCTTGGACTTGGGCACCTCAAGAACCCACTTGGTGCTCTTCCCTGCTATGGCCAAGCTGGTACCTAAGGTGCAAGACAAAGTTCCCTTTGCTTTTCCTCTGCTTTCTCAAATAAAGGGAGTCTTTCACCATAGCCACCACAGCTGGGAATGTGCTGGGTCACCGCCCTGAAGCCAGCACAGCCCAAGACCCATGGCGTACTATGTGGGTATCACTATTGGTTATTCAGGGCCCGATGGCTCTTTAATCAGCAGGTGATGAATCCCGCCAGGACTGGGTCCTTCCCTTCAAGGCAGCGGGTCCCCTTTGGCCTAGGTGTGTCTAGAAATGTCATCCATGAGCTAGGGTCTAGATTGGGGCCCTTAAAACTGCCTGGTGCTGTATTCTACTGTGGCTGAGCTGTTACCTAAATGCAAGACAAAGTCCTTTTTACACTTCACTCTATTCTCTTCAGACAGAAGGAAGGAGACCCTTTTGTTGCTGCCAGCTACATTGCCTGGGGTTGGGTGGGGGAGGTGGTGCAAGCACTCCCTTATCTGTCCCAGTTGTTGTCTCCCTAGATCTCCCTAGGACACTTGCCATCCTAGTCAGTTGACTCTAAGCCCAGCCCAGGACTAAGAGTTGCATAGAAATTGCAGTGCTTTACAATTTGGTGTGTTTTTGCAGTGGCTGGTACCAGTTTTTCCTTTCCATATTTAGTGCTTTCTTCAGGAGCTCTTGTAAGGCAGGCCTGGTGGTGACAAAATCTCGCAACTTTTGCTTGTCTGTGTAGGATTTTATTTCTCCTTCACTTATGAAGGTTAGTTTGGCTGGATAAGAAATTCTGGGTTGAAAATTCTTTTCTTTAAGAATATTGAATATTAGCCCCCACTGTCTTCTGGCTTGTAGGGTTTCTGCAGAGAGATCTGCTGTTAATCTGATCAGCTTTTCTTTGTGGGTAACCCGACCTTTCTCTCTGGCTTAACATTTTTTCCTTCATTTCAACCTTGGTGAATCTGATAATTATGTGTCTTGAGGTTGCTCTTCTCAAGAAGTATCTTTGTGGTGTTCTCTGTATTTCCTGAATTTGAATGTTGGCCTGTCTTGCTAGGTTGGGGAAGTTCTCCTGGATAATATCCTGAAGAGGATTTTCCAACTTGGTTCCATTCTCCTTATCACCTTCAGGTACACCAGTCAAACGGAGGTTTGGTCTTTTCACATAGTCCCATATTTCTTGGAGGCTTTGTTCATTCCTTTTCATTCATTTTTCTCTAATCTTGTCTTGATGCTTTATTTCATCAAGTTGATCTTCAGTCTCTGATATCCTTTCTTCCGCTTGATCGATTCAGCTATTAATAATTGTGTATGCTTCACGAAGTTCTCATGCTGTGTTTTTCAGCTCCATCGGGTCATTTATGTTCTTCTCTAAACTGGTTATTCTAGTTAGCAATTCCTCTTTTTCAAGGTTCCTAGCTTCCTTGCATTGGGTTAGAACATGCTCCTTTAGCTCGGAGGAGTTTGTTTTTACTTACCTTCTGAAGCCTACTTCTGTCAATTCGTCAAACTTATTCTCTGTCCAGTTTTGTTCCCTCACTGGTGAGGAGTTGTGATCCTTTGGAGGAGAAGAGGCATTCTGGTTTTTGGAATTTTCAGCCTTTTGGCACTGTTTTTTCCTCATCTTCATGGATTTATCTACCTTTGGTCTTTGATGTCGGTGACTTTCAAATGGGGTTTTTGTGTAGATGTCCTTTTTGTTGATGTTGATGTTTTCTGTTGATTCTTTTCTGTTTGTTAATTTTCCTTCTAACAGTCAGGCCCCTCTGCTGCATGTCTGTTGGAGTTTGCTGGAGGTCCACTCCAGACCCTGTTTGCCTGGGTATCACCAGCGGACGCTGCAGAACAGCAAAGATTGCTGCCTAATCCTTCCTCTGGAAGCTTTGTCCTAGAGAGGCACCTGCCAGATGCCAGCCAGAGCTCTCCTGTATGAGATGTCTGTCGACCCCTGCTGGGAGGTGTCTCCCAGTCAGGAGGCACTGGGGTCAGGGACACACTTGATGAGGCAGTCTGTCCCTTAGCAGAGCTCGAGTGCTGTGCTGGGAGATCCGCTGCTCTCTTTACAGCCAGTAGGGAGGAATGTTTAAGTCTCCTGAAGCTGTGCCCACAGCTGCCTCTTCCCTCAAATGCTCTGTCTCAGGGAAATGGGAGTTTTATGTATAAACCCCTGACTGGGGCTGCTGCCTTTCTTTCATAGATGCCTGCCCAGAGAGGAGGAATCTAGAGAGCTAGTCTGGTTATAGTGGCTTTGCAGCTGCAGTGGGTTCTGCCCAGTGTGAACTTCTACGCGGCTTTGTTTACACTGTGAGGGGAAAACCACCTACTGAAGCTTCAGTAATGGCAGACGCCTCTCCCCTCACTGAGCTCGAGTGTCCCAGGTTGATTTCAGACTGCTGTGCTGGCAGCAAGAATTTCAAGCCATTGGATCTTAGCTGGCTGGGCTCCTTGGGGGTGGGATCTGCTGAGCAAGACCACTTGGTTCCCTGGCTTCAGCCTCCTTTCCAGGGGAGTGAACGGTTCTGTCTCGCTGGAGTTCTAGGCACCACTGGGGTTTGAAAAAAAAAAACTGCAGCCAGCTCGGTGTCTGCCCAAACGGCGCCCAGTTTTGTGCTTGAAACCCAGGGTCCTGGTGGTGTAGGTACCTGAGGGAATCTCCTGGTCTGCGGGTTGCAAAGACCGTGGGAAAAGCATAGTATCTGGGCCAGAATGCACCATCCCTCATGGGACATACAGTCTCTCATGGCTTCCCTTGGCGACAGGAGGGAGTTCCCCGACCCCTTGAGCTTCCCAGGTGAGGTGAAGCCACACTGTGCTTCAGCTTGCCCTCTGTGGGCTGCACCCACTGTCTACAGGCAAAACCAGCTAGCATCATAATGATAGGATCAAATTCACACATAACAATATTAACCTTAAATGTAAACGGGCTAAATGCCCCAATTAAAAGACACAGACTGGCAAATTGGATGAAGAGTCAAGACCCATCAGTGTGCTGTATTTAGGAGACTCATCTCACGTGCAAAGACACACATAGGCTCAAAATAAAGGAATGGAGGAGTATTTATCAAGCAAATGGAAAGCAAAAAAAAAAGCGGGGGTTGCAGTCCTAGCCTCTGATATAACAGCCTTTAAACCAACAAAGATCAAAAAAGACAAAGAAGGGCACTACATAATGGTACAGGGATCAATGCAACAAGAAGAGCTAACTATCCTAAATATATATGCATCCAATACAGGAGCACCCAGATACATAAAGCAAGTCCTTAGAGACCTACAAAGAGACTTAGACTCCCACGCAATAATAGTGGGTGACTTTAACAGCCCATTGTCAATATTAGACAGATCAACGAGACAGAAAATTAACAAGGATATTCAGGACTTGAACTCAGCTCTGGACTAAGTGGCCCAAATAAACATCTACAGCACTCTCCATCCCAAATCAACAGAATATACATTCTTCTCAGCACCACATTGCAGTTATTCTAAAATTGACCACATAATTGGAAGTAAAACACGCCTCAGCAAATGCAAAAGAATGGAAATCCTAACAAACAGTCTCTCAGACCACAGTGCAATCAAATTAGAACTCAGGATTAAGAAACTCACTCAAAACCACACAACTACATGGAAACTGAAGAACCTGCTCCTGAATGACTACTGGGTAAATAACGAAATTAAGGCAGAAATAAATAAGTTCTTTGAAACTAATGAGAACAAAGACACAACATACCAGAATCTCTGGGACACAGCTAAAGCAGTATGTAGAGGGAAATTTATAGCACTAAATGTCCACAGGAGAAAGCAGAAAAGATCTAAAATCAACATCCTAACGTCACAATTAAAAGAAAAGCAAGAGCAAACAAATTCAAGAGCTAGCAGAAGACAATAAATAACTAAGATTAGAGCAGAACCAAAGGAGATAGAGACATGAAAAACCCTTAAAAATAAATCAGTGAATCTAGGAGCTGGTTTTTTTTTTTTTTTTTTTTTAAAGATTAACAAAATAGACTGCTAGCCAGACTAATAAAGAAGAAAAGAGAGAATAATCAGACACAATAAAAAATGATAAAGGGGATATCACCACTGATCCCACAGAAATACAAACTACCATCAGAGAATACTATAAATCCTTCTATGCAAATAAACTCGAAAATCAAGAAGAAATGGATAAATTCCTGGACACATACACCCTCCCAAGACTAAACCAGGAAGAAGTCAAATCCCTGAATAGACCAATAACAAATTCTGAAATTGATATAGTAATTAATAGCCTACGAACCGAAAAAAGCCCAAGACCAGATGGGTTCACAACCAAATTCTACCAGAGGTAGAAGGAACTGGTACCATTCCTTCTGAAACTATTCCAAACAATAGAAAAAGAGGGACTCCTCCCTAACTCATTTTATGAGGCCACCATCATCCTGATACCAAAACCTGGCAGAGCTACAACAAAAGAAGAAAATTTCAGGCCAATATCCCTGATGAACACTGATGCAAAAATCCTCAATAAAATACTGACAAACCGAATCCAGCAGCACATCAAAAAGCTTATCCACCATGATCAAGTCGGCTTCATCCGTGGGATGCAAGGCTGGTTCAACATATGCAAATCATTAAATGTCATCCATCACATAAACAGAACCAATGACAAAAACCACATGATTATATCAATAGTTGCAGAAAAGGCCTTTGATAAAATTCAACACCACTTCATGCTAAAAACTCTCAATAAACTAGGTTTTGATAGAACATATCTCAAAATAATAAGAGCCATTTATGACAAACTCACAGCCAGTATCATACTGAATGGGTAAAAGCTGGAAGCATTCCTTTTGAAAACTGGCACAAATGCCCTCTCTCACCACTCCTATTCAACATTGTATTGGAAATTCTGGCCAGGGCAATCAGGCAAGAGAATGAAATAAAGGGTATTCAGATAGGAAGAGAGGAAGTCATATTGTCTCTGTTTGCAGATGACATGATGGTATATTTAGAACACTCCATCGTCTCAGCTCAAAATCTCCTTATGCTGATAAGCAACTTCAGCAAAGTCTCAGGATACAAAATCAATAAAAAATAACAAGCATTCCTATGCAGCAATAACAGACAAACAGAGAGCCAAATCATAAGTGAACTCCGATTCACAATTGATACAAAGAGAATAAAATACCTAGGAATACAACTTACAAGGGATGTGAAGGACCTCTTCAAGGAGAACTACAAACCACTCCTGAAGGAAATAAGAGAGGACACAAACAAATGGAAAAACATTCCATGCACATGGATAGGAAGAATTAATATTGTGAAAATGGCCATACTGCCTAAAGTAATTTGTAGATTCAGTGCTATCCCCATCAAGCTACCACTGATTTTCTTCACAGAATTAGAAAAAAGTACTTTAAATTTCATATGGAACCAAAAAGAACCTGTATAGCCAAGACAAACCTAAGCAAAAAGAACAAAGCTGGAGTCATCATGCTACCTGACTTCAAACTATACTGTAAGGCTACAGTAACCAAAACAGCATGGTACTGATACCAAAACAGATACATAGACCAATAGAACAGAACAGAGGCCTCAGAAACAATGCCACACATCTTCAACCATCTGATCTTTGACAAACCTGACAAAAACAAGCAATGGGGAAAGGATTTCCTATTTAATGAATAGTGTTGGGAAAACTGGCTAGCCACATGCAGAAAACTGAAACTGGACCCCTTCCTTACACCTTATACAAAAATTAACTCAAGGTGGATTAAAGACTTAAACATAAGACCTAAATCCATAAAAACCCTAGAAGAAAACCTAGGCAATACCATTCAGGACTTAGGCATGGGGAAAGACTTCATGACTAAAGCACCAAAAGCAATGGCAACAAAAGCCAAACTTGAGAAGTGGGATCTAATTAAACTAAAGAGCTTTTGCACAGCAAAAGAAACTATCATCAAAGTGAACAGGCAACCTACAGAATGGGAGGAAAATTTTGCAATCTATCCATCTGACAAAGGGCTAATATCCAGAATCTACAAGGAACTTAAACAAATTTACAAGAAAAAACAACCCCATCAAAAAGTGGGCGAAGCATATGAACAGACACTTCTGAAAAGGACATTTATGCAGCCAACAAACATATGAAAAAAAGCTCATCATCACTGGTCATTAGAGAAATGCAAATCAAAACCACAGTGAGATACCATCTCATGCCAGTTAGAATGGCAATCATTAAAACGTCAGGAAACAACAGATGCTGGAGAGGATGTGGAGAAATAGGAATGCTTTTACACTGTTGGTGGGGGTGTAAATTAGTTCAACCATTGTTGAAAACAGTATGGCGATTCCTCAAGGATCTAGAACCAAAAATACCATTTGACCCAGCAATCTCATTACTGGGTATATATCCAAAGGATTATAAATGATTCTACTATAAAGACACATGCACACGTATGTTTATTGCAGCACTATTCACAGTAGCAAAGACTGGAACCAACCCAAATGCCCATCAATGATAGATTGGATAAAGAAAATGTGGCACATATACACCATGGAATACTATGCAGCCATAATAAAGGATGAGTTCACGTCCTTTGCAGGGACGTGGATGAAGCTGGAAACTATCATTCTCAGCAGACTAACACAGAAACAGAAAACCAAACACCGCATGTTCTCACTTATAAGTGGGAGTTGAACAGTGAGAACACATGGACACTGGGAGGGGAGCATCACACACTGGGGCCTGTCCGGGGGTGGGGGACTAGGGAAGGGATAGCATTAGGAGAAATACCTAATGTAGGTGACTGGTTGATGGGTGCAGCAAACCACCATGGCACGTGTATACCTATGTAAAAAAAACTGCACATTCTGCACATGTATCCCAGAACTTAAAGTGTAATAATTAAACAACAACAACAAAAAAGAAAGAAATTGCAGTCCTTGTGTAGTCCTAGAGTGCCTTTCAAGTTTATCTAGGTCCCCAGAACACTTTGGTCCATGGTGCAGAGGCCTGCCAAGAAACTCCAGTTCTGACCTCTGTGATGGGTGATTCCCATCTGGCTAGGTCTCGTTCAAATGCTCCCTTAGAGCATGTGTGCTAGTTGAGCCCAGCATAGCTTTGCTTTCTGCTGTTACAGGGTAGCACTGAGATCAATATAAAGTCTCCTAGTCACTACACTGTCCCCCAAGTGCACAGATTATGTCTCTATGCTGTACATCCCCAGTAAGGGACTGGGGAGAGATGGTGTAGGCAATTGAGGACTGACTGCTAACCAGCCATGAAAGAGCACTTCTTCAGTGCCTCTTTCAGTGATACAAAGTTAAAACCAGGTACTGTGAGTGCTCACCTGATTTTTGGGTATTTTGATTTGTGTGTGTGTGTGTGTGTGTGTGTGTGCGCGCGCGTGTGTGCAGCTAGTTTTTAAAATTTGGTGTTCCTGCGCAGGGAGGATATACAGTGTAGGATTCTATTTGGCCATCTTACTCTGCCCTCTTCCATCTTAACCATTTTTAAGTGTACATTTGAGTCCGTTCATTAAGTACATTCACATTGTCATGGAACCATCACCACCATACATCTCCACAATTGTTTTCATCTTAGCAATCTGAAACTCTGCCCCTGAAACAGTATCTCCTTATTCCTCCAACTCCTCCTCCCTTCCTGCCCCTGGCAACCACAATTGTACTTTCTGTCTCTATGAATTTGACTACTCTAGGTACTTCGTGTAAGTGGAATCATACAGTACTTGTTATTTTGTGATTGGCCTATGTTAGCATAATGTTCTCAAGGTTCATCCATGTTGTAGCATTTGTTGGAATTTCCTTCCTTTTAAAGGCTAAATAATATTCCATTATATGTATATGCATAGCAATTCATGTGTCCATTGATAGATGATAGTTGCTTATACACATTATAAGCAGCTTATGTGCCCAGTCATCTGTCAATGGACCTTGAATTGCTTCCACATTTTGGCTATTGTGAATAATGCTGCTGTGCAAATGAGTATACAAACATCTCTGTAAGACCCTGCTATCAGTTCTTTGCAGTATCTACCCAGAAATAGAATTGCTGGATCATACACTGATTCTATTTTTGGGGGGAACAATTATACTGTTTTACATAGCACCTATATTCCCACCAACAGTACACAAAGATTCTAGTTTCTCCATATCCTCACCAGCAGTTATTATTTTTTTCTCTCTCTCTATTTTAATTATCCCATGGTATGTAAAGATGTGGATTTTCTTTTTTCTTTCTCTTTTATTTTGTTTTTTTTTGGAGATGGCGTCTTGCTGTGTTGCCCAGGCTGGAGTTCAGTGGCACAATCTCAGCTCACTACAACCACCACTTCCCAGGTTCAAGTGATTCTTCTGCCTCAGCCTACCGAGTAGCTGGGTCTAGAGGCACGCGCCACCATGCCTGGCTGATTTTTGTGTTTTTAGTATTGACGGGGTTTCCCCATGTTGGCTAGGCTGGTCTCGAACTCCTGACCTGTGATCCGCCTGCCTCGGCCTCCCAAATGGCTGGGATTACAGGCATGAGCCACTGTGCACAGCCTGGATTTTCTCTTTTTTTAAATAGTAGCCATCCTCATGGATGTGAGGTGAGAGCTCACTGTGGTTTTGATTTGCATTTCCCTAATGGTTAGTGACTTCGAGCATCTTTTCATGTGTTTATTGGCCATTCATATGTCTTCTTTGGAATGTATGTTCAAGTCCTGGAAGTCAGTGTGCATTGGCTTGCCAAAAGCTACTCCTTGGAAACAGAAATCTAACCTTTAGTTTTGGTTGACACATTCCGTGGTGATGTCAGGGACAAATATAAAAATTACCAAATATTAATCCACTGTGAGAATAAGTGAACTTCAGTTGAATATTTGAAAACTGAGTATAATGCTATTCAGGAAAACTGAATTTCAATCTGAAGTGTATGTATATAAAAATCTTAATATTCACTGTCTGCAACTCAAGAATAAAAGATTCCCTCACTTTTCAAACTCAGGAACTGAATAAATTTGGACATCAAAGGATTCTTTATCTTTTCTTCTGTTTATATGCATATAGGAAGGAACTTAATAAATAGGTGTACTCTGGTTTTATAACTAGATTTTTCTCACTAATCTTCAGATTGTTCTGGCAATTGACTACATCTGTGTATACTTTGGTATTTATGATGAAATTTGATTTTTAGCTGACACGCAAAACTTTTATTGTGAAGAGTAGCAATAATTATTATTTTTGTGAGACATTTTATTATAATTGAAAGGAGTTTTATTTAGTGTAAAATGTGTTTTTTCCATTTACAGGTTTCTGAAGGATTGTCATTCTTGCATAGCAGTGTGAAAATGGTGCATGGAAATATCACTCCTGAAAATATAATTTTGAATAAAAGTGGAGCCTGGAAAATAATGGGTTTTGATTTTTGTGTATCATCAACCAATCCTTCTGAACAAGAGGTAATGAAAGTTTTAGTCTTCTAATTTTTGAGGCCAGGGAAATTTTGATTGCATCTGGAATGGACTAGAAATAGGCTATGTGGTACAGTGGTATGTTTAGATATACAGCTTTATAGAAAATTTATAGTGTTCATTGCACTTAAGAGTATTCTTCGGCACATTACTACCACAGTAGTTAATGTTATTTGAGAAAAGGATGCCAGAGTTAAATAAATTTAAGAATTATTTGATTAAATAGGGTTTTTTTTTTTCCTCAGGATGTCAAATGCAATAACACATGTGACTCTCTAGCAGTGTTTCCTGTTTATTGGGTCATGGAATATTCTTTAGGGAGCATAATAATAGCAGTGGCAATAGCTAACATTCTTATTGAAGCACTTTTCCACACACTTTCTCTGTACTTATTTAATCCTCACAATAACTCAGTGGGGTATAGGAATAATACAGATAAGTTAAGTAGGCTCAGAGAATAAAAGAACTGCCTAAATTTAGGTAGATGGTAAGTGATAGAGCCAGAATTTGAACGCAGCCTTTCTGCTTCCAAAGCACCTTTTCTTAATGATTAGGATACCTGCCTATTCATACTTAGAGAAACACTGTATTAAATCAATTCTGCCTTGTATTGATTGGGTCTGCATGGCATAGAAGATCCTTGGTGATATGGCACCTTATGATCGTTGGTGATAGGTTTTTCTTATATGTAGTCGTTAGAGGGCCTGTGATTTGACCTAAGATTTGTAAGTTGAGCAGCCAGTTTTAAGGTAATCAGAACTAACTAGTATTGGTTGGATATATATCATGAGTGGGTCAGACACTGCTAGGTCAAACTTCCACACATTTGTTTAATCGTTACTACAATCTTTTGAACTTTTTAACTAAATCACATAGCTAATTAGTGAAAGAACAAATTGCAAACAACAGTCTCTATCTGAGCTCATACAACTTTTGAAGCCTGTGTATCATAAAACATGAGCCAGACCTTCACATGTTCATATTACATATTACAGTGATAATTTGTCTTCCGGAAGAGACTCCAGTAATCTCAGTTGTAACGGTTCTTATTTCTCATTTTGTTGCATGGACTTTTTTACATTTGGGAATTTGGGAATTTTGGGATTGAAGGCGTGATGGCATTTTTACTTGCATGACCGAGTAGAAATTTAAAGATAGATTACTACTGCTTGATAGTTGTTTGGTTGAATTTGAAGTAACCCATGTAATTCCTTTTCTTACTACAGCCTAAATTTCCTTGTAAAGAATGGGACCCAAATTTACCTTCATTGTGTCTTCCAAATCCTGAATATTTGGCTCCTGAATACATACTTTCTGTGAGCTGTGAAACAGCCAGTGATATGTATTCTTTAGGAACTGTTATGTATGCTGTATTTAATAAAGGGAAACCTATATTTGAAGTCAACAAGCAAGATATTTACAAGAGTTTCAGTAGGCAGTTGGATCAGGTATTTGCCTATAAATAATTTGCTTGCATTAAAAAATTTATTAAATGTGTCTTTGATTTTTTTCCAAAATGTGTTCAGGAAATTCTTTAAATGACATGAGTATCTCATTTTAAGTTTGCATAAGATCAGCTTAATAATTTATTATATTTTTATTTTAACAAATTTATAAGTAACGCAGACTAGGCCAGGTGCTCTGGCTCACGCCTGTAATCCCAGCACTTGGGGAGACCCAAGGCGGGTGGATCACTTGAGTCCAGGAGTTCGAGACCAGCCTGGGTAACATGGCCAAACCACTTCTCCACAAAAAAAAAAATACAAAAAGTTAGCTGGGCTTGGTGGCACATGCCTGTAGTCCCAGCTACTTGGAAGGCCGATCAGGGTGGGAGGATCACTTGAGCCTGGGAGTTTGGGGCTGCAGTGAGCTATGATTGTGCCACTGCATGCCAGCCTGGGGTGACAGAGTGAGACCCTGTCTCAAAAAAATATTTTTTTCAAATAAATAAAGAGGACTAGTTAAAATTTGTTACAGAACTTTAGTCATGGCATTTGAGTAAATATAAATACTGGAACATTTTACTGTAGGAATAGAAACAATTTTGGGTATTAAAGATAAGGGTTTTGTTTTGCAACAATAGAATTAACAGTGTGTTTAAAATGTAGTCAGTATATTTGTAGTAAAATATTGAGTAAATTTTTAAATGTTTTCTTAAATGTATATGTCTTTTTAAATATTTTATACTCATTTAATGTTATCACTCTTTTGAATAGTTGAGTCGTTTAGGATCTAGTTCACTTACAAATATACCTGAGGAAGTTCGTGAACATGTAAAGCTACTGTTAAATGTAACTCCGACTGTAAGACCAGATGCAGATCAAATGACAAAGGTGAGTACATGTGGATTTCTGCCTAAGATGGAGGAACAAAAAATGAGTTGAAGTAGATTAAGTTTTTGGGTTTTAAAAAAATATTTTTCCCCAGGGATCCCTGTTCTGAGATTAAGTTCTTCTAAAGCAACAGTCAGATACAGCCCCAAATAACATCTGTATCCTTGAGTGTATTAAATATTCAATTTTGCTTAATCTTACACAGCTAAATATGTACGTAATTGCTCTGATAGAAAATTAAGATTTCAAATAAGCAGAGTGCTAACAGTCACAATTAAGTAAACAGATGTTCTAGACTCTTAGAGAATTCATAGTCCTTTATTTCACTCATATAACCATGGATTTTTTTTTTTTTTTTTTTAGACAGAGTTTCACTCTGTCACCCAGGCTGGAGTGTAGTGGCACGATCTCCACTCAATGCAACCTCCACCTCCCAGGTTCAAGCAATTCTCATGCCTCAGCCTCCCAAGTAATTGGGATTACAGGCCCCCACCACCACACCTGGCTAATTTTTGTATTTTTGGTAGAGACAGTGTTTCACCATTTTGGCTAGGCTGGTCTTGTCCTGACCTCAGGTGATCTGCCTACCTCGGCCTCCCGAAGTGTTGGGATTATAGGCATGAGCCACCGTGCCCGGGCCAACCATGGATTTTAACTAATAACTGGTATTTTTATGCCTTCAAATTATTTTATTTAATCTTTCAATATTTTAGACTTACATAAAAGAAAGTTTTTACCCAGCCAATTCACAGGTACAGATTCCAAAGATTTGAACTTGAAAAATCATTTATTTTCTTATTCAGAGTTTTATAATTAGAATTTCTAAGGTGATCTTCAGCATTTTGCTAAATGTTTCTGAGTATTTTTTTTACCATATTGTGACAGTTTCAGATATGAGAAGTACTTTCAATTTAACATTTATCAAAATACTTTATTTCCATTTTTTTTAGATTCCCTTCTTTGATGATGTTGGTGCAGTAACACTGCAATATTTTGATACCTTATTCCAAAGAGATAATCTTCAGAAATCACAGTTTTTCAAAGGACTGCCAAAGGTTCTACCAAAACTGCCCAAGGTTTGTTATTGTTAGTTTCTTATTAATAATCAGGATTTTAGAAGTTAAAGTTTATTTTGACTTACTACCATAACTCTTCCAAGAAAATAATATAACTTTGCCTGAGGTACATAAATGACTATAAAACACTGCCAACTGAAGCCAAAAGTTCAGTGGACCTTTTTTTGCGTGGTCCAAAAATAAATAGGCTAAAAAATTTAGAAGGATACTAACTAGGCAGAGACAGCAGTTGGATATTAAAGGTCAGAAGAAGAGTCCATAAGCTATCATGTGGAGTTCATTGTCTCACCAGCAGTTAAAGGGGTACTTCTGTTGATGTTAGCCTTTCCAATTCCTTTACTCCTTTTCTGACTTATTAAATGATGAGTGTAATACAGTTTTTAAAATGTTGGTGAATGCTGAAGAGGCACTGGTTGGAATACTAATAATTCCTGGTTGTAAAAACATTTCCAGTGTTTAATCTATCAGATATTCGTTAGTTACCTACTGTTTGTCTGACTCTTTACTTAGATGCTATGGAGAGTAAAGAGGAGGCATAAAATACTGTCCCTGCTCTCAGGCCCTTATAGTAAGTGTAGCTAGGGTTAACGTGTGAAACAGTTAACAGTACATGATAGTGTTTATGTTGTGTGGTATGAATCGTAAGTAATGAAGGAATCAAGAGGAAAAACAAACATAGCGGTGGAGACTAATTAGGGTAAGTTTCCTACAGGTAGGGTGACCGTGTGTCCCCTTTTACCCATGACCTTTCCAGTTTATGCTATTTATCCTTGCATAATTAGCAATAGCATCCCACTTTACTCTGAAAATATACCAGTTTCAACCATAAATTGTATCGTCACGTTACCTAAAGGGATTAGAGGTTTTAGACCTTAGTGTTAACTAATACTAAAAACCTTTAATAAATTTTATTTTTTTTTTAAAAAACATTTTTGCCTTTCAGCGTGTCATTGTGCAGAGAATTTTGCCTTGTTTGACTTCAGAATTTGTAAACCCTGACATGGTACCTTTTGTTTTGCCCAATGTTCTACTTATTGCTGAGGAATGCACCAAAGAAGAATATGTCAAATTAATTCTTCCTGAACTTGGCCCTGTGTTTAAGCAGCAGGAGCCAATCCAGGTATGTTATAGATATTTTTGTGTATTTATCTACTGTTATTTATGATTGTGACTATCACTGAAAACAAAAGGAATGAATATATGACTTAAAAAAAACTGAGGTAAGTGTATGAGACTTTCTTTTCCATTAGTCAGAAAGCTGCTTTACATGTTTGAACCAAACTATTTTTAAAATTATGATTGAACTTTGCAGTTAAATGTCTGTAGCTCTCCATAAGTTACTATCTCAGAAGATAAACTGCAATGAAATTTTGCATGTGTTATACTGTTCTTTATGTACCATATATATACTTTGTAGAAAGTTACAGGTTTAGGAAAATAAATACTTGTTTTTCTCTTGCACTTTGAAGTATTTGAAGTATTTTTGATTATTTTGTTATTTAAGTCTTTAATATGTAGGTGCTTTGTGCCAGTTGTTTCTCTCCATTTTATTGCTAATAACTACTTCCACTAGAATAGGAAAATGCTTACAGCACCATGGGAATAATGTGTATATGTATTGTAAGTGAAAAAAGTAATCAGTCTCTCATGTATATAATATATATTTGCTAGATTGAAGGTAATGTTGGATTTAAGAGCAGTAGAGTCACACACCTGGGTTGAATTGGGGCTTCTTTATCTCCTTACTTGAAGTATGACTTGTGTCGTTGCCATCTTAAAGCTTCTATTTCCTCATTTCTAAAATGAAAAGGATTGTTGAGATTAAATGAAATTTTCTGGCACATAGCAGGTATTATTACATGTTTGTAGCATTGTATAGGAATAGCTTATTAGTTATATATCAACTATCTAATTTAATGGTTTTATGATTCTTTGTAGTCCTTCCCTTGAAAGGAGGGGAACAGAAGGAAGTATGTGGTGGTAAGGTGAGAATTTCTGTGAATTAGGGAAAGAACAAGTGAGGGAGCTGTAGCCTGTGAAGCAGGGTTCCCCCAAATGGTCAAGGTGTCATGAGGGAAAGTTGGTGGAGCCACTGTTCCCTAAGCTATGCATCAGTCAAGATAGTACCCTAAGGATCCTATAATCTGAATTCTTATTTGCCTCCATTCTTTTTTCTCTTAGTTGTCCAGTTAAAAATACCTTTTGGGCCAGGTGCAGTGGCTCACGCTTGTAATCCCAGTTCTTTGTCGTGTCAAAGCAGGCAGATTGCTTGAGCCCAGGAGTTCAAGACCAGCCTGGGCAACATGGTGAAACCCTGTCTCTTCAAACAAATACAAAAATAAGCCAGGTGCCTGCCTGTGGTCCCAGCTACTCAGGAGGCTGAGGTGGGAGGATCACCTGAGCCCTGGGAGGTCGAGGCTGCGGTAAGCTATGATCGCGCCACTGCGCTCCAGCCTGGGTGACAGAGTGAGTGAGGCCCTGTCTCAAAAAAAAAAAAAAAGAAAAAATTTCTTCCGAATATTCTTCCCTGAGTCTTGGCAAAACTAATTTCTGTATAAATAGAAGGGGCAGTATGTTCCTTATAATTTAGGTATGTGGAAGAATGACCAGGGACAACTTAAAAACATTTTTTTCTAAAATAAAAAAAATTTTTTTAAGAGATAGGGTCTTGCTATGTTGCCTTGGCTGGACTTAACTTCTGGGCTCAAGCAATTCCCCTGTTTCAGCCGCCCAAATAGCTGGGACTGCAGGTGTGTGCCACTGCACCTGGCGTCTAGAATTTTTTCTTATACTCCCTCTCAGTTCTGTACTTTCTTTTTCTCTTGAGCTTCATAGAAGCCAAGTGATGGACTTTACTTCTTTGGGATATCTCACTTTACTGGCTTTTTTCACCCTGTAGCTTTCCAGATAGTTGGTATGTGTGGGCAAGTGATAGATTACTGTAGATATGTGAGAGGAGATTAGTCTTTATTTAATTAACATTTAAACTCAGAGCAGATGTTAAATATTGTGCCTCCAGAAATGTAAGAGACTTGATTTGTGTGTTTTTGTCTTCCACGCATTCAGGCTAGCAACATGGTGAGTGTCAAAATATATGAGTTATTCTTTTGAAGAAGCTTTACATTTGGCATATATTGAATCTTTTAAAGATTCCAGGTTTTAATACATTGTTTCCGTTTTCTAAACAGATTTTGTTAATTTTCCTACAAAAAATGGATTTGCTACTAACCAAAACCCCTCCTGATGAGATAAAGAACAGTGTTCTACCCATGGTTTACAGAGCACTAGAAGCTCCTTCCATTCAGATCCAGGTACAGTATCTGATTTGTTTTTCTTTAATGATGATTTTGATTCTTAAAGCAGAAGAAGAGGTATAAAGTACATTTTGGATTTAAGTCATAAAATACATAACTCAATAGTAAATATATTTATCTTTTGAATCACATTATTGATATACTGTAACTAAAATATATTCACTCCTAACTAATTTAAAGAATCAGTGTATTGTAAGTGAAAAAAGTAATCAGTCTGTGTACATAATACCTGCATTATGAGGTAGATTTGTTGCTTTTATTTATCAGAAATGTACTATTATGGAAGAAGATTTGATATGTTGTAGTTTGTATTATTGTATACCTTCATCTTTCTGCTTCTTTCTAAACTGATAATTATGAACAAAAATTCCGAAGATGCATGTGCCTTTTTCTTTTCTTTCTTTTTTTTTTTTTTTTTTTGAGACTGAGTCTTGCTCTGTCGCCCAGGCTGGAGTGCAGTAGCACAATCTCGGCTCACTGCAACCTCCGCCTCCTGGGTTCAAGCAATTCTCCTGCCTCAGCCTCCCTAGTAGCTGGAACTACAGGTGCCTGTCACCACACCCGGCTAATTTTTGGTATTTTTAGTAGAGACAGGGTTTCGCCATTTTGGCCAGGCTGGTCTCGAACTCCTGACCTCAGGTGGTCCTCGTGCCTCAGCCTCCCAAAGTACTGGGATTATAAGCCTGAGCCATTGGGCGTGGCCACGTGTGCCTTTTTCTCATGAAAACATTGAGTAGGTATTTTCCCATACTCATAATTTTCCTTCTTGCTTGGTAACTCAGTTTTCTATGTAGAGATGCTGTTTCTTCTGCAATGAAGTTAATTTGTACAGCAGGTAGATGGAAAAGCAGACAGTAATTTAGTGTGACCATTCTTAATGCATGTATAGTTATAACTTTTGTTCCACAAAGGCCATCTTAAAACACCATATACTTTGCCAGACTGTTAGTTTTGTAGTCTTTGCGATTAAAATTTTGGTTCTATGAGTTCTTTGTCTGAAAGAAATTCTGGATCACTATTAAAAGTGTAATTTAGTTTTTTCACTTTGAAAATACATACTTATGTTAAGAACATCTCACTGCAGGATGGTTTTGTAGTAAAAGCTTATAGTCTCTGCTAGTATAAACATTTTAATAAAATAGGATTTTTTTAAGTTATTTACTCTAAAGTTAATATGAACCTAATACTACATATTTAAGGTCACTTTTTGGACTTAATTCAGTCTTTGTCTGCTAAGTTATTTCGTTTGTTCAAGGCTGTGAGGTTGATGTTAACATTTTTTTCCTTATAATTAGATTTGCCTTCTTAAAGGTGAGGGTATGCTGCCTTTGTCCAAATGACATGGATGAGTGGGGAAGGTGTGTCTACCTCTATTTCTTAGTTCTTTTTAAAGAAATTGTGAATTATAGCCTCACAAAACATTCCCACAGGCTCTGTGCAGCCAAACTTGTTTTATATTTAGTGATATTAAAGAAGAGGGAGGGGAAGATTAAGTGACATGAAATCCATTTTTCTTTATAGTTAATTTGACCAATAAGTGTCAGCAAGTATTTTATTGAAGTAGTATATAATTCAGATTGACTTTTGTAACTTTGCTAAGATTTGGAAACCAGCATTTCTTCCTTTGTTTTTCCAGGCTGGAGTGCAGTGGCGCAATCTTGGCTCACTGCAACCTCCGCCTCCTGGGTTCAAGCAGTTCTCGTGTCTCAGCCTCCCAGGTACCTGGGATTGCATGCATGGGCGACCATGCCTGGCTAATTTTTTTTGTATTTTTAGTAGAGACGGGGTTTCACCATGTTGGCCAGGTTGGGGAAACCAGCATTTCTGGTATCATTCAGTGTAAGTCTTTAGTCATGAAATTAGCACTGCTTAGTTGATAAAGCATATCTAAACAATTAGGAGAATCCTAGAGAAAGCAAGAAATAAGAAATCTTTTCCTCCAGGTTCTTGCAAATAGTAGGCTAGAAAGTAACATCTGAAATTCATTTTTAAATTGAAATTTTTAAAGCTAAGTTTGATTAGAAATATTTAAGAGGCTACAGATGGTTCTGAAAACATTTGGACGGGTAGAAGATGGTTTGCAAAAGGTAGGATTCTTAAAAAGAGGCATTATAAACGTGTATCAGACACAATTTTTGAAAATTAATTTACCTTTTAAATGGATATCGAAATTATCTTCATCACCGCCACCCACCACCCATTATAAAGTGTAAAATAAACAGAAGTTTCTGAGAGTTTGCTAATTAGACTCCTTTGAGGTTTGATTTTGTGTTTTGCAATCTCCTGTTATTAAAATAGTTCCTCATCCCGGCTGTTATTAAGTTCCTCATCCCGGGCTGGGTGCGGTGGCTCATGCCTGTAATCCCAGTGCTTTAGGAGGCCAAGGCAGGCGGATCACCTGAGGTCAGGAGTTCAAGACCAGCCTGGCCAACATGGCGAAACCCCGTCTCTACTAAAAAAATACAAAAATTAGCTGGGTGTGGTGGCGGGTACCTGTAATCCCAGCTACTCAGGAGGCTGAGGCAGGGAGAATGGCTTGAACCCGGGAGGCGGAGGATGCAGTGAGCTGAGATCGTGCCACTGCACTCCAGCCTGGGCGACAGAGTGAGACTCCGTCTCAAAAATAAATAAATAAATAAATAAATAAATAAATAAATAAATAAATAAAGTTCCTCATCCTGTCTCCTCTTCGGGAGAGAGCTCTCCCTATGTTAGCTAAGTGATTTAGACAGAATTTAAGATTTGCCTCTTTGTAACCTCCTGCTATGACTTTGATTGGACAGCATGGCACTTTCCAGTCGCTTTTTAATAATACAGGTGTTAGGGGGTCCTTTCCTGTAAGTCTGCCTATCTCTGTCTCTCTGTCTTAAAGCCTGATCTTCTGTAAGGAAGCTCCTTACGGGAACATAGGAACATAGTGTCCCACTGACTGCTTACACTTGCCCATTCTCTTCTCCCATCTGTGGTCCTTAATTAATTAATTAATTTATATATTTTTGAGACAGGCTTTCACTCTGTTGCCCAGGCTTGAGTGCAGTGGCCCAGGCTTGAGTGCAGTGGCACAATCTTAGCTCACTGTGGCCTTGACCTCCCACGCTCTCTCAGGCTCAAGTGATCCTCCCTCAGCCTCCATAGTAGCAGGGACCACAGGAACATACACCACCATGCCTGGCTCATTTTTAAATTTTATCAATCACTTAATTATTAATAGTTCTGAGTGGATACAAACAATTAACTCTCTTACATTTGCCTTTTGGAAGCCTAAGAATAAGTTAAAGCAAATAAAATATATCCAGTGTTCTGATAACAGATTCTTAGTAGTTAATTTATTTCTGTCTTCTAACTATAAATGGATGTCTTGAAGTTTGCCAGTATTTTCAGTAGTATCCTTCCTAATTCACATTTGTGCTTCCGTTTTCCTCAGTGATCCCTTCTCTTATGCTTTGCTACAAGGATCATCTCTCATAAACTGCCTGAGATGTGTGTACTTTAGCCAGTTAGTTCTCAAGCCATTTCTTCTTTTCATTTTCTCATTTAGTTCCCTAGCCCCCAGTCATCCCTCTGTTTTCCTGTTATTCCCAGAATTTGCCAGTTATCATTTCTACTATGGCACCACATTAGTTAACAAGAATGTTTTAAATCTTTTTTTCCCCCATTTCTGAGTTATGCTTGCTTTAAGTTTCAGAATTTGGAAGTACTTACAAATAACAAAAAAAAGAAATTAAAATTCGCTCTCACAGATGACGATGGTTAACATTTTCATATATATCCTTCTAGTCTTTTTTCCTAAACCTATGGATAGACACAGGTACCTACACATTTTAGAACTTGGGATTAGGTGCGGTAGCTCACACCTGTAATTTGAGCACTTTGGAAGACTGAGGTGGGAGGATCTCTTGAAGCCAGGAGTTTGAGACCTGCCTGGGCAACATAGTAAGACCCTGTCTGTACCAAAAATAAAAGATGATAAAATTAACCAGGCATGGCAGTGCATGCCTGTAGTGCCAGCTACTTGGGAGGCTGAGTTGGGGAGGAGGATCACTTGAGCCCAGGATGCTACAGTGAGCTATGAATTTGCCACTGCACTCCACCCTGGGTGACAGAGCAAGACTCTCCAAAAAAAAAAAAAAAAGAAAAAAAAACCCAAGAAAACTAAAAAAAGGGCCGGGCGCGGTGGCTCACGCCTGTAATCCCAGCACTTTGGGAGGCCGAGGCGGGCAGATCACGAGGTCAGGAGATCGAGACCATCCTGGCTAACACAGTGAAACCCCGTCTCTACTAAAAAATACAAAAAATTAGCCGGGCGTGGTGGCGGGCGCCTGTAGTCCCAGCTACGCGGGAGGCTGAGGCAGGAGAATGGCGTGAACCCGGGAGGCGGAGCTTGCAGTGAGCCGAGATCGCGCCACTGCACTCCAGCCTGGGCGACAGAGCGAGACTCCGTCTCAAAAAAAAAAAAAAAAAAAAAGAAAACTAAAAAAAAAAGAATTGGGATTATGTAATACTCTGTCCTCAATTTTCTTCTAAAAATTATTAAACACTCTTTTAAGGCTGGTCTCAGTGGTTCATGCCTATAATCTTAGCACTTTGAGAGGCCAAGGTGAGAGGATTGCTTGAGCTCAGGAATTCGAGACCAGCCTGGGAAACATAGTGAGACCTTGTCTTTACAAAAAATTGAAAAATTAGCTGGGCATGGGCCAAGGTAGGTGGATCACCTGAGGTCAGGAGTTTGAGACCAGCCTGGCCAGTATGGTGAAACCCCATCTCTACTAAAAATACAAAATATTAGCTGGGTGTGTTGGCATGTGCCTGTAATCCCAACTACTGGATAGGCTGAGGCAGGAGAATTGCTTGAACCCGGGAGGCGGAGGATTCTGTGAGCCAAGGTCATGTCACTACACTCCAGCCTGGGCAACAAGAGCAAAACTCCGTCTCAAAAAAAAAAAAAAAAAATTAGCTGGGCATGATGGCGTGTACCTGTAGTCCCAGCTACTCAGGAGGCTGAGGCCAGAGGATCCCACAAGACTGGGAGGTTGATGCTGCAGTGAGCTATGATTGCGTCACTGCACTCCAGCCTGGGTGACAGAGCAAGGTCCTGTCTCAAGAAAAAAAAAAAAAAAAAAATTAAACACTCCTTTCGGTATGTTGTTTTAAAAAACTGTTGTATGTTATCATATGGATATATGTAACAGCTAAGAGAATTACTTGAGAGGAGTATTTTTACATGATTTCATACTTGATTTTCCCTTCTTCTGAGAGATAGCAAAACTTATGTGTTGTTATTTAAAGATAAACGAGGACTTGTGTTATCAAAGAAAGAGATTAGGAATGAGATCAGGGAGTTTGGATGTCATACACTAGTTATTATGACCTAGTATGACTTTGAGTAATGTCTTCTGAGCTTTTTTTCTCATCTGTAAGACTGAAAAGTGATTATAACCATTCATTTTTCAAAGAGTTGTTGAAAGGACCAAATAATATATATGAAAATTTGTTTCAAACTATATGACAGTTTAGCCATGCAAATGCAAAACTTTGTAATATCAGAGAGAAAAGATGAGTCTTTCCCTAATATTGATTCAGTTTATTTTCTTTATAGGAGCTCTGTCTAAACATCATTCCAACCTTTGCAAATCTTATAGACTACCCATCCATGAAAAACGCTTTGATACCAAGAATTAAAAATGCTTGTCTACAAACATCTTCCCTTGCGGTAAGTAATTGCATATTAATTTTTGTTTTTCTTTTCACTTGTCAGTGCTTTAAATCATTTTCTTATTGTTTAATAACCCTTTTATAGATTGTTGATGTATTTCATCTTGGCTGTAGATAACTTGTATATAGTACTATAAAAATGAGCTGTAGTTTTCTTTGATACATAATTTATAATATTGCATTCCTAACCTTACTTGCTGTCCCTTTACTTTGAGTGCTTCAGTAAAAAAGTTGGGTGATTATTTTTTTCTTAATCCTTTTCTGCTTTAACTGAATTTATTTTGTTGTTAGTTTAAAAATATTATGAGAGTTTAACTTGGTATCTAAGCGTAAAAACTTGTTGAAAAGTTTCCTTTTATAAATAGCCTTTATTTTTAGTTATTGGTCTCTAAATGTCTTATTTCTCACTGACTTGCCCACTTCTTAAAAAAGTAGAGTACAAGAAAGCAATAAATTAATGTGAATACAAGTAGGATAAATAGTTGTGCTAAAAAATGTAGACCAAGGAAATAGTTACCTTCTTTGAATACAAAATTTTAACATTCAGTTACTTGTTAGTCAAGGAAGGTAGAATTAATAACAAAGTTTTCATTATCTCATATTGAAAGCAATAAATGTCCCCAGCCTTTTCTCTAACACTAAATATAATAGTTTATCACATTTATATTTCTTTATAGAAGTAATATTGAATGCTGTCTTCAAAATAGCAGCTTTAAAGAGGGAGAAATGTTCTCTTTTGCCTGACCAGTTCTTGATATTGATTTTTGATAACGGACATATTATTAAATTTGCATTTTGTAAAACTAGTTCTCTGGAGATCCCGTCTTTATCTGGTGGAATGTGAATTTAAATAAAAATAAACAGCTTAATAAAATTATAAGCAAAAGTAATTTGAATGATATGATTTTATCTTATAGCCATTGAATCTATTTTAGTTCATTTCTTGGTTGAAAGGCTTTGAAATGGAAAATGTAACACCAAAGTAGAAAAAGAAATCATTACTGAAACAAACAAGTATGAAATGAAATAAAGTCAAGTTTTAGTTCTTATTCTCACTTTGTTACTAACAACCCCTGTGACCTTGAAAAGTCACTGTGCCTCTCTGAGTCTTCACTATCATTAAAAGTAGCTGTTTTCTCTAAAATTCTCAATTTTACAATTGAATTTTTAAAATAGATGGTAGTAATATACAGCTTAAAATTTAGTTTTCAAAATGCCCTTTTAAAGATCTTACAATCATACTATGTACCTTATTTTATGGCAGCATAAATTTATATTAACATACATTTTCTCAAAGTACATGTTGTAGGCCGGGCATGGTGGCTCACACCTTTAATCCCAACACTTTGGGAGGCTGAGGCGAGTGGATCTCGAGCACTGAGTTCAAGACGAGCATGAGCAACACAGCGAGACCTCGTCTCTACTAAAAATAAAAAAATTTAGCTGGATGTGGTGGCATGGTGGGAGCATCACTTGAGACCAAGAGGTCGAGGCTGCAGTGAGTTGTGATTGTGCTGCTCCTTCCAGTCTAGGTGACAGAGCAAGCCCCCGCCGCTCCCCACCCCGCCCAAAAAAAATCCAAAACCAAAGCAAAGCGAGTACCTGTTCTAGTTCAGTTCTGAGCATATGTAGGGGTATGTAGAAATGGGAAACATGGATACTTAAATGATGTGAATTGCTGCCCAGTTATATGTATGTTTCTTTTTAAGATGCCAACTGGCCGTTAAGGCATGTTGTTTACAAGAAGTTATAATGAATGTATTTATATTTAGAACAGTAACTAGGAATGGATTTACATTTTATATGTCACCTTTTAAGTGGATTTTAGATAGTACTTTCAGTGCTTCTGCCTACCTTCAGAGTGGCAAATAGGAATTCCCAAATTGTATTCATAGTCCTCTATCTCTAAAAGTTTAAAATTCTGACTAGGAAATTCCTGAGTCGTGAGTTAGTATTGTGTCTTAATACTCTTCCCTGAAAATAAAATTTTTAAAAATTCTACACAGAGTTAGGTAAAATCCTCCAAGAGCTATATTTATTCATTACTTACATGACTAATATTTTATATATCCTAAAAGTAAATAAAATTAGTATTCTCGGTTTTGCTTAAAATATATATATATCTCAGTAGAATGCAGCTGTTCCTTTTATAAAACGAATTATGAGTACAAGTTAAGCGTTCAGATACCTTTTTGAATTTATAATATCTCTTGTGTTTTAATTTCAGAAAACAATTGTACATTGTTTTTTAGAAATGGAAATTTTTCCCCATTTTTCCTGTAGAACTATGGTGCTTTATTAGCCAACAAAATTATTTTCTGCCTTTGTTGGTTTACTGTTTTTTGAAAACTGGAGTTTTATTAATACTATAGTCCTGACTTAAAGATATTCTATCTTAAGAAATTCCAAATAGAAGTAGGGTATGATGTATTTATCAAATAGTCAAGTGCATATGGAATTTTGATAAAAGCTTCTAAATAAGAGGTCTTAATAACTGTATATTTGGAAATAGAAAACACATATATGGATACCTTCACATGTTAAAATATTTAGTTTAAAAATGAATTGAACCCAAGTTAGAGTAAAATACTGGAATGTGGGTGAAAATGATCACTTGGTGCAAAGAATGTAGTCCTTTTTATTATTCAAATGTCCCCAAAGGAGTGTTCTTATGATAGTAACACATAATGTAGTAAAAGTTTCTCAAATTCTAATCACTTTAAAATGCTACAAGATTGTAGTCATTCCTTGACTTTAGCTCACTAGTGACCTGGTGAAGCAATCATAAATTCTTTGTGAAACAAGCCAGGAAAATTAGTAAATAAGTGAATTTCCTATGTTGATAAAGGATGAGAGCTTCTAAATCTACATTTATTCTTGAGACTTTAACATATTTATATGAAGATTAAGTTTACACTTAAATATTTTGTTCTAGATTTTGAAAACTTTTAATGACTAATGCAATTTACCTCTTTTAATAGGTTCGTGTAAATTCATTAGTGTGCTTAGGAAAGATTTTGGAATACTTGGATAAGTGGTTTGTACTTGATGATATCCTACCCTTCTTACAACAAATTCCATCCAAGGAACCTGCGGTCCTCATGGGAATTTTAGGTAGCTGAAAATTTAATGTCATTTGATGCTATTTTATCATGCAAATAAATTTTCCAATCTATAAAACAATTATACTCTCCTTTCGTGTATATAGCATTTCATAATTGAAGAATGATGTGATAAATACCATAATATAACTTTTCTCTTTAAGTTTAGCAAAAGCAGTAGAATCTTGACATTTATAAAGGAATAAGATATTTAAGAATTCTAGCTTTACGAATATCATGATAGCATGTAGTTTTCCCCATAAAATGGTACAAAGTGAGAGAGGCAAACAAAGCTACTGGAAATGCTGATACTGGTCTTAGTAGTAATATCTGAGGTTTATTTGATACTCAATTTGTAAGAGGCAAAGTATTTTCTCTGCGTTATGTTATTTTATTCTTCCCCAAATTCAATTAAATAGGTACTATTGTTTCTATTTTATAAGGAAACTGAGGCTCAGAGAGGTAAAATAAGTGATTCAAGATCATATAAGTGGTAAGTGATAGGAGCTGGTTTTCTAATATGTTTAAGTCTTAATTAGTATATTTTGTGGCTAAGTGATATGCTGATGAAGCATGTTAACCTTATAGGACATTCTGTTCTCTCAGCATAATTACAAATTACTAAGAAACTCTGAAATCATTTATATATAGTTAAAGTTATAGAAGTCCAATCTGAAAATGCCAGGGGTCTGCTGCACTAATAAAATAGGCATAGCTATAGAGTCACAAAAACATTTAACAGGTTCATTTTTTATTTAATTTAAGGTTGTTTGCTAATTTTTTTTTTTTTTGAGATGGAGTCTCATTCTGTCACCCAGGATGGAGTGCAGCGGTGCCATCTCAGCTCACTGCAACCTCCGCCTCCCGAGTTCAAGCAATTCTCTGCCTCAGCCTCCTGAGTAGCTGGGATTACAGGCACCTGCCACCACGCATGGCTAATTTTTTTGTATTTTTTGTAGAGACAGGGTTTCATCATCTTGGCCAGGCTGGTCTTGAACTCCTGACCTTGTGATCCACCTGCCTCGGCCTCCCAAAGTGCTGGGATTACCGCCTGGTTCTTTGTTAATTTTTAAGAAAAATTATATTATTCATCCATGTATTCTTAACACCTAATGTAGTGCTTGGCCTGCAGAAACTGCTCAGTAAATATTTGTGGGAATGGTTAGCAAGTATTTATTGTGGACCTCTATAGACATGGAAGGTACTCTAGGGATATCGCATGAATCTTTTGTGCAGAAAGAAGTTTGTCTTCTTGGCTGGATGCAGTGGCTGACACCTGTATTCCCAGCACTTTGGGAGGCCAAGGTGGGTAGATCACTTGAGCCCAGGAGTTCAGGACCAGCCTGAGCAACATGGCAAAACCCCATCTCTACTAGAAATACAATAATTAGCCAGGTGTGGTAGCATGCGCCTGTAGTCCCAGCTACTTGGGAGTCTGAGGTGGGAGAATCACATGAACCAGGGAGGTTGAGGCTGCAGGGACCCATGATCGTGTCACTGCATTCCAGCATGAGCAACAGGGCAAGACCCTGTCTTAAAAAAAAAGTCTTTTTGAGCAGGAGTTTGGCATAGTAGAAATTTGAGCCCTGGCTCTAATCCTGGCTCTGTCAGTTCTTGAGGTGACTTTGAAAAGTTTATTTATCCAATGAGGATGAGACTAACGTCATTTTAGGATTCTTGTGAGACTTCACTGAAACAAAGGGAAAGTAACAAGCATAGTGCTCAGCAAATAAGCATTTAGTAGGTGCCCAATAAAGTTACTCTTTGGGTATATAAGTCATGTGCACATTAACAGAATAATGGGGGATGGTATTTCACAAAGCTTTGGATTATATACAAAACACTTAGAACTCAAAAGCATTCAGAGAATGAGGCGGAAATGTACTCAGTTTACCAAATGAAGGCTTTGTGGATAGATGTAACAAGTGGGGTCTTGAAGATTGAGTAAATAGGTGAGACAATAGGGAAGGATTTTGTGGAATTGAATTCAGTTATTAAATTTCAAACATGTTGAGTTTGATTTGCTGAAGAAGTGAATAAAGGTGTAGGACTTATATTTTGACTGTACCTATACTATACCCTTTGAAATAGATGCCTTGAGTATGATTTCTGAAATATATATTTAGATGTTTCAGAATAGAAGGCCATTCTGTAACCTTACTGCTGCACAATAAGAATTGAACCTGGTTCTGATAAGCTTCTTATGTTATGCTATCATTAAATGTACTCCTAAACCAAAAGAACACAGGATAAATATGTCATGGTGTTTAAATCTGGCCTGATGATAAAGGCTGAAATCATTCTGATTCATATGTAAGAACATCATTATTCTAGGCATTGATTGGGAAAAACTTGTACTACACAGATTATCAAGGGATTTCGTATACATATATTATTTTCATGATTTCTATGAATTTATGGTGTTAACTTATAAAATTTGTCACATTCTTTTCTATCAGGTATTTACAAATGTACTTTTACTCATAAGAAGTTGGGAATCACCAAAGAGCAGCTGGCCGGAAAAGTGTTGCCTCATCTTATTCCCCTGAGTATTGAAAACAATCTTAATCTTAATCAGGTAGGAGTATTTTTGTGCTTTATTCATTTTATTCAGCTTACTTTTTTCTTGGCATTAGATATATAAATATATTACAAAGATTGGTTAAAAAAAAAAGGGTGAGGGGAGAATATGCCACAGAACTAAATGAAGAAAGTTTGTGGGTGGAAGGATAGATTGTTAAAGACGTCATTGGTAAATAGTAAATGAGCAGGATGTTGAGAAATATGTAGGATTTGGGACTACTTTAAATTTGGGGCTGGGAAATTGACATGAATGAAGAACAAAGTTATAGAATGTGTTTGGGGAGTATATTCATTATTTATTGATTGCTACAGAACAAATCACCACAAACTTAAGGGTTTAAAGCAACACACATTTATTATCTCACAGCTTCTGTGGGTCAGGCCAGAACATGGCTTAGCTGGATTCCCTGCTCAGGGTTTCTCACAGTGCTGTAGTAAAGGACTTGGGGCTCGTTCAAGGCCCAGCTATGGAGTGATCTACTTCTAAGCGCACTTACGTGGTTGTTGGCAAGATTCAGTTGCTTTTGGGCTGTTGTACTTAGGGCCTCCATTCTTAGCTATTAGCTGGATGCCACTGTCAGTTCCTAGCCACATGGGACTTTCCAACATGGCAACTTGTTTCATCAAAGCCTGCAAAAGAGAGTCTGCTAGCAAGACTGAAATTATAGTCCCTTGTAATCAAGGAAGTGATACCCCATCACCTGTGCCATAGTCTGTTGCTTTAGAAACAAGTCACAGGTTCAGCCCACACTCAAAGATAGGGGATTCCACAAGGGCATGAATGGCAGGAGGAGGAGATAATTGGGAACCATTTTAAGAGTCTATATATCACTGGGAAGGAATAATTCAATTTGATTGGCAGATATATATAATACAGTAGGAGAATAATGGGAGAAAGATAAATTGAGACTAGAATAGGTAGACTTTAAATGCCTGTCTGGTTTAGGTATTTGAACTTTCAAGGTGTGGTAAATGTTTGAGTAAAGGAATAATGTGTCCAAAGATTATTATGGAATTGTCTCTCTGCATACCTCTATCGCTGTTTGTCACAGCTGTGTTCTTATGTGACTGATTCTTCCTGAAGATTAGAAACTCCTCAAAGACTGGTTATTAGAGCTTATTCTTCATTATAGCCCCAGCACTTAGTGCAATGACAGAAGCAAAAATATTAATTGAATTGAGAGAAAATTGAGATATAGAGACGAGTCATTTTTGTTCACAACAGAACTAGTATTTAATGAAATATAATGGAAAAGACTGAGTTGGGTTACTGTTTAACTGAGAGCATCAGAGATGGATAGGCAGGGAGGATTTAGAACTGAGAGTGAATTACAGCAATGAGGGAAGCAGAAAGCTGGAAGTTGAGAGCGTTTGGCATTGGGGAGAGTGCTGAGTGAGCAGAGTTTTGGAGGTAGAGAAATTTATAAAACTAATCAGAATGAACATTTCATTTGAAGTAATAGGGTAAGCCTCTGAAAATTTGTTCCTAGGTTTTAATTTTTTTTCTTTTTTTTTTTTTTTTGAGATGGAGTCTCGCCCTGTCACTCAGACTGGAGTGCAGTGGAGCAATCTCATCTCACTGCAACCTCCGCCTTCTTGGTTCAAGCAATTCTCATGCCTCAGCCTCCTGAATACCTGGGATTACAGGCATGAGGCACCATGCCTGGCTAATTTTTGTAGTTTTAGCAGAGACAGGTTTTCACCATGTTCCAGGATGGTCTCAGACTCCGATCTCAAGTGATCTGCTTGCCTCGGCCTCCCAAAGTGCTGGGATTACAGGCATGAGCCACCATGCCTGGCCCCCTAGATTTTAATTTTTGGTTTGGTAATTTCTTCATATCTTGGATAGCAGAGTTGAGGTTAGGGTGGGCAAGAAGGGAGACAGTGAGTATTGGGGAGGAATAGGATAATATGCCTAAAACAGCCTTCAGCTTTTTGTCATTTCTGTTCTTAGTTCTCATGTTTCTGATTTAGAGTTTTTAAATATTCCCAAATGCTTATTTTAGGATATATAGGCTCACTCCTGTCATCCCAGCACTTTGGGAGGGAAGGGTAGGTGGATCACTTGAGCTCAGGAGTTTGAGACCAGCCTGGGCAACATGGTGAAACCCCTTCTCTACAAAAATACAAAAATTAGCCAGGTGTGGTGGTGTGCGCCTGTAGTCCCAGCTACCAGAGGGAGCTGAGGTAGGAGGATTGCTTGAGCCTGGGAGGTGAAGGTTGCAGTGATTTGAGATTGCACCACTGCACTCCAGCCTGGATGACAAAGCAAGACCCTGTCTCTAATTCTGTTTGAAATGTTGTGTTAATTTACTTCAGCTTAGTGGGTTTTTTTTGGGGTGGGGGGAGTGGCTATTTTCATCAACAAATATTTTGATTCATATCTTCTTGTATTTTACAGTAGTTTAGCATGGATGTGGTCTGCCTTCCCATTTGTTTCATGGTCAGTGTTTCTCATTTAAGACTGCCTTCTTAGTTCCTTTCTGATTTAAGATGATTTAAATCTATTATACATTAAGTGACAAAGATAAGTAACTTAGGAAAATACATTTTCAGCATTTGAATAAAAAACAGCAAATGCCCTGCAGCAGTACACTGAATAATCAATCAGTTGTGTTTGAGGGGGGTTTCTAAGACCACCCCCAGAATGGATGATTCAGTAGGAGGACTCAGGACTCAGCATATAGTTATGCCCAGGCTGTGCTCTACTATGGTGAAAAGATATAAAGCAAAATCAGGAAAGGGAAAAGGTTCATAGGACAAAGTCTAGGGAAACCAGGCACAAGCTTCTAGAGTCTTTTCCCAGTGAAATCACGCAGGATTCCCCTTGTAATGAATTGTGGTTATACATGTGAAATGTTGCCAACCAGGGAAACTTATTAGAGACTCAGTGTCCAGAGTTTTCAATGAGGTCTGATCAAGTAACACCCTCTGCCTGGCATGTACTCAAATTCCAAACTCCCAGAAGGAAGGCAGGTGTACAGCATAGAACATATTCTTTGTACAAACAGTTTAGGCAAGTAAACCACTGTTACCAGTTAATAATAGGAACCTTTCTGAAATCTGAGTTCCCAGACATCAGCTAAAGGCCAATTTTGCAAGCAGGAGTTTTCGAGGATAGCAGTTTAGGCCTACAATGTTAACTGTTTTCTGCACAAACTACATTTAACAATACGGATGAATCTCACAAACATGTTGAGTGAATGAAGCCAGGCATAGAAGAGGATCTGCTGAATGATCCATTTATATAAAGTACAATAGTCTAAACTATGCTGCTAGAAGTCAGAATAAAGTTTACCCAAAGAGTATGAGGGTGGAAAATGACTGGAAGGGGGTATAAGGAAGCTTCTGGGATGTTGACAATGATTTTGCTTTGTTTTTGTTTTTATTTTTGTTTTTTTTTTTTTTGAGACAGGGTCTCACTCTGTCTCCCAGGCTGGAGTGCAGTGGCACAATCTCAGCTCACTGCAGCGTTGACCTCCTGGGCCCAAGTGATCCTCCCACCTCAGCCTCCCAAGTAGCTAGGACTACAGGCATGTACCACCACTCCTGGCTAATTTTTGTATTTTTTTGTAGAGATGTGGTCTCTCCACGTTGCCCAGGCTGGTCTCAAACTCCTAGGCTCAAATGATCTTCCTGTCTTGGCTTCCCAAAGTGCTGGGACTACAGGTGTGAGCCACATGCCTGGACCGATGTTGTTTCTTTATCTGGCTACTAGTTACATTGGGTGTGTTCAATTTGTGTGAATTGTGAATTTTTTTTTTTTTTGTCTGTGCACTTTGACATGTAGACTTTTGTGTTAGTATACTTCAATAAAAAGTTTTAGGAACCCTAATCAGTGGAAAGTCAATCATAGTAAACTGCTTTGGAAACATGCCTTTTGACTTTCTCATAAGATGAAGAAGCTGCTGCTGATAGAGCATGGTGAAAAGCAGTATAACGTAGTAGAAAAGGGTGCAGACTTTGGAGACAGGCTTAGAATGAATTCTAGCTCTGCCATATGAGCTCTCTAGCATCTCTGAGTTCCTTTACCTCTCATTGAGCCTGAGTTTCCTCATTTGTAGATTAGAAATATTAATGAACCTACTTTGAAGAGTTGTGAGGATTAATAAAATAGTGTATGTATAAACACTCAACACAAAAATGTAGTTATAAAATTTGGGGAAAGGAGGAGAGCCATTTCTAGATTCTTCCTGTAACGTGGTGTTATTCAAATAAGTTGTTTATGATGATCCTGAATGAAGTACCATAGGGATGAATGATCAGCAGTTGACCAAAATTAACCAAAGCTTAAACTATGTTAAGACATAGTGCTAGGTATGCTTTATGAAATCTAATTATTTGAAAGTTGGATTATGTACATTTAATTTTTCAACTGTCAGAAAACAGGATTTATTTTAGCCAGATATGTCATTGCAATCTGAATAAGCAGGAATTTTCTATGCCTATTAAATGGATTATTTCTAGAAGGCACAAATTCAGATGGTTAATTTTGAATTATCCCAAGAAGATCAATATATAACTGCTAAGGGTGAATTTATACAAGGCCCCTGAATAATAGCTATTAAACAACTCCGGGAGTAAAACTCATTATTGAGACATGTTTTCTGGAACTTAAAAGCCTCATCAACTATCATATCATCACCAAAGATATTATAAAAGCTTGCTATGATATGCCGAATTTAAATGTATCATTCTTATTGAATATCAGCGCTGTGACTGGATCCTATTCTACTGGTAAAAATGGAGAATATTATGATTAATTTACTGAATTATCTTAATTGATTACATTTGCTGCTAACTTGAAACATTGTAACCATATCAATTTCTCATTATACCAGTTCAATTCTTTCATTTCCGTCATAAAAGAAATGCTTAATAGATTGGAGTCTGAACATAAGACTAAACTGGAGCAACTTCATATAATGCAAGAACAGCAGAAGTAAGTAGGTTGCACATGAATTATATGTGGTCCGGGAGTGAAATTATAGTTGTCTTATGATTGATTTTCTGGAATATGGAATAGAAAACTTGCTGGATTTAAATTTGACCACATGTAAAACATTTCAAAATTTACCATCATGTTAATAAGTTGAACTGAATTAAAATAGAATGTGGTTGAAAAATCTAGTGTCACTTCTGAGTACAAAAGTGTAATATGGTATAATTTTAGCATTTTATCTACATAAAGAAAATTCTGTTTCTGAAAAATTTCTTGTCAGCAGTAGCCACTAGCATTGTAAACTCAGGTTGCTGAAAACTAAAAGCACCAATTAGGAAAATTTTTTAAATTTATGAACTTCTAGTGTTTTGATTTTTTTTTCATTCTCTCTTCTCCAGCCCCACAAACATTTAGAGAGCATTCATTTCATATTTAGCATCACAACATTCACCTGGTTTTATTTTTAGGGAGGATTTTCTAAATTATTTGCAGAAAACTAGTATTCAAAGAAGGCAAAGATGGAAATCGTTGACTGTTGAATCTAGTTTATTAAAATCGAAGCCCCACTATATTCTTTGCTCCAGAGTAAAACACATGAATCTAGGATACCTATTAAAGTTTGATCCTGAACCAAAAAACATCTAAAAATCAGTAAAATTGATATAAATCATGAACAAGGTCCCCAAGTAGAAACTCTTTAGCTTCTGCCCACAAGATGAAGACTTAAAGTAAATACACATGGTATAGAAATAGGTGAAATAGCCCTTTGTATGCTTGAAGTATTCTATAGTGTGTATGTATGTGGTGTTTGATGGATTGACTATGTTAACATAAAAATCTGGAGAAATAATTTTTAAAATGCATTATAGGTAGAAATAAATTTTTAATAACAAGTATTTATATTTGAGTTGGCAAATGAACCCTTCCTTTTTCTTCCTCCTATCTAAATCTTACCTATTTCTCAGGACATAGATCTGGCTCACATAACAGTGATTATAGCATTCATTGTTAGTATCACAGACTCAGAACTTAATCACATTGAATTCCCCATATTATATCTTGTCTTTGAGTGAGATGTTAAGCTCTTTGACAAGAGAACCATGCTTGACTGGTTTTATGACACCTTGAATAAATTCTCCAGTAAATCCCCAATGTTGAGTTTAAGAAATGGACTTACATACAAATGTTATTTTTGGGGCAAGCAGACATTAACAGTAGAAAATAATGGAAAAGATGACTCTTCTTAAAGAGTTTAATTGGGGTCTAATAAATTCCATGTGAATAAATAATTTTTGGCATGAGTATTTAAAAATATGCATTTCTTTTTATTGTTTTATCATAATTCAACTCTCCTACAGATCTTTGGATATAGGAAATCAAATGAATGTTTCTGAGGAGATGAAAGTTACAAATATTGGGAATCAGGTAAGAAGCAGCTTAATTTTTGCAGAAAGTATGCTTCATCTGGAGGGCTTTTAATCTTTAAGCAGCAAAATCACATTTTTATTGAACTTATTTAAATTATTGACATTTTTCTATTTCAGCAAATTGACAAAGTTTTTAACAACATTGGAGCAGACCTTCTGACTGGCAGTGAGTCCGAAAATAAAGAGGACGGGTTACAGAATAAACATAAAAGAGTGAGTTTCCTTACTGTTCTTTCAGCCCTCTTATTTTATGCTGTAGGACTTCCTGTAAACCACAGATTTTTGTTGGGAAATACTGTTCAGCAGCTTAACAAGAAACATTTGTAATTATCTTTCTGAAATTCCTTTATCAGTTAAACATGACCCTAACCCATTTTGAGAATAAACATACTTAAGATTTTTAGCTTCCATTATTACTTGACTTGCCACAAGGTAATATTTATAGACTCCTTGACTCCTTTGTCCTTTCTCTTGTACTTTGCCAGTCACACCCCTTGGTGAATCCCACTGTCTCTCTTTGCTTCTGCTCCTGTGTTGATGGATTCTACTATAGATTTGTGCTGTCCAGCTATCCTAGGCTGTCTCTGATTGTTGCTCTTCAGTATTTTAATTTCTCTCCCACTCACTACATTCCCAACAGTTTGAGTTCCAAACTCCTTCCATTCTTTTTGAGCCTAGCAACCTCATCTTCTGTCATTTCATGGTGTCAACTTTTATAGTCCATCAGATTTTCACTTTGACACTTTCACAGAGTACTGGTCAGTTATTTGGTAGCATGGCCATCAATTTGAGTTTGTCTCATGTTTTCTCATAATTGGATTAAAGTTGTACATTTTTGGCAGGCATACTACAGAAGTGATGATGTACCCTTCTTGGTTTATTCCAGCAGGGGTACATGATGTATACATGACTTATTAATGGCAGACCAACAATATTTTAAAGAGGATTTTCAAAATAGATCTGATTCCATCTCATAAGTAGATAAAAAATCTGAGCACATTTTTTTCTTCTCTATTTCTTGCTAAAATTTTGCTCCCCCTCTGATTTTGAATATGAAACTATAATAGGATACTTTTCTCTTGGTTAGCATCCAATAAAAAAACTTTAAGTCAGTTTGTGACTTCTGCTGAGGGCATTCTTCTATTCATTCATAAATGTGAATACTGTATGTGTAAAGCTAAGGGACTACTGGACATAGTAGTTTACAAAATTGTAAGAGAACATTGTGAGCTTTTAGTTTAGCAAAGTTGATAAAAGACAAGACATCAAATTTGCTGTAGACATCAGCAGTGAAAGAACTGCTAATGTTGTTTCATTCATTCTTTGCTTTTTGTGAGTTCCTAAAATATTCTTGGGGTGAGATAGATTAGAGTTTAAATAGATTTCCCAATTTTCAAGAATGAAATCACTAAATCTTATTGTCATTGTCTGGAAAAAAGTGATTCTAATGAATGGTTTTAAAATAATTATTATTTTCATGCTGGAAATACTTTTGCACAGATCCTGTGAGTTTTTATCTAAAGTTAAATTATATAGTAATTTGAAATACAGCTTACTGTGACAATCACCAAGACAAGAGTAGTTTGCTTTTCAGTGAAGTAGTAAGATGTACTTTACCCGAAGAGATTATCTTTTGTTTTACAAATGGACTTAATAAATTGCCGGTTGATTTTTTGCTTTATTTTGTTTTAAGGCATCACTTACACTTGAAGAAAAACAAAAATTAGCAAAAGAACAAGAGCAGGCACAGAAGCTGAAAAGCCAGCAGCCTCTTAAACCCCAAGTGCACACACCTGTTGCTACTGTTAAACAGGTCAGAGTTCATTTCTTTTGTGTAATTTCCAGAATACGACTGTTAAGGAGTAAGGTGGTATAGAACTTAGTCTACTAGTATTTGTATAAAAATATATCTCAAATAATACCTTAATATGTGGTTTCTAAGAAGTATGGGCATAAATGATTTTCCAACTCAGCTATAACCTGCCTAATGTATAATGTTTTGTGACAATGCTTGTTACCAGTAAAAAAGAAGCTAGAAGAATAGGAAGGGTTCTTAAAAGAGATTAGGACTCATAGTACTCATTCAACTCTGTTCACTCTGAAATGATCAGAATATTATATTCATGCTCTTAACATATTTTTGAGCTGAAGTTATTTTCTGTGTTTGACTTTTCAATTATAGTTAGATTTGTAACTTGATTTAAGATGTACCTACATGACCTGGCTAGTATTTGTTTTCTCCTGTGTTCCAGGCACTGTTCCAGGTATTGGTGCTATGGCAGTGAATAAGGGCCCTGCTTGTAGAGAGTTTACACTGTTACTGGTTTCAGAGATAGCTTTATCTTAAAAGCTTTCTTTAAACTATTTTTTTGTTACCTCTTAATCACTAACATTTTCTCTGAGAAAAACCTTTGTGGGCCAAGAGGCAAAACTGAGAATATTTTGTAGGTACTTTTTTAAGAATAGAGGAAACAAATTCCTATAAAGTTTTGATGAAATTCAAACTATACAAATAATAGTAAAAAATTACTGTATTTTTTGTAATATAGAATAAGAAGAATGCGATTCTTTTTTTGACAAGATAATATTTTGCTTAATTGGAGTTTACAGTTAGTGTTCCCTATCATCAAATCGATTGCAAATATTCATCTGTAAAAACTATATAAAAATAGGTGGCAGGCTGTATTTGACCGGCAGGCTATAGTTTGCTAATTTGGTGTAGACCATTGAGCTTAATTCTAACTTGTCCTTTATAATTTAATCTGTCAAATGTTTACTAATTATAAAGTAATTTATATTTCTTAGAGATAAAGTAATTCTCTCATATTTTTCAGACTAAGGACTTGACAGACACACTGATGGATAATATGTCATCCTTGACCAGCCTTTCTGTTAGTACCCCTAAATCTTCTGCTTCAAGTACTTTCACTTCTGTTCCTTCCATGGGCATTGGTATGATGTTTTCTACACCAACTGATAATACAAAGAGAAATTTGACAAATGGCCTAAATGCCAATATGGGCTTTCAGACTTCAGGATTCAACATGCCCGTTAATACAAACCAGAACTTCTACAGTAGTCCAAGCACAGTTGGAGTGACCAAGATGACTCTGGGAACACCTCCCACTTTGCCAAACTTCAATGCTTTGAGTGTTCCTCCTGCTGGTGCAAAGCAGACCCAACAAAGACCCACAGATATGTCTGCCCTTAATAATCTCTTTGGCCCTCAGAAACCCAAAGTTAGCATGAACCAGTTATCACAACAGAAACCAAATCAGTGGCTTAATCAGTTTGTACCTCCTCAAGGTTCTCCAACTATGGGCAGTTCAGTAATGGGGACACAGATGAACGTGATAGGACAATCTGCTTTTGGTATGCAGGGTAATCCTTTCTTTAACCCACAGAACTTTGCACAGCCACCAACTACTATGACCAATAGCAGTTCAGCTAGCAATGATTTAAAAGATCTTTTTGGGTGAGGTGTCTTACTTCTATTTTGAAGGATTATTTCAGTTTCAATCATGGGTGAGCTGATTTACATCTTTATATAGTTGGCTTGGAGGAAGTACTTCTATGGGAAAGTGAACAGTTCTGTGACAGGAAACATCTCTGTCCATGCCAGCATAGTAGTTGTATGGACTTCTAACCAGTTGAGTTTTTTAAAGCATTGAGGATTTTTTCCTCTTACCAACTCCTCTTCAGGTTTTTAAAGACCCAGCCCTTCCCAATCTCAAAGAGAAAAAGGAAACTGAGTTATCTTGAATAACATAACTTTTTAATCAAATGTTTATTTTGGCTTGTGGATCTTGGTGTTATTTAAAAAATTGAGGTGATGGTCATTGCAAGCTCATCTATTAAGTACTATATGGTACACAGTCTATGAGTCATTAGTCTTCATTTTAATATGTAAAAAATCTTGATGCTGTATTGATTTGTTTGCATTTAAGATGACAGTGAGAAAATGATAAGCATAAAGAGAAGTATCAGGTTATTTGCTTTTTCCAAACTTTTCAGATGAACTATTGTTTAGTACAGAGACTGAGCAAATACTACAAAATTCAACTTAACCTTCATTTCATTGGTTTAAATGCGTTATTAACCATCTTAAGTGCAAACTAATCATTGTAAATTATATTTTAGCATGGTCTGCCTCAAATAGTAATGTATTTTTCTGCATTCACTTGGATATATTTAGAATCACTTTTTTCCTCCTGTATCAAGGAAGAGGTATGTGCTGATTTGTTTGGATATTTGACAAGGCACTCTGATGTGACTTCCCTGACTACTACCTTCATATTTCATTTCAAATTCAAACTTCTGAGGTTGCAGCATATATGAATTGCATTTTCAAAAGAAGATTTGTAAGAATTAAACTATATTTATGAGTAAACTTTTGAGGTTTCTGCTGTATTGTTTCAAATGTAATAAACTTTACTTCTGTAAAAATTGAGCAGTTGTATCTTCTGACCACCAACAGATTTTCAGCTTGCCATGATAGTCTGACCTCATTAATTACTGCTACTGAAGTTCAATTTTTTTCTAGGAATTTTAGGAACCTTTTGTTTAAATATTTTAATTTCTATTAGCCATTTTTAGGAAGGAAAGAATCAATTCTCTTAACAGGAAACATGCTTTATTTTTCAAAACCTTTCTCTGATATTTTTCTTTAATTTGCTGATTATTCAACCACAGAGCCTTATGCTATAAATGTCATTTGTATTTTAAAAAATAATATTCCACTCATAAAACTTTAAAACCATCTTTCAACGAACTATATATGTATTATAGTTGCTGCCATAGAGTTGATGGTTTTTAATTATCTGGAACCAGCAATCATTTAAAATAAACCATATTAAGTTTAGTATGCTGGTATTGTTTATTCATTTTATATGAATATTCATTGAAAATATATACACAATATATGTAATACACAGCACTTGATTACAAAATGTAATTTAATTATATTATTGCTGGCAGCATTCAGTTAAGAGGGTACTTTAAAAAATAGAAGTCAGCTTTCACATCTGATTTCTGTATGGGCTGTACTTGGTTAACTTGATTTTAGAAAAAGGACTAACAGAATTGCTAAAGAAATGCATCCAATAAATGAAAAACAGTAGGAAGATCAAATGTTTTTGTCAAATATATTCACAACTTGACCAGATTAGCTGTCCTGTTTGTAATGCAATATTAATATGTCTTTTGGGAAAAAGCCTACATATGGAATAAAATAAGTATTGAAGAATTTTTCTTTGTAACAATTTAGTAGTCACTGTTTATTGAGAAATTGTTTTTTATTTTGTAAAATAACATGATGTTAGTGTTGAACTCTTAAACAGAAAGAAAGCTTAATATAACAGCTTATAGAACTTGAACTACTAAATATGAAAATAAGTCATTTGAAAAAAATACAGTATGTAAAATTTGTTCATTCGTTGAGGTAATGGTGCTATGTTTTTACAAAATTGTTCCTACACCTTTTTTCTACTTCAGGTATTTTATTTCAACCATTTCCATCAATTGAACTGTTACCATTGCCTTTTTCTGTTGAGAAATTGCCTCTGAAAAATAGTGCTATTTTTCAGCTTAAGTGTTCTTAAGTGAATGAAATTTTCAAAGTACTAGATCACCTTAAAATTATTTCACGTACTGAAGACAATTAAGTCCGTTATGTTTAGAGTAGAAAATGTTTAGGTTAAAGAGCATCTGTCAACAGAATCTACAAAAAAGATTCCCTTGCATTTGAATTAGTTCTCTATTCTCCTATTGCTAAATGTGTGATATATAGAGAGGATGTATAAAAGGAAATGGAAATAGACTATGTACTTGTCTGGTTTTTGTTTGTTTTTATTTTGGAATGCTTATAAGCCTCCTTTACACTGAATAAGGAAGTAGTTTTTGTTTTCTTTTGACCTGTAAAATACCTCACATGGTTGTTTTTACACATGAAAGAAAAAGGTATATGCGAACATACCTGATATCAAGAGGAGTATGCACCAAATAAATTTTAGCTTTGATAAAACTTTCCATATTAAGTTGTGATTTCATACTTTGTGATTACTGGTCTTAAAATAATTTTGGAACAAATGAATCTGTAAGAATTCAAACTATATAGGATTTTGAGAGATTATCTACATCAGTGGCTTTCAAACTCTTAACTGTGACACTCAATAAGAAAGACATTTTACCCTACAACTGCTATATAAAATATTTACCTGAAACAAAAGTTTCAGAAAACGTCTTTAATAGGTGTAGTGTACTCTTTTTATTCTATTAATTAAAAAGTTGGTTACAATTGCTAAAGGATTTCATGACTTAGTTTGAATAAAACTAAGTAGGCCAGGCGCAGTGGCTCACGCCTGTTATCCCAGCACTTTGGGAGGCCGAGGCAGGCAGATCACAAGGTCAAGAGATCGAGACCATCCTGGCCAACATGGGGAAACTCCGTCTCTACTAAAAATACAAAAATTAGCCGAGCGTGATGGTATGCACCTGTAATCCCAGCTACTCGGGAGGCTGAGGCAGGAGAATCGCTTGAACCTGGGCGGCAGAGGTTGCAGTGAGTCAAGATCACGCCACTGCACTACAGCCTGGACGACAGAGCAAGACTCTGTCTCAAAAAAAAAAAAAAATAAAGTAATTCAGCCCTATCTCTCCCAGCAGAGGTAGAAACAGAGGGCCTGAGGCTTGCATGGCTTAACCCGAAAAAATCAGCGCCTGGAATAGAAGCTAGATTTTTTCCTAATCTGCTCTCTACCACCTTGCATCTGTTACTGTATGAATTCTTCTGGAAGTGCTTCTGTTAAGACAGACATGTAGCAAGTAGGTGTTCAGTACTTATTGGGTATCATAAATATGTTTACATTGAGAAAAAATGGCTATGAGGGGAGAGTTGAGATGACAGAAATGTACATAGTCAAAATCAGCCTCTGGCTGCTGGTTTGAAATATGAGTGAGGAGAGTTGGGGCATCTGGGTTAGCAGTGTTTATAGTACCCAGACATATAGCGTAATTAAAGCTTTTAGACTTGGGGAGAAGGGAGTGCAGTAGTTAGAATGGCGATCATTAAAAAGTCAGGAAACAACAGGTGCTGGAGAGGATGTGGAGAAATAGGAACACTTATACACTGTTGGTGGGACCGTAAACTAGTTCAACCATTGTGGAAGACAGTGTGGCAATTCCTGAAGGATCTAGAACTAGAAATACCATTTGACCCACTCATCCCATTACTGGGTATATACCCAAAGGATTATAAATCATGCTGCTATAAAGACACATGCACACATAGACTTATTGCAGCACTATTCACAATAGCAAAGACTTGGAACCAACCCAAATGTCCATCAATGATAGATTGGATTAAGAAAATGTGGCACATATACACCATGGACTACTATGCAGCCATAACAAAGGATGAGTTCATGTCCTTTGTAGGGACATGGATGAAGCTGGAAACCATCATTCTCAGCAAACTATCACAAGAACAAAAAACCAAACACTGCATGTTCTCACTCATAGGAATTGAACAATGAGAACACTTGGGCACAGGAGGGGGAATATCACACACCGGGGCCTGTTGTGGGGGCGGGGGAGGGAAAGCATTAGGAGATATACCTAATGTAAATGACGAGTTAATGGGTGCAGCATGCCAATATGGCACATGTATACATATGTAACAAACCTGCACGTTGTGCACACGTACCCTAGAACTTAAAGTATAATTAAAAAAAAAAAAGAAAAGAAAAAGCCATTTCACCAAGATGGAACTTGTTGAAGTTTAGAAACTTTTTCTGTCCAAAGAAGCAAAGTTGCTCCAGCCACTCAGAAAGGATTTAACTACCAGGGGTAAAAACCACATATGTAACTTAAAATTTTCTAGTAATCCCATTAAAAATAGGTGAAATTGATTTTTTTTTTCCTTTGAGACCAGTCTCCTTCTGTCGCCCAGGCTGAAGTGCAGTGCTGTGATCTCAGTTCACTGCAGCGATCTCGGCTCACTGCAGCCTCTACCTCCCAGGTTGAAGAGATTCTTCTGCCTCAGCCTCCTAACTAACTGGGACTACAGGCATCCGCCACCACTCCCAGCTAATTTTGGTAATTTTAGTGGAGACAGGGTTTCACCATGTTGGCCAGGCTGGTCTCGAAGTCATGACCTCAAATGCTCCGCCCACGTCAGTCTCCCAAAGTGCTGAGATTACAGGCATGAGCCACTGCTCCAGGCCCTGAAATTGATTTTATTATATTTTAATATTGCCAGGTATGGTGGCTCATGCCTGTAATCCCAGCACTTTGGGAGGCCAAGGTGGGTGGATAGCTTGAATCCAGGAGTTCAAGACCAGCTTGGGCAACACGGTAAAACCCCGTCTCTACAAAAAATACACAAAATTAGCTGAGTATGGTGGCATATGCCTGTAGTTCCAGCTACTTGGGAGGTTGAGGTGGGAAGATCACTTGAGCCCAGAGGTTGCAGTGAGCCGATAACGCACCACTGCATTCCAGCCTGGGTGACAGAGTGAGACCCTATCTAAGAAAAAAAAAATTAAAATATTTCTGCATGGAATTGATATAAAAAACTCACATTTTACATCTTTTTGGGTACTTAGTCTTTGAGATGCAGTGTGTATTTTACACTTAGCACATTTAACTTCAGACTAGTCATATTTCGGGTACTTAGGAGCCACGTGGCTAGTAGCTGCTGCATTAGATAATGTGGATATAGTCTGGGCTCAGTGGCTCATGCCTATAATCCCAGCACTTTGGGAGGCTGAGGCGGGTGGATCACCTGAGGTCGGGAGTTTGAATCAATGTTGACCAGGTTGGCCTCGAACGTGTAGCCTCGCCTCCCCGAGTGCCACGGCAACCGGCCTGAGCCACAGCGGCTCCCGAAGTCGGGAGTTTGAGACTAGCCTGGCCAACATGGTGAAATTCTGTCTCTACTAAAAATACCAAAAATTAGCCAGGTGTGGGGCGCCTGTAATCCCAGCTACTTGGGAGGCTGAGGCCGGAGAATCGTTTGAACCCAGGAGGCGGAGGTTGCAGTGAGCCGAGATTGTGCCACTGCACTCCAGCCTGAGTGACAGTGAGACTCCATCTAAAAAATAAATAAGACAATGTGGATGTATATGGAAGCTCGGTGACTAAAGGAGTGAATGATGGCATTTATCAACTTATGGTTTCAGTTCCAAACCCATCCTTTGCCTTGCCTTGTACTGTTTTTTTCCTTTGCCAGCTGGAAAAATGAGGGCCCCAGAGTGGCACTGCAAAGCAAGAGCTGCAAGAAGATACTTTACTTATGGTTGTGGGTCTCCCATTATTATCCACCATAGAAGCCCAGCAGTCCAAACAGAGGAGCTCCAGCTGCACCTCAGGTTACCTTCTCCCAACCCTGAGCCACTGTGGAGCAGCTCCCATGGGCTGCTTCCATGCCAGCTCTGCCACTCCATCAAGCAACTGTCTTCCATTCTGTGGCCCATTCCCTCGGACAAGTTTCTTCACCATGGCAGGCTGAATGTTCCTGTAGAAACCACACCCTCTCCAGAGAAGTCTGATCTCAGCTTGGGAGTGGAGTAGGGGAAGAGAGCCTCTCCTGGTCTTTAGTTCATTTTTTTTTTTTTTTCACTTTTCTTCAGCCTAGAGGCAGTATTTGCCTTTTACCTGCTACTTCTGTGCCCCTTAGAGTCCTCTTTTGCCCCTACAAATAATTTACCAGCTTCTACTAGTTAGCAAATATTATATTAAAACTTCCCTGTTCAAGTATCTGGTGTGGGGTTTCTGTCTCCTTACTTACCCTCACTGATAGAGCCTGAATCCAATAATAAGTCATTTTAAAATGGGGCCATAAATATATACTGCTATCAAAAGCCATTGGAATTGTGTTTACCTATCCTATATTAAAACTTTATGGAAGTTCTTTTGAAAGTTCCCACAGTAGAAATACAGTTTGGCTACTTTAATTATACCTACTGGATGCAGTTCCAATTTTTGTCTTTTTTCCTCCTGTGTTTTGGATATGTTCCTTTGTGTGGTGACCTTGGTTGCTAGTAAAGGCAGTGTTTGACTTTTATATAAAGGTAAATGAGATAGAGACGTTAATGTCTGTAGTTTGATTGTAGGAATAAACATAGATTTGCCCCAAGTCTATGCCCCTCAGCCTACCAGTCTTTTTGAACATAATGATCAGTCAAAACTCAAATGTGAGGCATATCCATGGTCACACTAGAAGCATATGGTGTATGAAGTTTGGAGCCAGAAAAAGGTGCTTTTATTAAAAAAATTTCAGGCTAAAATTGTAGTACTCACACTTTATAGACGTGGGGCAGGGTACTTTACACATTTGCGTGTTGTAACAGATCCAATTTTTTTTTTTTTTTTTTTTTTTTTTGTCTAAGACAGGGTCTGGCTCTGTCACCCAGGCTGAAGTGCAGTGGCATGATCTTGGCTCACTGCAACCTCCACCTTCCAGGCTCAAGCAATCCTCCCACCCCAAGCCTCCTGAGTAGCTGGGGCTACAGGCATGCACCACCACACCCAGCTAATTTCTGTATTTTTTAAAATTTAATTTAATTTTTTTTTTTTTGGTAAAGACAAGGTTTCACCATGTTGCCCAGGCTGGTCTCGAGCTCCTGAGCTCAAGCGATCCACCCACTTTGACCTCCCAAAGTGCTGGGATTACAAGAGTGAGCCGCTGTGCCCGGCCCCAAAATTGTTTTTAAGAAAATCTTGTCTCTAACATTTGGCACTCTTAAGATTGTATCTGTAAAGAGATGGAAAGGCTTTTCACTGAGGTGGGTGTCCTCATTAGACTGCTCACATTTTATAAGAGGTTGTCACGTCTGTCTCCAGCTACAGTGGTTATGTGAATCTGCCCTCAATCAGCAATGGTACCTGTACTCCAGCCACTTGTCAGAGAGCAACATTTAACTCTCTATTGCCCAATGGGCAAAATCTCGTTTTTGAGAGATGTTTATTGAGGAGGCCAAAAATTGAGTAATCCATTCATTTTCTCTAGAAATTCTGAATTAAGCCCACTCTTGAGACCTTTGTGCCTGGGTTGCCTTGTTTTCTCCATGCATCAGGTTTCTTTTATCACTGGTAGCTTTTGACTATGCTGTGAACTTGTATTTACGCCAGGGATGACATTGGTTCACTCCCACATAAATAGCTTCTTTGAGGACCCACTGGAGAGGTTTCAGGTTTCAGTTCAGGAGTCAATGTGCTTCTAAGCAAGTGGTTTGCCCTTCCTTTTTTTTTTTTTTTTTGAGAATGAATCTCACTCTGTTGTCCAGGCTGGAGTGCAGTGGCATGATCTCGGCTCATTGCAACCACCACCTCCTGGGACCAAGCGATTCTTGTACCTCAGCCTCCCAAGTAACTGGGTTTACAGGCACCAGCCACCACGCCTGGCTGATTTTTTTTTTTTTTTTTTTTTTGTATTTTTAGTAGAGACAGGGTTTTGCCATGTTGGCCAGGCTGGCCTCGAACTCCTGACCTCAGGTGATCCACCCGCCTTGGCCTCCCAAAGTGCTGGGTGGCGTGAGCCACCGCGCCTGGCCTGCTTCTACCTTTTAAAGTCCGCATAAAGTAACAGATTAGGTAATACAGCTAAGAGATTCAGCCAAATGTGCTGTTTACCTGTAGCAAATGTATAGGATAATAATAGTATGCAATATTCAATGCGTACCTTCTGGCTTTATCTGATTTTTAAAAAATCCTTATTTCTCATTTGCTCTGATTTCCTTTTAAAATAAGTTTTTTATCTATGTTCATAGAAATCCTCTTTTGGAATCAGGTAGAGTATAAACAGTTACACGGACTGAATGAGTGTAAATCTTGTCTCTTTCACTTAACTGACCAGAATAAGTTTTCTCAGCTACGAAATAAGATCACACCTTACAGGCCTATTAGGATTAGTGTGCAAAGTGTGCAAAGCACCTAGCACAGCTCCTGGCACATAGTAGGTGCTCAATAGATTTTTCCACTCACTTTGTGATGATATAGATCTCTAAAATAAACTCTGCTTTAATGAAAAACAAATACTTCACCTGGCTGGGCGATGTGGCTTATGCCTGTAATCCCAGCACTTTGGGAGGCCGAGGTGGATGGATCACTAAAGGTCAGGAGATTGATACCAGCCTGGCCAACATGGTGAAACCCCATCTCTACTAAAAATACAAACATTAGCTGGGCGTGTTGGTGCACGTCTCTAACCCCAGCTACTTGGGAGGCTGAGGCATGAGAATCGCTTGAACCCGAGAGGCGGAGGTTGCAGTGAGCTGAAATCGCACCACTGCACTCCCTCCAGCCTGGGCAACAGAATGAGACTGTCGCAAAACAAACAAAAAAAACCATCTGGCACCATTTGAATGCACTTATTTTTCAATAAATACATAAATAAAACTAAGCTATAAAATACTATACGCTTGGCACTGTGAGATTCTTGGGACACAAATAGAAATGAGATATAGGCCTTGCCCTCAGGGGGTTTGCACTGTAGTTATAAAGGTAGTTGAGTAAGCAGACAGGTGCAGAACAGTGTGATACACACTATGAGCAAAATCCATGTAGGAGGGACACGCAATCTAGATAGTCGGGAAGGCTTAAAGGAGACAGGGCCCGAGCTCAGCTGCACAGAGCTTTTGTAAAGTTTTTTACTGTTTTTTTGTTTTTTGTTTTTCTGTGTTTTGTTTGTTTGTTTTGTTTTGTTTTTTTATGCTACCAAATGATTACTTTGGTCACATTTTCTCAAATTAAGTTTGAACTACTAGGGAGCGGATTAGAGCAGGTAACTGCCAAAGTCCTTTTGAATTCTGAGATTTTATGAAAACTTCTCAAATAAGGGAAATCTGGTCAATTTTTCATGACTAAGAAAAGCAGAATTAATGCTAGCTGCCTAAATTAGAACATGTGGAGAAATACCAAAAAGAAAAAAATATTAGCTGATTAAAACATTTCTATTAGAGCCAGGGATGACAGCAAGGCAAGGAGCAGAATAAGTGAGCTATAATGTTATTTTTTAGCTGGTTTATATTTTATTGAATATTTCATACATTTAAGAATCCACACTTGGGGGCTTAATGTATATAGAATAAATCTTTTAAAACCGTGGCTGGATTTTGGGGTTGTGGGGGAAATGTCTGCCATAAATATATTTAGTCTGTAAACTACCAGAAGATGTCACTATCTCCCAAGTAATCATCCATTACATTAGCCCCTTTACAGGTGATTTTTTTTAACATGAATAGGCTAGGGAAGATAATGGGAAGAATATCTGCCTTTTGGTGTAGCATCTACAAAAGGATGGGATCATGAGAAATACTTGTGAACGGTGTGTGGGTTTGTTCTGCCGTGACCCTTAACCCCCCAAATATCATCCTTGTTCACTGCTCTATGTGTTAAAATTATCTGGACACGCAGGGTTCTATCTGCACCTTCAAGAAAAATGAAGGTGGTAAAAAAATCCTTCAAAATATTATCTCTGGTTTTGATCTTTCAACATTTCAGTTTGCATTATTACAATACAACTGTATTTAACAGATTATCAGATTTTCTAGTATATCCCTGAGTATTTTTTGCAAGTCACCATGCATAGTGCATAAAGCAAATCTAGTGTTTCCACACTGCAGTAATACCAAATGAAAGGAATCCAGCTTTCCTCATTTCTTCGCAAGGGGAGATTTCGGAGCATATGGGTAGTATAACACATGTTTAAAAAATAAGCCTGTAATTCCAGCACTTTGGGAGGCCGAGGCAGGCAGATCACTTAAGGTTAGGAGTTTGAGACCAGCCTGGCCAACATGGTGAAACCTCATCTCCACTAAAAATACAAAAATTAGCTGGGCCTGGTGGCACACACCTGTAATCCCAGCTACCTGGGAAGCTGGGGGCAGGAGAATTGCTTGAACCCAAGGAGGTGGAGGTTGCAGTGAGCTGAGATAGCGCTCACTCCAGCCTGGGTGACAGAGCAAGACTCTGTTTTAAATAATAATAATAATGTTATTGTCTTTACAGCCAGAAAACAGACTAAAAAATTGATAATTGAGTGTCTTATGTTGGGATACCCCAATATGAGATACCTTACCTTGGGGAGAGATACCCTCCAAGATGAAATGAGAAATAATTTGTTATAGGTAAGCAATGGCAGCAAGCAAATGAGCACATGAGTGTGACTTCTTGTTGCATCTCTGCCTGATACCTCAAAGTATCACTGGCCTTCTCCATGCCCTGGGCTTCAACAATAAAGTGGAGTAGTTGGCTCAACATAGTTCTTTCTATATGTAGTTATAAGGCTCAAAGGAGCAGTGAAAATGAAGTTAAAAGTTCTTCATAAATATAAGGAATTCATGTTCAAAGCAAATTCTTGACATTTATCATGTGTGAAATACTTAATGAATGATTGATTCCATGCTGTATAAAAACACCCTAAAGTTCTGTATTTTGGTTATCTGACCATTTCTTTTCAAATTTCATTTAATGTATTTGGGAAGAAAATGAATGACACCTAATATCTAGGCAGTTACAGTGACAGACTGAAAATGGAAATTGATATGTTTCCAGGGTCTCCATGTATGCATGTTTATATTTGCAAAGTATTATGGAGATGTCTTTTACATATAGTGTAAAAATCCTGTAATTTAGGAAACTAGAGTCAAATTAATTGAACTACAAATTAACTGAGTAGCTGACTTACAGTGAGCTGAAATTAATGGGACTAACAGTGTTTTATTATGGACTGGAAGCAGCATGTAAAAATAAAGTGACATTTGTAATCAGGTGGGTTTAAATCTCGGCTCCACCAATAACTATGTAATTTTGGACAAGTTATTGAGTGAGCCTCAGTTTGCTCACATGTAAAATGGGGATAATATCAATTTGGCCATTCTACTTTGTCATATACACTTTTTTATTCTACTGTGTGAGAATAAAATGTGATCATGAAACTCAAGTCAGAAAGATGATACGGAAGCAATTACAATAGAATGGGATAAAGGTTCCCACTAGCCTTCCCTTAGAAGGGGAGTCTTACCTAGAATGGGGTGGATGGTGGCAATCTTAATCCAGAGGCCAGTATATCAGTGTTTGATACTAATTTCTCTTCACTCTGCTGTCAATTTGCCCTAATTTCCAGTGGAACATTTTAATGAAAGATAGATAATATGTAACCCTAGAAACCAGCAGCCTATTTTATTATTTTAGAGATGAAGTCTTGCTATGTTGCCCAGACTGTGCTTGAACTCCTGGGCTCAAGAGATCTTCCCCTCTCAGCTTCCTGAGTAGCAGCTGGGACTACAGGTACACACCACTGTGTCCCACTCATACTTTATTCTAAAAATTTCCATGGTAGCTAGGACAAGCATACCTATAGTTAGGTGCTCAATAATGTTTCTAAAAGCTCAAAGATTCTGAGTATATCTTTCCTGAGTTACACCAAAGACACTCTTTACTACTCAGAGTAAGATTATATGATCACAGTGTACCATGTACCATGGTGGTACAAGTTCAGGAAATGATCTTTAGGACCTAGTCCCAGCTCTCTGAATTCTGCTGGCCAGGTTACCTTGGGCAAAATTTGCATCTTTATTTCTTTATCTGCTTATTTGTTTCATAAGTTTATAGTGAGAATCAAATGAGATATTTGAAAATGCTTTGTATATAAGCTTGACTATCAATAGAAGAATTAATATCAAATATGGGAGTTCAATGAAAGAAATTGAGATATATATATGTATATAGGTTAATACTACTGATAGTTAACAATATACAAATTTTAAAGGATTGAGAGAAGTCTTGCATAAAAGAAATTTTTATGTTTGTCTCAGGATGTTATGGGGGTGAGAAGGAGGAGTATGGAGTTGGGATAAGGAATAGGGTTGGCTGGAAAAGCTGCCACAGAATTTAGGAATTTAGGAGAACTCCAAGATGACCAGTTCTCTTCATTACTTTTGTTTCCTTATGAAGTCTCTTATGGAAAGGGTGAATCATTTGGTCATTACCTCTGATCCTGGTTACCTGGTTAAAATTCTCCATCTAATACTTTGGTTGGATTTGATGAAATAATTTTCTGTAGTAACTATTTGAGTTGCTTGTTTGGGATTTGCTGGTTTCCTTTTTTTTTTTTTTTTTTTTTTTTTTTGTCTAGGTGGCAGATTAGAACAACCCGGCTCAGGACCAGCCTATGAGCTCTCTTTGTTTTGTTGCTGCAGACTGGAGTCCTCCATATCACCAAACTGGGCAGTCAGGCTCACCAATCTGGTGTTAGCTAGAGAAATGCTTGGCGTTACAGGGTTTGGGTTTTAAATCATCGCAATAGTCAAGACTCTTTATTTGTAAGGAGCAGAAACTATCTTGGGCAATTTATTGTAAGGATGTGAGTATTTTGTGAAACCCAAGGGTAAAAGGACAACTGAGTCTAGGAAGATGAGGCCTGGAAGGCCATGAGAAATATCCTCACCCCATACCCTCGCCCTGTTATAGTTTCATTGTCTTATTTCTCAATCTTTTCCAAGACCAGTGTTCTCTGCATCTCTACACCACAAAGTTAATGTAACCACCTTATAGTTATAATTCCAGAGTCCTGCAAGATTAACTAGCAGTCTTGTAATTCCAAATTTAAATTACTAGGAGGGTCGGGTGCAGTGGCTCACGCCTGTAATCCCAACTTCAGGAGGCTGAGCCGGGCAGATCACTTGAGGTCGGGAGCTCAAGACCAGCCTGGCCAACATGGCGAAATCCTGTTTCTACTAAAAAAAAAAAAAAAAAAAAAAAAAATTAGCTGGGCGTGAGGGCACACACCTGTAATCCCAGCTACTCAGGAGGCTGAGGTGGGAGAATTGCCTGAACCCAGGAGGCGGAGGTTGCAGTGAGCCAAGATTGTGCCACTGTACTCCAGCCTTGGTGACAGAGTGAGACTCTGTCTCAAATAAATAAATAAATTAAATAAATAAATGAGTAGGAGAATCTCACATCTGACTGGTTCAGCTTGGTCCAGGTGTCTACCCCGGTCCATTCAACAGTGCTCAGGGGGATGAGAAACATTATAGTTAACTACAGGACTTTTGGAGACCTGTCACTATGAGAGGGAGGGGGCAGGGGACCCTGGAAGTTCTCTGAGAATGAAGAATTGCTATGATCTGGGAAAGCACCCCTAAAGATGCCTTAGTTACATTATTTTCCCTAAGGGAAGAGGCATTTTTAGTACAGGACAATGGGAAGTCATTAAATATATATCAATGGCTGTTTTTTTTTCTACTGTATCTACAGTCTATATATCCCCAGCACAGACCCAGGCTCTTGTTTCACACCCCCCCACAGAGAATTCCACACTGCACATAATTTCCTATCTTTGCTATATTTGAGATTTTGAGATGGGGAGCACATGGTTTTTTTTTTTTTTTTAAGTTTTGTCTTTATTGAGATCCTTATTTGTTGAATTATTGTCATTGCTTTTTTCCTTTAATTTTTTTAACTTTTAACTTCAGGAGTACACGTGCAGGTGTGTTACTGTGCCATGGGGGGTTGGTTGTACAGATTATTTCATCACCCAGGTATTAAGCCTAGTATCCACTAGTTATTTTTCCTGATCCTCTCCCTCCTCCCACCCTCCAGCCTCTGATAGGCCCCAGTGTGTGTTGTTCTTCTCTTTGTGTCTATGTGTTCTCATGGTTTAGCTCCCACTTGTAAGTGAGAACATGCGGTATTTGGTTTTCTGTTCCTGTGTTAGTTTGCTAAAGATAATGGCCTCCTTCTCCATCCAGTCCCTGCAAAGAACATGATGTGGCTCTTTTTATGGCTGCATAGTATTCCATAGTGTATATGTACCACATTTTCTTTATCCAGTCTATCACTGATGGGCACGCAGGTTGATTCCATGTCTTTGCTGTTGTGACCAGGGAAGCACATGTTTCAGTGCTCTTCTGCAACAACTGAACTGCATAGTGTTCAAGATCATCATTCCAGTCGTGTTTTCTGCTGCATGGGCATTCCTACCTGACTCTCTAACGCTATGCAAGGTTCCCCAAATGCCATGCTGTCTCATGCATGTCTTTGTTCCCCCGTTTTTTCCTTTTGTTTGCCTCAGTCTTTCTCCTCCCTGAAGGTTTATACTATCCTCCCCTCATCTAGGAAGCCCTCTCCCACTCCCATCTGCAGGCTCAGGTAGGTGTCCTTGTTTGTGCTCCCCCGGCCCTCTCTTGTGGGACTCACTGCACTGTAATGGACTCATTCATTTTCTGGTTGGTTTCTTTCTTCAAGGGGAATATCACAGTTCAACCTATATCACCAGTGCCTAAGAAGGGCCTGCTACCAGGTAGGTCCTCAAGAAAAGGAAGAAATGAATAAATGAATGAAATGAGCCTCACTTCTATATAGTCTTGGTTTATATTTTCTAGTCCCTATTATCAACAGTTCTACTGTAGAAGGTAAGAGCACAAGCTCTGATGTCAGACTTTCTGGGTCCATATCCTGTCTCTGCTCAGTTTCCTAGATGTGTGAACTTGAACAAGTTTACTTCACCTCTTTGTGCCTCAGTCTCCTCATCTGTGGATGGTATAATGACACTTCCTACCTCAGGGTCATTGTGGGGAATTGAATGAGTTAGTGCATGTTAAGTGCTTAAAGTCTGGCATGTAGATAATTCTCTATAAATCTTAGTTATTATTATTATCAAACATCTAAATCACCACAAGAAACTGCAGATCTAGGTATGCTTCCTGAGCAATACATTCTGCAGGAATGGTTAGTGCTCTCAGAAGTCATTGAGCCTCAGGAGAGATGGATGTGGTTTTTGCCTAGTATTTCTTCCGTTATGTGCTCTAAGAGATAAGGAACATAAGGATATGTTGGGCTGGAGGAATGGGTTAGAAGCTCCACCAGTGGATGCTTTCGGTAAGAGAGTATGTCTATCATGGTTTATTGTGATTGTATTTGCTTTTAATGAATAAGTGAGCTTTTTGAGGACAGGCAAATACTCGGTGGAATGATTAGACATGCGTATTCCTGGGGCCTTCCTGTTCTCAGTCTTGAGGGGTTATGATGGGAAGGTTGGTGACCAGAAATTGTCCTTTTAGAAACAAATGTCCTTTTAGAAACTATCCTAAATGTCCATCAACAGGTCAATGGAGATACAAAATTGTGTTATATCCTTACAACGAAGGATTACTCAACAAAAAAGAGAAAAGGAACAAACTACTGATACATGCTATGACATGGACAGACCTCAGAATCATTATAGTGAGTGGAAGAAGCCAGACACAAGCAACCATAGATTGTATGATTCTATTTACATGAAATGTCCAGAAAAGGCAAATCTATAGAGATAGAAAGTAGATTAGTTGTTGCAGGATATGGGATAGGAGATGAGGATTAACAGTGAAAATGAAGGATCTAGTTGGGGTGGAAATATTCTAAAATTGCTTTCTGGTGATGGTTACACAACTTGGTAAATTTATAAGAATCTGAATTGTCCACTTGAAATGGGTGAATTATTTGAAATGCAAAATATGTCTCAGTAAAGTATGTGTGGGGAGAAAGAGGGAGGGAGGGAGGGGGAGACAGAGAGAGAGAGCAAGAGAGAGAGAGAGACAAAGAGAGAGAGAGAGAGAAAAGGTTGGAGCCAGGCTGTTTGGATCTGAAACCTGGCTCTGCTACTTACTAGCTGTATGATCTCAGGTAAGTTTAACCTCTTTTTGTCTGAGTTTCCTGCCAGTAAAATTGGGGAAAATAAGAAGTTATTTACCACAGAGTCTTGCTGGGAAGATTGTGGTGATACTTAAAGAGTGCTTAACACAGAGCCAGGACCCTAGAAAGAACTCAAAAGATATTAGCAATATTTAGCCTACCAAGGATTCAGCACGGACTTAGTTGAACTTAATTCAAATTTTGGATAATTTGGACAGTGGCTTGCAGAGGATATTGACTGGTCTTGTGGAAATGACTCCTGGGGAGCCTGAGAGCCTATAGCCTATGATTTGTCAGTCGCATGCAGACTGGAGGATTGGAACACAGGAGCCTCAAAGATGAAGAGTTTTTTTTCCACCGCAGCAGCATTTACAGAGGCGTCATCCTGCTGCCCATAAATGTGGCCACAACTTGCAGCGTTTCAGCCCCAGTTCAACAAGTATTTAGGTAACGCCCACTCCCTGCCAGGCTCTGCTAGGGCAGAGGACAGGTGATTTGGAGGCACAGAGGAGGGACATCTCACCTTGCCCATGCAGTTTTCTAGAGGATTGATATCTTAGCATGACCTTAGAACCCCTAGAAGTTACCCAGTTGAAGGGGTGCAGAGAGTTACCCAGGCAGAGGGCATAGCTTGAGTAAAGCCCAGAGGCAATAGGGAGCTTGCTGAGTTCAGTGAAATGAGGATGTGGAAAGCAGAGTGACAAGAAGAAAGACTTAGGGTCCCAGGGAAAGGCCTTGTGTGCCATGATAAAGAATTGTATTGTAAATAGTGCTGCAATAAACATACGTGTGGATGTGTCTTTGTAGTAGAATGATTAGAATACATGGATACAGAGAGGGGAACATCACACACCGGAGCTGGTCAGGGGTTGGGGGGCAAGGAGAGGGAGAGCATTAGGACAAATACCTAATGCATGTGGGGCTTAAAACCTAGATGATGGGTTGATAGGTGCAGCAAACCACCATGGCACATGTATACCTATGTAACAAACCTGCATGTTCTGCACATGTATCCTGGAACTTAAAGTAAAAAAAAAAAAGTCCATCTAGAGGGAGAAAAGGGGAAAAAACAAAAATAATTTTATTTATCCTGAGGACAATGAGGAGTCAGTGGAGAGTTCTAAGCAGGTTCTAGATATCTTCCGGCTCAGAAATCTTCAATTAGATGGTCCCAAATGGCATCTACGTATCATACTTTGAGAGAGCCTGCTCTGTTGATTAGGAGCAAATAAATGTCCTCCTGGATGTATGTGGCCTGGGTTTTGCATTTGGGCTACTCAAATGCAAGTTCCTCGTGGGACCACATCCATGCTAGTGGCTGGCTGAAAAACGGCTTCATGACTCTCATGAGGGGAATAAAAGGCATGGAGTGGTGGCTGTGAGCCTGTCTGCAGGGCCAGACCTCAGAAAAGCAAAGGGCTGTAAATGTTTCATAAATTTCTCTCTGGGTGCCTGCTCTGGCTGAGAGCCCATTCATAAGCCCAGGCGGCTGAGGGGCAGGTATTGTGCCGGTTACTATAGCATCACCTTGGAAAGTCTCACTTGGTGAGAGCGGCAGGCGAGCTGGGGTGGGGCAGGAGGGGGACGCGGCTGGCTGGAGGGGCTGGAGCTAGGCCACGGATACTGCTGCTGGTCTCAGGACTCCTGGTGGTCCGGAGCTCATGTTAGCGTCCCCAGCTGCAGCCCAGGGAGGGAGAGAGGCTGCGCTCAGTCTGAGAGTGGCTGCCTGAGACAGCTGCCACAGGCTGCTGCAGAGCGTGCAGCTTTTGCAAGGGACTGAATTCCCAGCCAGACACCCCTTGGACTCTTTTTTGGAGGGGTGGGGAGCAGAGAGAGGAGGGAGTTGTCTTATCTTGGAAGATCCGAGCTGGGTTTCATCTCCTTTTTGATTTTGAGTAGTTCCCTCCACGAGAACTGACTTCCAGGTGTTCACCAAGGGAAACAAGGTGGTTCTCACACTGGAAATGAGGAAGGATGACAGTTTTTGAGACTGACTGTTAACGGCTCAGAGGTGCCCCTCATTCAAAATGCCTTTTAAAGCATTTGATACCTTCAAAGAAAAAATTCTGAAACCTGGGAAGGAAGGAGTGAAGAACGCCGTGGGAGATTCTTTGGGAATTTTACAAAGGTAAAGTTTGAATGCGAACTTTAGTTCCTTTCTGAGTAGCTTCGTATTGCCAATGTGTGAGAGACTTGGTATCACGTTTTTAAAACCACACTTTAATGAGGAGAGGATGGGTCAGATTAGATCCTTCTGGAGCCCCTTCTAGCTCCAGTAGTCTATGCCTGGAGGAAAAACAGATGCATGAATAGTATTGGGTTGTATTAGGAAAAGATCAAGACAAATATGCTGTTTATATAGCTGGATTAGCACTTTCTGGAGATGATGATATTGCATATGGTATGTTTGGCATTGAATTAGAAAATATTTAGGGAGATAATATTTTATGTTAACTCATTAGTAATGACAAATATGCCTTGAACTGAAATAATTTTTATGTTTTTCACTGAATCCACTATAAATGAAAATTAAATATTTGCAATTTTTAGCTTATTTAATAAAATACATAAAGTGGTTCCTGATTGTATAGTTTGCAAAGAGAAGGATAGTTACACATTAATTTGAAGGAAGTAACTTAAAAAATGTCTTTGAAGCAGAAAATCTCACATAATTGCAGTGGGAAAATGTTAAGTACTATCACTGAATTGAATGAGATTTTAGTCCAAACCAAAAAGTAAATATTTTTTAAAGTAAAATATATTAATGGAAGGAGAGTTTGCTATAAATGATTGAATTAATGTGACAGTTTAATTTATGAATTTTTATAGACATAGTAAATGCCTTCTCAAATTATATAAATGATTTCATAAGTGGTCCTTATGTGCAAGGTAAAATGACTGCTTTATCTCTCTGATATAAATAAATGTGAAAAATAACTTTGATACACTTTTTATTTGTTTGGATGATTATTTCTAATCCTGGTGAGTGAAAATGCCATCTGGTGTGTCCTTTTAACTTTTCTATTATCTCTTAAATTTAAAAACTTTTTCATTTAAATGACTATTTCCAGGCAATCTGAGATTCATCCCATTTCTTGTGTTTTAAAACACATATGCTCCTGTCAGTGTTAAATTTTCCATGGTATCACTGTTAATATTAACTTTCCTAATAAGAAAAAAGAGTTGGACACCTTATTATTTTAGTAATTAGAAACAAAAAAGCTTCAATCAGACCTACACTGAATTAGCATGTCTAGATGAAAACCTAGCTCAGTGACAGCAGCATAAACCAGCCAAATATAGAAAAAATTACAATAACATTTTTTTCAGAGTGTTTTATCCTTCCGTTGAGCACTCCCCAGGTAACGTCTTATTGTGTTGGCGTTCATTTGATTAGAAACGCAAAAATAATTTTTGCATAATAAGCACGATAGCTTAATTGGCTTATTCAAGTAATGACAAAGGAATCTGGCAAAGTCAAGAATAAAAACCATAGGCCGGGCGCAGTGGCTCACGCCTGTAATCCCAGCACTTTGGGAGGCGGAAGTGGGAGGATCGCTTGAGGCCAGAAGTTCGAGACTAGCCTGGGGAACATAGAGAGACCATGTCTCTACAGAAATACAAAAAATTAGCCAGCATGATGGTGCATGCCTGTCATCTCAGCTTCCCAAGAAGTGGGAGTATTGCTTGAGCCCAGACATTCAAGGTTGCAGCGAGCCAAGATTGCGTCTCTGCACTCCAGCTAGGGTGACAGAGTCAGACTCTGTCTCAAAAAATAAAAAAATAAAATAAATTTAAAAACCTATGACGTTGGGCCATAGTCACCATTATAAACAGCAAACTCTGCCTTCATTTATAAAATATTTGATATAAAAATACTTAGGAATTTTCTTTTCAACCTTAAGTTTAATTGCTTTTTGTGAAATTTGATTGCTTTTTTCAATAGGAATTATTGATCGAAGAGCCGGTTTTGCTATGTTTGATTGGAGGAGCTACATGGAGATCTTTTTGTTTACAAAATTGATTTGCTTAGGGATATAACAAAATTGGCGATTTTCCAAATTGTGTGACCTCAACCAGAAATTGGGCTATGTGTCTAGGACTGTTTGAATAGTTTCCTCAGAACAATAGAAAAACAGCTAGCACAGTACTAGGGACAGAGAATGCACTAAACAAATGCTAGATATTGTCATGGTTGTCCTAATTGTAGAATGGCTTTAGAAAAAATAAAGCCAAGGTCAAATCCCTTTTTTCAGTGATCTATAGAGAGAAATTATTGGCAGAAGAAACGAAAACAGACATTGCTTGAGCGGTGATCCAAGTTGATCCTCAGTTCTAGTGAGGAATTATCAAGACCAGCTCTGCCACGTGTTTGGCATTAATCACAGGTGTATAAGGTAATTGTATGTAAATGACCCTGCCCAGAGCCTGGCACATACTGGGCATTTCCCTCTCATTTCACTGCTTTTCACGTAAAACCAGTTGACAGAATCCCATGTAAAAAAATCACAAAGAACTGTTTTCTGTTTTGTAGGAGCTTTTGGAAGCTAGAAGCCCCTACATTGTAACTTAGAAGGCAATGTAAATCACAGCTGTCTAATAATGTTTGAGGCTGAGGTCATCATCTAAATGGAATTCTTGAGATGCTTTTTAATCACAGTGTTCCTCACAGTCAGGGGAGTGGCAATTGCACAGGGAAGCATTTGAGAGTTCGCACACAGGCTTGATTACAGTCAGGCATGATTAGCTTTCCTGGAAAACAGTCATTGATAAGAAGCAGCTGAGCAATTAATCAGCTAAAGGTAAAATAATATTTTAGAAGTGCAGGAAGAAAGAAGATGCACTCATTTATAGTTTAGTATTGAATTATATAGATGACATAGAAAGCATTAAACTTGGAAACTAATGTCCAGAAAGTGACATGCAGATTTGTTCAATTTAAATTACAATTTATGTGTCCTTTAATTGTTCATGTCTAAAAAACATAACAGTGACAAAACAGTATCTTTCAGACACTGTAAACTCATTTAATTCTATTAAAATCCCCATGAAGAGGGGATTACTATAATTACAACTTTTCTTTTTTTTGGGATAGGGTCTCACTCTGTTGCCTAGGCTGGAGTGCAGTGATGTGATCATAGCTCACTGCAGCCTCAAACTCCTGGCCTCAAGCCATACTGCCTCCTTGGCCTCCCAAAGTGCTAGGATTACAGGCATGAGCCACAGCATCTAGCAATAATTTTACAGATGAGAAAACTGAGGCACAGAGAGGTTAAGTAGCTTGCCCAAGGTCACACAGCTATAAATGGAAGAGCTAGGTTTCAAACCAGATGTTCTATGCCCATCATTCTTAATCACTACATTATGTTACCCCTGTAATCAAGTGTCTTTCCTCTTCCCACTCACTGTCTTGATATTGGGCCACTTATTTAGGTTTAGGGAGGTCTACTTGGACTGCAATGTAGCCAGCAACTTCTGGATCTGCTGTCAAGTGTGGGCTATTCTCCTAATCAGTTGCATCTTTATTGAAGGCTTTCTCCAAGGGAGGCTTAAGGGGAGTCTGGTCTCCTTACAAGTATGTCTATCTTCCCTTTAAATGAAACTAGTCCCTGCATCGTGTCTGTCTTCAGCATTCAGGAGTGTGCCAGATATGCACTTCCTGCTCCATCAACAAAGGTGAGTGTGTTAAAGCTTGCTCTGAGATCAGGTGATCCTGGGTTCCAACTGCTGCAACATCCTTTACTTCCCTGCCTGCATGACCTCAGGCAACTTGGCTGCAATGGGGTGACTCTAGGAAACCAAGTCAGATCACATCTCACCCCTGCTCAAAACTACCTCACTCAGAGTTAAAGCCAGTGCCCTTTCAATGGCCTTCAAGGTCCTCTGTGATCTAGGACTTTTGGAAGGCTCTCTGAGTTCATCTGTGACATTTTCCTGCCTCACTCTACTCTGGATTCACCGGCCTCCTGGCTCTTATTAGAACTCCCCAGATTCACTCCTGTCCCGGCTTTCGCCCTGTTTCTTTTGCTTAAATGCTTTCCTCCCAGATAGCCTGATGGCTCATTCCCTCGCTTTCTTCAAGTATGTGCTCAAAGATCCCCACTTTCCTGGCCATTCTATTTAAACATGAAGCTCACCTGCCCTCCTCCTCCTGCCCTCTTCTCTGTCCCTCTTTCCTGCTTTACTTCACCTCTGTCTTAGGTAGGTTCCCTAAAAAGCACAGCCTGAGACAGGGATTTGGGTGAGCCTAGAATGTGATTTAATGAGCTCTTCCTGAAAAAACTGGGAGGGAGTAAAACAAGAAGGGAAAGGAGAGGCTGGGTGTGGTGGCTCATGCCTATAATCCTAGCATTTTGGGAGTCCGAGGCAGGCAGATTGCCTGAGCTCAGGAGTTTGAGACCAGCCTGGGCAACATGGTGAAACCTGTCTCTACTAAAAGACAAAAAATGAGCCAGGCATAGAGGCATGTGCCTATAGTCGTAGCTACTCAGGAGGCTGAGGCAGGAGAATTGCTTGAATCCGGGAGGCAGAGGTTGCAGTGAGCCGAGATCACACCACTGCACTCCAGCCTGGACGACAGAGGGAGACTCCATCTCCAAAAAAAACAAAACAAAAAAAAACAGAAAGGAGAAAGAGCCAAGCAAGGATGCATGCTCACAATGCCCAGTGGCCAGATCCAAAGGGGAAGGCTCTGGAGCACAAGCGATGTGCTGAGTCCTTCCTTTGGGGCAAGTGGGGCAGCCTTTTATATCTCTGCCTCAGTCAGTCATCAGCTCTGGGCTGATGGGGGTGGGTGAGGGGTTTATTTGGAGGCCACTGAGCAGTGGGAAGTTCTCCAGGGTTCCTCATGCCAGGACTAGAAGCCCAGGCAAGGAGTCACCATGGTGGCAAGGGTCATGGGTCCTGATCCTCAGGAGGAACCAGAACTGTCACCTCATCACGGGAGCAGGAAGAGATGTGTTTGGCACTGAGGTGGTCCACTCGGACATCTCCTGATACTGCCTGGGCTAGTTTTATTTATTTTTTTATTTTAATTTTTAAAATAATAGAGATGGGGGTCTCACCATGTTGATTAGGCTGGTCTTAAACTCCTGGGCTCAGGAGATCTTCCTGCCTTGGCCTCCCAAAGTGCTAGAATTACAGGCATGAGCCACCGCACCCTGCCTAGTTTTAACTGCAAATGGGAAAATACAGCAACCGTGACCTGCTAGCAGCTCTGGAAGTAGAAGTGTGCTTGCCCATCAAGGGGAACTGGGGAGTGTGCTATGGTGTCTATGACAGCCCACCCACTGCACCGCTCAGATCAACTTGCTTCTCACATGAAGTTCACTCCATCCAGGTACAGCTTCTCCAAGACTCTATGGTTGTAATTCCTGAGGAGCCTTCCAAAGAAGAGTTATTAAGACAGACTCCAGGCCCCACTGTGATGACTGGTCCCTCCTCTCCACCCCTTTTTGATTTCCCTCACTTCTGTTTGCTTGTCTGATGGGTTGCCCCAGATCTTCATCCCTGAGAGGTCTAAATCCCTGGTTAACATAACCTCACCAGGTCATGGTTGCTGTATTTGCCCACTGACAGTTAAAAACTAGCCAAGGCAGTATCAGGAGATGTCCCAGCAGATCATCTGGGTGCCAAACATATTTCTTCCTGCTCCCATGATGAAGCGACAGTTCTGATTCCTCCTGAAGATTAGGATCCATGACCCTTATCACTGTAGTGACTTCTTACCATGTCTTCTGGTCTTGGCACGAGGACCCCAAAGTGACTGAGCAGCAGTCGTAACCATATGTTGACTAGGATTTCCATTGTGTTCCTAAATGGAAGAATTCTTCCTTGTGAATCGGGATTTCTAGCTCCTCAGAGCCTAAGCTGAAGAGATGAGATATTCCTCAGGTGGGTTACTGGGAATGATGGCGAGTGGGGCCACTCCTTCTCTCATGCCTTGTTTCTTTGACCTGTGTGTTCTGCCCACTGGGCACACAGCACCATATCATAACTGTTGGGTTTTTTGTTTGTTTGTTTGGGATGGAGTCCCACTCTGTCGCCCAGGCTGGATGCAGCGGCTTGATCTCAGCTCACTGCAACCTCTGCCTCCTGGGTTCAAGCAATTCTCCTGCCTCAGCCTCCTGAATAGTGGGATTACGGGCACCCACCACCATGCCCGGCTAATTTTGTATTTTTAGTAGAGATGGGGTTTCGGTATGTTGGTCAGGCTGGTTTCAAACACCTGACTTCAAATGATCCACCCGCCTTGGCCTCCCAAAATGCTGGCGTTACAGGTGCATAACTGTTGATTTATGGAATATACTGCATCCTGGAAGATAGCACCTTACCCTCCCAGGGTTTCATCTCCAAGCTGATGTCGCAGCTGCATCTTTAAGAAGCTTCTTCAGAGGCCAGGTGCCATGGCTCACACCTGTAATCCCAGCACTTTGGGAGGCCAACGCAGATGGATCATTTGAGGTCAGGAGTTGGAGACCAGCCTGGTCAACATGGTGAAACATATATTTTCTACTAAAAATACAAAAAATTGCCAGGCGTGGTGGTGGGCACCTGTAATCCCAACTACTCAGGAGGCTGAGGCAGGAGAATTGCTTGATTAAACCCAAGGGGGAAGAGGTTGCAGTGAGCTGAGATAGAGCCACTGCACTCCAGCCTGGGTGATAGAACAAGATTCCATCTCAAAAAAAAAAAAAAAAAAAAAAGCTTCTTTAGCTCTGGCAGGCTGTCAGCTTCTGGATGGTGTGGTATATGGTGGGGCTTGTGCATCCCATTGTCATGTGCCCACTGCTATGCCATCTTCACCATAAATTGGGTGTTTTGGTCTGAAAAAATGTGATGTGAGATCCCATGTTGAGAAATCAGACACTGAATCCTCAGATAGTGATGTTGGCTGAGACTTGTAGTCTGAATAGGCAAACTCATACATGGAATATTTCAACCCCAGTCAGGATGAATTGCTACCCTTTCCAGGATGGAAGGGGTCTGTTACAAACAACTTCTGACCAAGAGACTGGTTTGTCCCCTCAGGAATTGTGCCATCTCAGGGGCTCAGCATTAGTCTTGTTGCTGACCGCAGCAGGAGCTAGCTCAGTCCTGGTGAGTGGGAGCTCCGACATAGCCTCCATCCCTGCTGCCATGGTTACTCTGTTCATAAGTGCACTGCTCTAGCACTGGGTGGCTGAGGACGGAAGCTAGCTGACATCAACTGGCCAAGTCAGCCTGCCTATCGTCTGTTTTGTGCCTCTTCCAAGTGGCATGTGATAATGTGCAATCAGGAGAGCTCATACTAGGCATCCACTCATAGATTGATCCACATCTCTTCCCCAGATCTTTTTCCCAGTCCTCCAATATTGCTTTAAATGTCCCCTGACCTCCAGTGAGGTCATTCACCACTGCCTATGAGTCCATGTATATCCTTACCTTTGAATGTTTCTCTTTTCATACAAAATGTGTGGCCAGGAGACTGCTCAAAACTCTGCCTATTGGGAGGCTTTCCCCCTCACTGTCCTTCAGGGCCATCCCTGGGTGGGCTGAAGTATAGCAGCAGTCCATTTGCAACATGCTCTAACATACCAAATTGACCAGCTCTGGACCAAACTAAGTTTTTTTTCCTCCTGTAATTTGTTCACAGGTGTGAGCTCATGGAGAGGCATTGGTATAGTAGATATAGGTCAGGTGGAAAACTGGCCCCTCTGACATGGGATTACTTGTGTCCTGTGGCCCTGCTGGTGTTAGATTCCAGATGGACCACTTCCGTCTTATGATGGACAGTTGGACTTCTCAGGTCTGATAGAACCTAGCTCCTGATGGGTCGTTTTGGCTGCATGGTCTCTTGATATTCCATGGTCAGATGCTGTGTCTCCACCAGGACTCAGTAACATGCCATGAGATGTTTTTTGTCTGTTGTATATTTCTCTACTATAGATGACAAGGCCTTGTCCCAGAATCCTAAGGCTCTATGCTATATTTCTCCTATTGAGTTTTGCCAGAAACCTCATATAGTGTCTTTTCCTATTCAGATGACTTTAGTACCAAGGGTATGCTGGAGAATACAGCCCTAGTGGCAAGATCACCCTTATTGCAGCCTAGACTTGCTACAGAACATTTTCTTGTTTTTGGATTTCATTAAAAACCAGCAGCCTTTTATGTCATGGAATAAGTGGGTTAGAACAATATTCCCAAGTGTTGAATACACTGCCTCAAAAACCCAAAGAGGTCTGCCAACCATTGTGCTTCTTCCTTAGTGGCAGGAAGTTCAAAGCACAATAACTTTTCCTTCACTTTGAAGGGAATGTTCTGGAATGTCTCAAACACTAGACTCCTGTGAACTTCGCCCACGTGATGGACCTGTGATCTTTGTAGCAATTATTTCTGGAGCACACATGTCTTACTGAGGCATCCAGAGTACTTGTCAATTCTTGCTCCTGAGGTCTAAATAACATAATGTCATCTATTGGTCATAATAGATCAATGTGATGTTCTGCAGCAGGTCCAGAAGGTCTCTCTGACTATATTATGAGAGAGAACAATCCACGGATATATACTGTCATTCATCTCATGTCATTGTGAATTTCTTAGCCTCCTTTCTAATGGATATGGAAAGAATGCACCAGATCAAGACAGGCAAGCTATGTACATGAGTTAAGAGTGTGGTAGTTCCCTGTCATCCACCGTGATCCCTTCTTTTTTTTTTTTTTTTTTTTTTTTTCAGGGGGTAGGCTGGTGAATTACCTTGGGATCCAATGGGGGCTACCACCCCTGCATCCTTTAAATCTCTGAAGGTGCAATAATCTCTGTCATTCTGCATAATATAATACTGTTTTTGATTTATCTTCTTACACAGGGATGACAGTTTTAAGGACTTCCATTTGACTTTTTTCTATTACAATAGCTTTTATTCTACAAGTCAAGGAACCACGGAAAGCGTTTTCCAAATGCTAGGTGTCTCTCTTCCAATTATACATGTGGGAATTATACATGGGGGAATGACCACTGGATGGGTCCATGGACATGAACTCACTATGAGACGATCCTGTGCCAGGACTCCACTTATTACCTGACCCTTATAAGCCCCACTCTAATGGAGGAAGAATAGTGCTATAAATCTCTGAGTATCAACATCAATTTGCCCCTTTATCCAAAAGTCTGCAAAAGATAGAGGTATTTCTCTTTCTTCAGTGTATGTTTACCCAAATTAATGGTGGTAGAGTCCTTTGGGGAAGGACTGTGGGCATCATGACTGCATTTCCTTCTGTGGTGTTGCAGGTTCCTTAGTCACGGAACCTTCGGTCTTCTCCTTCAGTCTTTGGATTCTGGCCTAGAAACTGGGCAAGAGAGTGTGACTTTCCACTGGGGTGGCCAGCCTCAGCCTACTGCCCATTCATCAGCTCTTTATCTTTTCTGGTTTTATGTATATGAAGCAATACCCTTATTGGCTGCCCATTTTATTTTTGTTCCTTGGAGCACCATGTTCTGTGAGTCATCTCTGAGATTCCTATGGGCTGATTCCCTAACTGTAGTTCTGAATTTTCTGCCCTTACCTATGATGGTTAAGTGCTCCCAATCATCCCAATTGCCACTGGTTCTGGAGCAGCACCTTCTACTGTGAGCCTCAGCCAGAAGAGGACAGCAGCTTCTGAGCATCAGTGGTGCCTGTGGCCCCATCACCACTGCATTCCTTATTATCTTAAGAGCAGGAGTATTCCTCAGGCCTCCTGAGAAATATAGTTCGTTTGTGGGTTTTCTGGTCTTATATAGAAAATCCATTCCTGCATAGTCATTTATTTGAGGCTTTTGATCTTTCTTTATAATCTGCTGTAACAGTTCCCAACATTTCTCATTTTTAAAGAAAATAAGTTAAAGAGAGACCTTTTAATTGATCAAGAGTGTGATCAACATTAAAGATATAACAATTATGGAATTCTTATATTCCAAATAATAGAGATCAAAACTTTACTTAAAGGAATAGAAGATAGCCAATTTAATTATCAGTAATTCATCGCTATGACTGGTTCAAATTCAGCAATTTTTATACCAGGCATTAAAAAATGAAATAGGCTTGTAAATTAGGTTTATATAACAATGAAGGAAAAGAGAGGATGTAGACCTGGACCAACCAAAATAAGGACACTCTTGTGGCCTTAGGCATTCTCTCCTGGAATGGATAATTTTTTATTCTTTTATTTATTTATTTATTTATTTGAGACAGGGTCTCACTCTGTCACCTAGGCTGGAGTGCAGTGGCACAATCATACCTCACGGCAGCCTCAACCTCCCAGGCTCAAGTGATCCTCCCACCTCAGCCTCCTGAGTAGCTGAGACTACAGTTGCGAGCCACCATGCTTGGCTAATTTTTAAAATATTCTGTAGAGACGAAGGTCTCGCTATGTTGCCTAGAATGGTCTCGAACTCCTGGGCTCAAGCCATCCTCCCACCTCAGCCTGCCAAATTGCTGGGATTACAGGCGTGAACCCCTGTGCCCAGCTTTCAAGTTATTTTTTTTAAAAGTCATGGTGGCCATATCCTGTATCTCTGTGTATAATGTAATAATGACTAGAAATTAGTACAGAATTATATTTTAAAAGTCACCAGGCTACTCTGGACATATCTATTTTGTTTAAGTTTCCAAGAACCGTATTAGCAGTTTATCAGGATCATTTCTCTTAAGGCCTTTGCCGGGATGTTAGACCCTGTGTCATGGGACCATGCCCCCTTTATTAGTTTCCTAGGGCTGCTGTAACAAAGTACCACAAACTAGGTAGCTTAAAACAACAGAAACTTATTCTCTCACAATTCTGGAGACCAGAAGTCCAAACCCAAGGTGTTGGCAGGGCCAAGCTCCTCCTGAAGGCTCTTAAGGAGGCCTCATGCTTGCCTCTTGCTGGCTGCTGGTAGCTGCTGGGAATCCCAGGCGTGCCTTGGCTTGTGGATGCATTGCTCCAATTGCTGCATTTGTTGTCACATGGTCTTCTCCCCTGGTGTCTGTGTCTATGATTTCAAATTCCCCTCTTCTTATAAGGACACCAGTCATGAAATCAATCTATTATGACCTCATGTTAACTTGATTACATCTGTGAAGACTCCATTTCCAAATAAGGCTACATTCACAGGTATCGGGGGTTAGAACATCAACATATCTATTTTGGAGGACAGAATTCAATCTACCTCCCATATTGATGAACTCTCCCTTATCCAACTTTATTACCCTACTCCCTCCAAATCTAGTACATTCAGGATCCATTCCCGGGCATACTTTCCTGCTTCTTGATGTAAATGTTCATCAGATTCTACGACTCCTGCTCCCAGTATCTTTTCTTAGCTCAAAAGTGTATTTTCTCATCTAAAGTTTATATTCTCTCCTTTTACAACTTCTCCCAAGTACTTTTACAACAATCAAATTTTCTAAGTGCTTCTTAAAGGTTAGTAAGGCCTATAGATTCAATACCTACAGAGTAAAGCAACCATATTATATATTTTGACATAGACACACTACATATTAACACATAGAAATAGGCTCCACTTCTGCAAGGAAATATGTTGTATCATTCAAAGTTCTTAGCTGCAATCAACAGAATACACTCTAGCTAAAGTGGAATGAAATTTCGTAAAGAATGTTAAGAATTGGGCTGGGGGCAATGGCTCATCCCTGTAATCCCAGCACTTTGGGAGGCCAAGGCAGGGAGAGGATCACCTGAGGTCTGGAGTTTGAGACCAGCCTGGCCAACATGGTGAAATCCCATCTCTACTAAAACTACAAAAATTAGCCAGGCATGGTGGTACGTGCCTGTAATCCCAGCTACTCAGGAGGCTGAGGCAGGAGAACTGCTTGAACCCAGGAGGCAGACGTTGCAGTGAGCCGAAATCCCACCACTGCACTCCAGCCTGGGCAACAGAGCAAGACTCCATCTCAAAACCATAAATTAATAAAAAATAAAAGAATGTTAGGAATTGTTCAGACTTCCTGGAAGGATCAGGTCTGGATGCTGTATTCTCCAGGAAAAAGCAGCAGAGAACATATACTTCTAGACTGTTCTGGATAAAACACAGCTGCCACCACTGCCTGCTTCTAAGTGTTGATTATATTGATGACTTGTTCCAGAAATTCTGCCACAGCAGTCACAGAGGAGCCAGTTGCCTCTGTTGCATTTGAAACCATCTGCACTGCCATTCCCCTGCATGCTGTATCCTCTTCTTGTTCTGTCCCGTATCTAAATCTCATTCAAGTGCTTTGGATTTAGCAGAGTCCACCTCTCATGCCTGCATTGTAGCTGCAAGAGAGCCTAGGAAAAGTAGGTGTTTTTTTTGTTTTTGTTTTTGTTGTTTTTTATTTTGTTTTGTTTTTGCTGCTCCAGCAAGATTCAAAATATCAAGAATTCATTAAGATATTGGACAGCTATAAATGATGGTTGTCTGCTACATATGTGTGCTACTAGTCTAATTTTTATTTTTCAACTTTTGATACAGACATGGGTACAAAACATATTTTTCTAATGTCTTGATTTTAACTACTAGAAAAGTAACAGTGCAAGTATAACGTTAAATGGCAACTGAGCTCACTATGGAAGTGACAATAGGGAGTGGTGGGGACTGTGGTAAATTGAGAGCCAATTGTAGCCATGACAGAGTGAGAGCTTGATTATTTCAGGTCTTCAGATTTTTCAAAATGAACAAGAAATCCAAAGTTTTATATGTTTGCTTGTTTCTGCTTTTTTGAGCTATCTCCTGATATTTATTTATTTTTTTATTTATTTAATACAATTTTTAAAAGTAGAGATGGGGGTCTTACTATGTTGCCCAGGCTGGTCTCAAACTCCTGGCCTCAAGCAATCCTCTCACCTTGGCCTCCCAAAGTTCCAGGATTACAGGTGTGAGCCACTGTGCTGGGCCTTGGTTTTTAAACTCTGTCAATTAATCTAAATTTATTTTTTATTTTTTATTTTTTATTTTTGAGATGGAGTTTTGCTCTTGTCACCTAGGCTGGAGTGCAAAGGCACAATCTCAGCTCACTACAACCTCTGCCTCCTGGGTTCAGGCGATTCTCCTGCCTCAGCCTTCTGGGTAGCTGGGATTACAGGCATGCACCACCATGTCCAGCTAATTTTGTATTTATAATAGAGATGGAGTTTTGCCATGTTGGCCAGGCTGGTCTTGAACTCCTGACCTCAAGTGATCTGCATGCCTTGGCCTACCAAAGTGCTGGGGTTACAGGCATGAGCCACCGTGCCCAGCCAATTAATCTAAATTCTAAAAAAAAAAAAAAAAAAAAAAGCAAAGACCCATACACACATTATACCAGATAAACAAAACATGGCTATGGGCCACATATGGCCATTGGGCTTTCAGCTTGTCATCTGTGACTTAGGCTTTTAAAGCCATAGAGACTATCTTTTTTTCCTCTTGTTCATCTAATGATCCCTGCTGAGGTAAGAAGCAGTGAGTCTCTGCTTAAATGGGGGGATAGGAAAGGGTCAAATTACCAGGAGGAAACAAAAACAGCATAGGTTAATACCTCAAAATCTATGAAGCTGGGCTGAGTGCTAGGGATTTTTGGTTCCTGACTTTCTGAAATTATAATCTACTGGAAGAGGCAAATATTAATTTAAAAATGAGAGACATAGATACTGTGGGAGCATTGACTGGGCTGGCGTTGGCCAGGTGCACTTTATTGAGCTCCTTTTGAATGTGGTGTGCTGAAATCCATGCTGATAAGATCCTATTTCAAATCTCAAACTAGCTCTGGGGATCGTATTTTAAATTCTCCTTCCTTTCTTTAAAATTTACCATTTATTGATTATTTATCAAGTGCCAGGAATTATGCTAAGCATTTTGTAACTCGGTCTCATTTAACGTTCACAGTAGTCCCATCTTCCTTTCATAAATGAGGGAACTCAGGTTGAGGGAAGTTAGGTAATTTGCTCAAGGCCACATACCTAATAAATACCACAGTCAGCATTGAACCCAGTACTGTCTGTCTCCAGGGCATGTTCTCTGAATCCCACTGCAATACTCCTCCAGAACCTTTAAAAAAAAGTCTCTGTAGGTAAAGCACTCGCCATTCGTCAGGCGCTTTCTGATTAGTTCGTGTGGCACACTGGTAGCAATAGGCTGGATAGCAAATCTCAGTTGTGTTCTCCCTTCACCAGCTGCAGCTGGATGATCCTTGGGCAAGTTTTTTTTGTTTGTTTGTTTTCTTTTCTTTTGTTTTGTTTTTTAAGTCAGAGTTCTCACTCTGTCACCCAGGCTGGAGTGCAGTTCACTGCAACCGCCACCTCCCAGGTTCAAGTGATTCTCCTGCTTCAGCCTCCTGAGTAGCTGGGATTACAGGTGCTTGCCAGCACACCCGGCTAACTTTTTTGTATTTTTAGTAGAGATGGGTTTTCACCATGTTGGCCAGGCTGGTCTTGAACTCTGAGCTCAGGTGATCCACCTGCCTTGGCCTTCCAAATTGTTGGGATTACAGCCGTGAGCCACCGTGCCCAGCTGGGCAAGGTTTTAAATATTCTGAGTGTCTCAGTCTTCTGAGCGTCTCAGTCTTCTGAGCAGTAAGATGGGGATATCTCCTATTTGTCAAGACTATTTTGAGAATTAAGGGAGATAATATATATTTTATAGAAACCTCGTGGAGTCCCTAGAGTGTAGCAAGTAGTCAACGTCCTTCAGTTAATTTTCTTCTTCCAGTAGAATAGCAACTCAAGGATCGTGTAAAAGACAACATGAGCTAAATGGGACCTTTTCAGAGGGCAAATTTGAATGCTGTATTTGTTTGCTAGGGCTGCCACAACAAAATACTACAGAATGGGTGGCTTAACAAACAGAAATTTATTTTCTCACAGTTCTGGAAGCTAGAAGTCCAAGATCAAGGTTTGATTTCTCCTGAGGCCTTTGTCCTTGGCTTGCAGATATTGCCTTCTTGCTATGTCCTCAGATGGCTTTCCTCTATGCATATGCATCCCTGGTGTCTCTGTGTGTCCAAGTCTCTTTTTATTTATGTATTTTTTTGAAACAGGGTCTCACTCTGTCACCCAGCCTGGAGTGCAGTGGCGAGATCATAGTTCACTGCAGTGTCCAACTCCTGGGCTTAAGTGATCCTCTCCCCTCAGCCTCCCAAGTAGCTGGGACCACAGGCATCCATGCCACCACACCTGGCTCAAATGTCCTCTTCTTATAAGGACATTATTCATATTAGATGAGGGCCCACCCTAAGGGCCTCATTTAACCATAATTACGTCCTTAAGCACCTCATCCTAAATATAGCCACATTTGGTGGTACTGGGGGTTAAGACTTCAACACATGAATTTTGGGTCACACATTTCAGTTCATACCAAATACAGTGAGCAAGTAAATTGATTTAAAAATACTGTTTTATATATATATTTAACTTTAGATAGGCTCTCTCTATATTGCCCATGCTGGTCTCGAACTCCTGGGCTCAAGGGATCCTCCTGCCTCAGCGTCCCAAACTGCTAGGATTGCAGGCGTGAGCCACCACGCCCAGCCAGTAAATGGATTTTTAAAATACGTAAAATTATCTGCAAGTTCTCTCACTTTGTGCTCCAAATGTTGATCTTATTACCTATGAAACAAAACAAAACAAAACCTTTTCCGCAATTAGTGGGAACATTTGAATTGCAAAGAAATAGTTCTTTAAGTGCCTAAGGACTAGTTAGCATATCTTAGGCAATTAGACCCCTGGGGCTTGGATGTTTGCTGGACAACTGTGCCTGAGAACAGAGAGCAGGCACCTCCCTAGTGTGCAGAGGGCCAGCAGTCTGCAGACCGCGGCTGTCTATATTTGGAGAAACAACAATGAGAATGTCACTCTAGAAAGAATGAAGATTCTCTGATCTAAAAGACCAACTGCAGTCAAGCAGGGAAGGAAAACGAAATGGGATAAATAGCTATTATGGATAATTAAAGTCCTCCAACTCCTAAGAAATGAGTTCGTTTTTCTTCTCTTATTCTTAAATAACTTTCTCGTCTCCTCCCCTTTTTATAAAGCCTTTTTTCTGGGCAGGATGAATAGATCCTTAACCCTGTCTGTAAGTGCTTCAAGCCAGGAGTGATGTCTGGAATTGATCCACCAATTCCATTCAGTTGGACAAGGATTCATTGCTTCCAGGCACGATGCTGAACATGGAGAATAAAGATGAGTTGGAAATGGTCCTGGGATCAGGGAGACCTTCATTCATATATGGACACAAATCAGTGACTTTTTTTTTTTTTTTTTTTTTTTCCGAGACAGAGTCTCGCTCTGTCACCCAGGCTGGAGTGCAATGGCACCATCTCGGCTCACTGCAACCTCCGCCTCCTAGGTTCAAGAGATTCTCCTGCCTCAGCCTCCCGAGTAGCTGGGATTACAGGTGCCAGCCACTATGCCCAGCTGATTTTTGTATTTTTAGTAGAGACGGGGTTTCATTCACCATGTTGGTTAGGCTGGTCTCGAACCCCTAATTTCAGGTGATCCTCTCGCCTCAGCCTTCCAAAGTGCTCAGATTACAGGCATGAGCCACTGTGCCTGGCCCAAATCAGTGGCTATTTACTTAGCACCTATGCTGCTGAATGAAAATGACTCTAACTCCATGTGAGAAGTGTTCTAACAGAGGAATGTATAAAATGCCAAGGAAACACCAGGGATGGCAGAGACCCTAACGTTCAGGCAATGTCTATTCATTTATTGGTGATAATGTGTTAGTCTTTGTAGGGTCGGCTCATGTATCTCTGTGAGATAAATATTTATTGTACAGAAGAGGATATGTGAGATTCAGAGAGGCCAGGTTATTTGCCCCCAAGTCACACAGCTCGCGTATCAGTGGCAGAGCTGGAAATCAAATCCAGGTTATCTGACTGCCCAGAAGCCTGGTGTGTTCCATGATACAGGGTGAGGGGGTTCTGTCTTCCTCTGTGAGCTAGGCTATACAAGAAATGGCCTGCTATTTGAATGCTTTTAAAACAAATCAAATCTGGTCAGGCATAGTGGTTCACACCTATAATCCCAACACTCTGGGAGACTGAGATGGGTGGATTGCTTGAGGCCAGAAGTTCCACACCAGCCTGGCCAACACGCTGAAACCCTGTCTCTACTAAAAATACAAAAATTAGCCGGGCGTGGTGGCCTACGCCTGTAATCCCAGCTACTCGGGAGGCTGAGGCACAAGAATTGCTTGAACCTGGGAGGCGGAAGTTGCAGTGAGCCAAGATTGCGCCACTGCACTCCAACCTGGGTGACAGTGCAAGACTCCGTCTCAAAAAAATAAATAAAACAAAACAAATCAAATCTGACTCTGAGCCCCCTGCCTGGGGGAAGTTAGATTTCTGTTCATTTTGATGCTCCCCTTTTGCCACAGCAATATTATGCAAAGGACTCACAAACAACTCAGGAGGTCCTGCTAATTATTGATCCTCATTTGCTCCTGAGCCCATGATCCCTTGAAGTGGTGGCTCAGCTGCCACTTTGGGCAAAGAAAAGTGAGATCCTGTGCTCAGACCCCTCCCCACAGCTCCTGATATCCCATCTCCAACTGGAGAGCTGCTGTGAGGGGCTGGCTTCAGGTCAGCCAGCTGTAGGTCCTGCTTCTTGTGGAGCCCACAGCTCCTTCTTTCAGGGCTTTCCCTTTGATCGTTACTTTCCCCTTCTTTCTCCCCATCTCCCATACTGTATGTCTTCCCTCTGGAAAGTCTCGGGATGTCTAAGATGACACTGTGCACACAGAGGGTGCTTGTGTTGGTTCAGGTCTTCCAAGAAAGCAGATACCAAGACAGGACTCGGCACATACGAGATATGGTCTCGCTCTGTTTTCCAGGCTGGAGTGCAGTGGCACAATCACAGCTCACTGCAGCCTCAAACTCTTGAGCTCAAGTGATCTTCCTGCCTCCGCCTCCCAAAGTACTTGGATTACAGGCATGAGTTACTACACCTGGCCAAGAGATTTATTGAGGGAAAATGGGGAAGGAGCTGGAGGAGGCTGGGGGAGCATTCAAACTGCTACCTGTGTAGGAGAGAGGGAAGGAAGAAAAGCTAGGTGGGAAGACTTTCAGACTATATTACAATACTGGGACATTTTGGCATGGCCAGTGCAGAGTCCTAGAGCCAGTCGCTGTCAGAGGAGTCCTGCCTCTGGCAGGAAAGAACGGCCTCACATCCCTGCGGTGCTCAGTTCTTGGCAGAATAACAGCCTGTGAGAAAGAGGCGCTGTCCCCACGCCAAATGGGTGGTTGATTCAGAGCACAGCAGCTGGGGCTGTCTGCAATTAAGCAGTGCAAAGCTCCACAGCGCTTTCAGTTTTCATTAGCCTTCATCTAAAGCATCTGCATGTATATAGAGAGCGCTAAGCTTATGACTGGTGACACTTTATTAATAGCAATAGTGATAGTACTTACCACTTATTAATATAAAGCACTTTTTACGTACCAGGCACTGCCGTGAATCATTTACATGCATCAATCATTGAACAACCCTATGAGATACCCATTACGATTAGCCCAGTTTAGAGATAGGGATTCTTATGGGCTGAATTGTGTCTTCATATGGATCTGCCCAAATTCATTATGGTGAAATTCTAACCCTCAGTACCTCAGAATATGAGTATATTTGGAGATAGGGTCTTTAAAAAGGTAATTAAGGTTAAATGAGGTCCTTACGGTAGGCCCTAATCGAATATGACTGATGTCCTTATATGAAGAAAAAATTGGGACACACGGATACATAGAAGGAAGACTATGTGAAGGCACAGGGAGAAGAGAGCCATCTGCAAGCCAAAAAGAAAGGCCTCAGAAGAAACCAAGGCCTGCTGAAACCTGGATCTCAGATTTCTGGCTCTAGAATTGTAGGAAAATACATTTCTGTTGTTTAGGCCACCTAGTTTGTGGTGCTTTGTTACAGCATCCCTGGAAGACTAGTAGAAGGTCAAGTAACTTAGCCAAAGTCACAGAGCTAGCACAAGGGAGAGATAGCACTGGGCATCTCTCAGTCCAGAGTCCATTCTCTTCCCCTGCTCTTCTGAGTCATGATGGCTGCGCAAGGACTACAAAGTAACAGGTACAGATGACAAAGTGACTCAGGAAGATCATTGAGAAGGAGCATGGCCTGGTGTGCTGGGAACACACAGGAAAGTGGTCCAAGGAACCTAGACAGCAAAGGAGAAGGGTTTCATATCTTGCCTCTACCCACTAAGGGCTGTGTGACCTTGGCCAATTTGTTCTTGCTTTCTGAACTACAGTTGTATTTTGTGTCAAATGGGAGTATTAGATTTCCCATGTCTCACTGAGCTGTATTAATGATCAAATAAGAGAATTACATGAAAGTATCTGTAGAGGAGGGCAGAGGGAGAGAACTGAATTTGCCTCATACAATATTACTGTGGTTGTTACATATTATCCTTGTTTTAGCTGCTAGGAATATACTATTATAGTAATGTGTCAATATTAGAGCATCAGTTTTCTTTCTTTTCTTTTCTTTTTTTTGAGATGGAGTCTCACTCTGTTACCCAGGCTGGAGTGCAGCAGTGCAATCTCAGCTCACTGTAACCTCTGCCTCCAAGGTTCAAGTGATTCTCATGCCTCAGCCTCCGGAGTAGCTGGGACTACAGGTGCTCGCCACCATGCCTGGCTAATTTTTGCATTTTTAGTAGAGACGGGGTTTTGCCGTGTTGGTCAGTCTGGTCTCGAACTCCTGACCTCAGGTGATCTGCCCACCTCAGCTTCTCAAAGTGCTGGGATTACAGGCGTGAGCTACCACGCCAGGCCTAGAGCATCAGTTTTCCATCCTACTTAAGTTACACGTATTTGGTTGCCAGAAATTCATGGAGACTACTAGGGCAGCCCATTATAAAGTCCTATCATCCAACTGCCTCTCAGAGCTAATGGCATCAATGCTAAGTCTAGCATCATAGACTCATTAAGTGACGGTGAGGATTAACGTAATAAAAATAGCTGGTATATGTTGCTTTTTATTATGTGGCAAGTTCTGTTCTAAATTACCTAAGTTTGATAACTCATTTATGACAATCCTAAGAACAACCCTATGAAGAAGAAACTATTATAATTCCTAGCTTACAGATGAAGAAACTGAAGTCCAGGGAGTTTAAGTAATTAGGCTAAAGTCACACAGCTGAGTAAGTGGGCGACTCAACATTCAAAGTAAGGTACATGAGCTCCTCAGTTGGACATAGATTGGAGAAGTGAGGCATCCAAGATGGCTTCAAGATATATATATATATATATTTTTTTTTTTTTTTTTTTTTTTGAGACGGAGTCTCACTGTCATGAAGACTGGAATGCAATGCCGCTATATCAGCTCACTGCAGCCTCCGCCTCCCAGATTCAAGTGATTCTCCTGCCTCAGTCTCCCGAGTAGCTGGGACTACAGGCGCGTGCCACCACGGCCAGCTAATTTTTGTATTTTTAGTAGAGACGGAGTTTGCCATGTTGGCCAGGCTGGTCTCGAACTCCTGACCTCAGGTGATCTACCTGCCTTGGCCTCCCAAAGTGCTGGGATTACAGGCGTGAGCCACCGCGCCCAGCCTGATGGCTTCAAGATTTTTGCTGGAGCAACCAAAGTAGCAAAATTGTCATTACTTATGATGAGAATAACTTCAGGAATTAATTTTTTTTTAGGGGAAGTCAGTTTGGACATGTTAAGTTTAAGCTGCCTTTTAGGTGTCCAAGGAGATGTCAGATAAGTCTAGTTATAAAGATTGGGAGCTGTTAGCATATACATGGTATCTAAAGCCCAGAGCCTGCTTAGATGTCCAGAGGGCATAGACAGAAAGCAAGAGACCCGAGAATGGAGTCCTAGGCATTCTAGTGTATATAGGTTGAGGTAAGAAGGAATCAGCTATAAGAGATAAAACAGAAGAATTAGGAGGATGACCAAGTGTTTTCCTGGAAAAACATAAAATGGCCAAGAAAGAGAAAGTGGTCAATTGTATCAAATGCTGCTGCTAGGTTGATTAAATCAGATGAGGACTGAAAATGACCTTTGGACTGAGCCATGAGGAGGGCATTGATAACCTTAAGTAGGGCAGTTTTGGGGGCTCAGGTTGGGAATACCTGGCTGGAGTGGGTCCAGGAGAGAACAGGAGGAGAGGAATTGAAGACAGTCATTTCTTTCTTAAAAAAAGGAAAATGAGAAATAGGAGGATAACTGAAAGAGAAAATGTCTTTTATTTTAGATTCTAATATGGGAGGAATAAAAGCTTATTTATAGGCAACAGGAATGATCTATTATACTAGGGAGGAGAACATAATGAATGAAGCGTGGGGGTGGGGATTTCTGGAGCAATATTCGTGAGGGGATAAAAGGGGACAAGATCTAGTGTCCAGGGAAAGGGGCTGGACTTAGCTAGAAGCATGGACAACTGCATAGACCCCATCAGTATAAATGCAGGCCGGCAGGTAGGTAGGTACATTGGTAGGGAAATGGTTAGGTTCTTTTCCAATTGCTTTAATGTTCTGGCACATTTACTAAGCTTCTACTCTGGGCTCACCGGTTGAAATTCAAAGCTCCTTCCCTTGTTCTACCATTGCTTTTCACTTTGATTTCAATAAAACCCACATCATCCAGTAATTATAGCTGCTTGTATATGTGTCTTTCTTCCCCATCAGCCTAAGAGCTGGAAGAAGGCAGATAATATGTCACGTTGTCTATTGCTCCCCAATACTTAGCCCAGTACCTGAGACACAGTAGGCGCTCAATATATATCTGATGAACTGAATTGAATCCAGTGTATTTGTTTCTCTATACTTGTGCCGGAAATTTGATTTCCTTGAGTCATAAGAACCTGCCAAGGTGCCGGGGGCGGTGGCTCACGCCTGTAATCCCAGCACTTTGGGAGGCCAAGGTGGGCGGATCACGAGGTCAGGAGATCGAAACCATCCTGGCTAACACGGTGAAACCCCGTCTCTACTAAAAATACAAAAATTATCTGGGTGTGGTGGCGCATGGCTGTAATCCCAGCTACTCAGGAAGTTGAGGCAGGAGAATTGCTTGAGCTAGGGAGTCAGAGATTGCAGTGAGCCGAGAATCGTGCCACTGCACTCCAGCCTGGCAACAGACCGAGATTCCGTCCCCAAAAAAAAAAAAAAAAGAACCTGCCAAGGTTATCTTTCATATGAACTTGTGGGCAAATGACTTGTGTTTTATCCAAACTATTGGGTTAACCATTATATTAGCTATTTATCACTGCATTTAATATTTATGAAAACTTGCAAGCTTTAATTATTTTTAAAAAGACTTGGACCTTAAGTGGGCCATGACAGTATCCTCAGAAAGATGACAATAAGTAAGAGGATACAACTTCCTTTATAATTGACAGATAGGGTTCCGTTTGTCCAATTACTTTTTTTTTAAAAGAAGAGATAAATTCACTGTAATGAATGTGCCATAATTGGAATCTATAGAGGTCTACCATTTGAATAAAAGGTGCTGGATGATCACCTCCTTAGAGGAACCATCTAAGGAGAAAAGGATATACAACCAAATGGGTGTGCATTGTGATAGAAAATGTCCCTCTCCACCTCCACTTAGTATTTTATTAAGACTTAGAAAAATTAGGCCGGGCACAGTGCCTCACACCTATAATCCCAGCACTTTGGGAGGCTGAGGCGGGCGGATCATCTGAGTCGGGAGTTTGAGACCAGCCTGACCAACATGGAGAAACCCCGTCTCTACTGAAAATACAAAAATTAGCCTGGCATGGTGGTGCAGACCTGTAATCCCAGCTACTCAGGAGGCTGATGTGAGAGAATCGCTTGAACCTGGGAAGCAGAGGTTGCGGGGAGCCGAGATCGTGCCATTGCATTCCAGCCTGGGCAACGGGCAACAAAAGCAAAACTCCGTCTCAAAAAAAAAAAAAAAGACTTAGAAAGGTTAAGGTCAACTGTATCAGCTGGGTCGAGCAATGTGAACAAAGTCTGTCAATGCTCTTTCAGCAGGAAATGCAGTATAGCATATTGTTTTAGACATAGACTCTGGACTTGGGCCTCTATCCTACCTCAAATGACTTAGTTTCCTCATCTATAAAATGACATGATGACACTGTCTACCTCATGGGGTTGTTATAAAATTTAAATGATTGATTGAATGTTTATAAAAGTCCCACACAATACCCAGAACATCAGTAGTTTTAGCCACTATAACTTACTTTAATAATAATAATAATATTTAATAATAATAATAACTTACTTTAATAATAATAGTAATACCTCCATAGTATTCTACTATGGGTCTTCCTTTTTGTTTTTCATCTGCTGGTACCTTTTTTCTTTTTGCTTAGTATACTTTCTTTTTCCTTTAATCCTGGCTTTTATTTTCTGCCTATCCTTTTTCCCATGTAGAAAAATCGATGGGACAACTGAGGAAGAAGATAACATTGAGCTGAATGAAGAAGGAAGGCCGGTGCAGACGTCCAGGCCAAGCCCCCCACTCTGCGACTGCCACTGCTGCGGCCTCCCCAAGCGTTACATCATTGCTATCATGAGTGGGCTGGGATTCTGCATTTCCTTTGGGATCCGGTGCAATCTTGGAGTTGCCATTGTGGAAATGGTCAACAATAGCACCGTATATGTTGATGGAAAACCGGAAATTCAGGTTGGTATCAGTCCATGGTGGAAGACTTTTCTTTTTGAGACAGGGTCTCGCTCGGTCTCCCAGGCTAGAGTACAGTGGCACGATCTTGGCTTACTGCAGCCCCAACCTGCCAGGTTGAAATTAACCTCCCATCTCAGCATCCTCCCATTTCAGCATCTCAGATAAGTAGCTCCTCCCATCTCAGCATCTCAGCATCTCAGCATCTCAGCATCTCAGATCAGTAGCTGAGACTACAATCCTGAGGAAACTGTTGACTGCAGCTGTGTCAATACTTTGCTCCTTGAGAGAAAGCCCTGCAATTCCTTCAGTGATATGACAAAAATGGAGAGTGGCTACTTGTGCTGGGCATTGTGCAGAATGATGGGGATAGAAAGGTGAATGACCTAGACTGAGCCCTGTCCTCATGGAGACAAGTAAGTGATGACAGTTTGAGGGGGTAGGTGCCACGTTGGAGGTACACAGGATTCTTGGGCTCATAGGAGAGGGCACAGCCCAGACTTCCCTATTGTGAACAAATTCCCAAAGTGATGGCTGGACCAGGCAAAGAGGGTGTGGTGTGGTGGGAAGAAGAATGTTTGAAGAAAAAGGTACTGTGAAGGACTGTAAGAAAGAGACAGAGAGAGAGAGAGAGAGAGAGAACGTACACATGCTATGTAGGTATATTTTAGGAACTGAAACAGGAGCTCATCATCTTTTCTGTGTCATGGACTCCTGGAGATGACTAATGAACCTTTGCCAAAGTAATGTTTTAAGTTCTTAAAATAAAACACAAAGGATGACAAAAGAAGCCAATTATATTAAAATATAAATACCAAAACATTTAAAAATCACATTTGTGACATAGAAACATATGGGCTTCTTTAGTAGTACATCAGTGACAAAATCTAGTATTGGGTCTAACATTTACTCTGATTTTAAGTTGGAATGTATGCCATTGTTGGAAATAGTGGCCATGACTGTAATACGATTTGAACATATTTGCTATTTCCACGTGGGACACAGTCATAGGTACTAGTCATATGACGGTGGCTTGTTGCCTACATTCATAATGGCAGAAAATGCTAAATTTTGGTTAAGAGTGAAAATAAAGATGCATGTTTTCTTCCCATCCAAGTTCTCAGATGCACAGGATTCCATCCACAGACTCCAGGTTGAGAACTCCCAGTGATTGGGTAGAGCACGTTGAGGTGGAGGCAGCGAAGTAAATAGGGGGCTGATCATCCATAGCCTGGTAGGCATGTAGCAAGGGGCTGCAAGCATGGAATGATCACATCTGTGCTCCAGATTGTTCACTGCCCCATTGCAGGGGGCCAGATTGAGGTAAGATAGGAATGGAGGCCACAGGGCCAGTTCAGAGGCCATCATAGTTATAAGCAAGGATACTTCGAAGTGACTTAAATAGTATTGTTTTAGGAATCACTGGAAACATAAAATCTGGTTTGCTGCTTAAACGATAGACCTAGAGAAGTACTGAGGTTATGGGGTAAAAGAAACAAACAAAAATGTCTGCCCAGTGGACACCCCATAAATGCATGTTTCATCGTACTAAACTCACACACTGCAATGACTCATGCAGAAATCCGTTCATCTGCAGAGAGACATTTAATAGTTCTCTGGTCCCTCCCTCTATTTGAAGAAACATTTAGATCACAGTTTTTTGAACTAGTGTCTGGGAAATCACTGCACTGCAGGCTGTGCCATGAAGAAGGCAGTGCGAGACCTGGAGCCCATACTGTGCTGTGTCTTATGAGACTTTCCAAGAGGGAGACGTGGTAGGCAATATTTTCTGGACTGACTTGATCATAGAATGCTCTCTTTCATGCCATATCTATTAGCATCATCTGGCACAGTCTCCTGCCAGGCACTGGTTTGAGAAAATTTGATTTCAATCTGTCAAAAGAAGTCTTTAGTTGGTCTGCAAGCTATTTGTTTTTGCTTTTTTCAAACCAAGAGATTATTCTGCCAGAGGAAAACAGCACCATGGAGATCCTCCTAACTAGTCTCTATTTGATGCCACAGCCAAATCTGTCCTAAAAGGATATCCTGTCTTTTGTGGGGTGTGGGGGATAGAGGTAGAAGGGCATATCATGCGTTTTTAAAATAAAGAATGATGTATATTAGCAAGGTTTCAGATGTGTATCACATGCATTCTTTCAGCCTTTTGTGAGCAAGACCAGCTAATTAAAACTTGTCTGCTGAGGCCCAGATCAAAATGAGATGCTGTTTTGCATTTGTTTGTTGCCTGAAAAGATAGACCTTGGTCAATAGAGTCTGCTCTGAGGCATATGGAAAAGACATTTTGATTAACCCGAGGAACAATGCTAGTGTGCGCTCTCTAGTTTCTACGGCTGTGCCCTCTGGAGTCTTAGAGAAACTGATTAAAATCTGAAATATGGTTTAAATTTTTTTCCTCTGGACTCAGGAGTAGGAATTTAGTATCAGTAACTCTAGTACAGCTCTAATTTATAGCAGATTATTTCTCTTGTCCGCCTAGAACAAAGCTTAGATATCAAGTGAGCATGTTCAACCAAATGACAAATACTTTGCTAATTGTATTAAGAAAGGCTCTGAATGGCTGGTATGTTTGTTTGGTTTTTCTGTTTTAAGGGAAAAACTAGATATTTGGCACTGAGATATCTTTAAATCTTTATTTCAAAAGAAGGAGAGAAATAAGCAGTATGAATAGGTAGATCTTTCAAATATGTGGCATATGTTCTACAAGGGGTATGAAGAGTGATTTTAACTAAAGCGTGAACACTTTTTTTTTTTTTTGAAACGGGATCTCTGTTGCCCAGGCTTTAGTGAAGTGGTGTGATCATAGTTCACCGCAGCCTTGACCTCCTGGGCTTAAGTGATCCTCCCACTTCAGTTTCCAAGTAGCTGGGTCCACAGGCTCATGCCACCATTCTTAGCTAATTAAAAAAAATTTTTTTTAGAGATGGGATCATGCCATGTTGCCCAGGCTGATCTCAAACCCCTGGCCTCAAGGGATCCTCCTGCCTTGGTCTCCCAAAGTGCTGGGACAAGCATGCACCACTGTGCCTGGCCCATATTTTAAATTTAATAGTTATGAGTTAAAACATGTGAACTCTTAGAAAAGTGTTTGGCATATAGTAAGAAAATAAAATGACCGAAGTTTGAGAAACTTGTGATTTTGTTTTCTCATTACTCTCAGGAAAAGTCCAAAGTTCTTCCCATGGATTGTGGGCCCTGTAGGATTCAGAGCATGGGCTTTGGAACTGGCCAGACCTGGTTTTAATGAGCTCTGGGACCTTGAATAAGTTGCCCTTGTGTCCTGGTCAGAGATTGCTGGTTGCGAAGAAATGTGCAGTGAAACTGGCTCGAGTTAAAAGGGGATTATTGGGGCCCGGCATGGTGGCTCATGCCTGTAATCCCAGCAATTTGGGAGGCCAAGGTGGGTGGATCACCTGAGGTCAGGAGTTCTAGACTAGCCTGGCCAACATGGTGAAACCCCATCTCTACTAAAAAATACAAAAAATTTGGCCAGACATGGTGGCGCACACCTGTAGTACCAGCTACTTGGGAAGCTGAGGCAAGAGAATCCTGGCAGTTGGAGGTTGTAGTGAGTCGAGATGTGTGAGACTCCATCTAAACAAACAAACAAACAAACAAAAAATGGTAGTGGGGATTATTGTAGGGCTGTAAGAGGATCTCGTGAAAGCCAAGGGCAGAAAGCAGGTCTGTGGTGTATGTGTGCAGTCTGCACCCAGGACGCAGAAGCCAGCCTGAGGTGGGGCTGAAACCCAGGCTGTCCTCCACCCTGAGGAGGGAAGGGAGTCTTTATGTAATTCTTTCTGAGGCCGCAGGACAGGCCCTGCCAGAAGTGCTGAATGGAGCTTTCCCTCGTGGGAACTAGAGAAGCCTTTGCTAAGGTCTCCAGCTTGCTTGCCCCACAGAGTCTTTCATTGGCTTTTCTTGGAGTCAGCTCCGTTTTCCCTGGTCCTTCATGGACTGCTTTCTTTCCTCTTCCCTGGCTTCTCACTGCCCTCCACAGTGGAAGTGCCTTGAGCCTTTGTCTTGCTAGGAAGCTGATTTACTTGGCCCTGACTCTGTGACTCCGTGGGACTTATTTGGGTTCAAGAGTGCACTATTGTCTAACTAGAATCTCTGTGGGTTTGGGTTGCTGTCTCTCTCTCTCTCTCTGTGTGTGTGTGTGTGTGAGAGAGAGAGAGAGAGAGAGAAAGAGAAAGAGACAGAGACACAGAGAGAGGGAGAGGCTGACTGGCTGAGCCTAGCCTATGGCTTTGCTGTCTTAAACATTTTTTTTTTTTTTTTTTTTTGAGACAGAATCTTCCTCTGTTGCCCAGGCTGGAGTGCGGTGACATGATCTCAGCTCACTGCGACCTCCACCTCCCCGGTTCAAGCGATTCTACTCCTTAGGCTATCAAGTAGCTGGGATTACAGGTGCATGCCACAACGCCCAGCTAATTTTCGTATTTTAAAAATAGAGACGAGGTTTCACCATGTTGGCCAGGCTGGTCTTGAACTCCTGACTTCAGGTGATCTGTCCACCCCGGCCTCCCAAAGTGCTGGGATTACAGGCGTGAGCCACCACACCTGACTGGCTTGGCTGTCTCTACTCAGGTGTCCAGTCAGCTGTGGTAGTCAGTCGGGGAGAATCCCATGTTGCGGGGGAAGGTGCAATCCTCTCAGAAGTGTGAGCAGACAGGAACTGACATTTCTAGAAGTTCCTTGCTAACCCTCATTGCCCTTATTGTGAAATGGGAATAAAAGGACTGCTTTGAAGATCAAATAAGCTAACCTATATTAAATACCTATATTAGTTCCCTAAGGCTGCCGTAACATATTACCACAAACTTGATGGCTTAAAACAATAGAAATTTATTCTCTCAGAGCTGTGGAGACCGGAAGTCTAAATCAAGGTGTTGGCAGCACCTCATGCCCTCTGAAGACTCTAGCAGAGAATCTTTCCTTGACTCTTCTAGCTTCTAGTGGCTGCAGCAGATCCTCGGTGTGCGACAATGTCACTCTCATGTCTGCCTCCATCTTCACGTGGACATCTTTCTGCGTGTCTCCTCTTTTGTCTCAAATCTCCATCTGTCTTTCTCCTATAAGGACACTTGTCATTGGGTTTAGGGCCCAGCTGGATAGTCCAGATATCTCATTTTAAGATTCTTGACATTTTCACATCAGCAAAGACTTGTTTTCCAGATAAGGTAGCATTTATAGGTCCTGGGGATTTGATGTGGATATCTTTTGGGGGCCATTTTTTGGCCTTTCACAATATCTGACACAGTGTTTGGTTTATTATAGTGATGGTCCATATACAGGGCCATTTTTTTAAAAATTTATAATTTTAAAAAATTTTATTGTGATAAGAATGCTTAACATGAGAGCTACTGTTTTAATAAAGTTTTTAGTGTACAATACATTATGGTTGACTCTAAGTACAATGTTGAATAGCAGATCTCTAGAGCGTGTTCATTTTGCTTGACTGAAACTTTTTCCCATTAATTAGTAACTCCTCATTTCCCCCTCCCCCAGCACCTGACAACCATCATTCTACTCTTCAAGTCTATGAATTTGACTATTTTAGGTATGTCATGTAGGTGGAATCATGCAGTATTTGTCTTTCTGTGACTGGCTCATTTCACTGAGTGTAATGTCCTCCAGGTTCATGCCAGTTGTTACATCTTGCAGAATTTTCTTCTTTATAAAAGATGAATAGTATTCCATTGGTGTGTATACCACATTTCCTTTTTTTTTTTTTTGAGATGGGGTCTTACTCTGTCACCCAGGCTGGAGTGCAGTGGCACAATCTTGGCTCACTGCAACTTCCGCCTCCCAGGTTCAAGCGATTCTCCTGCCCCAGCCTCCTGAGTAGTTGGGATTACAGGCATGTGCCACCATGCCAGGCTAATTTTTATATTTTTAGTAGAGACGGGGTTTCACCACATTGGCCAGGCTGGTCTCGAACTCCTGACCTCAAGTGATCTACCCGCCTTGGGCTCCCAAAGTGCTGGGATTACAGGCATGAGCCACTGCGCCCAGCCACATTTTCTTTATTCATCTGTCAACGGGCATTCAGGTTTTTTCCACGTCTTGGCTATTGTGAATAATGCTTCAGTGAACATGGGGGTACTAATATCTTTTTGGATCATGATTTCAACTCTTTTGGATAAATACCCAGAAGTGGGATTGCTAAATCATACATTCGTTCTGTTTTTAAGTTTTGGAGGAACCTCTGTACTGTTTCCATGGTGGCTGCACCCATTCCCACCAACAGTATATAAGGGCTTTATTTTCTCTTCATCCTCACCAACACTTCTTGTCTTTTGTTTTTGATAATGGTCATCCTAACAGGTATAAAGTGACGTCTTATGGTGGTTTTGATTTGCATTTCCCTGATGGTTAGTGACATTGACCGCCTCTTCATGTAGATATTGGCCATTTATTGGTCTTCTTTGGAGAAATGTCTATTCAAGTCTTTAGTCCACTATTATGGTTTTAATGGGTCTCAAATGACAATGAAAGTCAGTTCTCAGCAGCCTAGGGGCTCTTCTTCATGTATTATTTCTTTCAGAGATTGACAGAAGCACTATTTCCCCAGAGAGAAAGGCATGAGAAAGGGATGTTGTGATTGACAATTAGCAGCTGGTTGAAGTGGGAGTTAGAGAAAGGGTCTAGTTCTCCCTCTGTCTTGGATCCTCAGGTAATTCTGTGGATCTGGGCAAAGAAGTCTTGTCTCTCCTTAGTGAGAAAATTAAGTCTCTCCAAGCAATAGAAAGAATATCGTGTTTTGGGGTTAGGCAGATGAGAGGTTTTGTGTCCCCTTTTCCTTGCAAATAGTTGTATGACCTTGGACAAGTAAACTAATCTCTCTAAGCCTTAGTTTCCTCATTTGCAATTACCTCTAGGTGTTTTAAAGATTAAAGGAGGAAATCTGTAGAAAGCACCTTAGTGAAATCATATTCCACCTCTGCTCAAATTTTCCAATGGTTTTCATTTCTCTTTGTTTAAAAGCCAGAGTTCCGGTGATGTCTTAAAGAACCCTTCATCATTGTAACCTCTCTTGCATTAACACCTATTCTCTTCCTCCTCATTCATTACCCTCCAGCTGTACTGACATACTGCTTTTCCTCTAACACGCAAGACACAACCCTACCTTGGGTCCCTTGTACTTGCTGTTTCTCTGCCTGGAAAGCTCACATCTCAAATGACCATATGACTTGCTCCCTTCCTTTCTTTAGGTCTTTACTTAAAACTCATCTTCTCAGTGAAGACTTCCCTGGCCGTTCTATCTAAAATTTACCCCACCACACTGCCATCCAACACTTCATATTCCCTTCCCTTCTTTATTTTTTCATCTTATTGCTGGTTACCATCTAACTCTGCCTGTAATTGTTTATCACCTGCTATCTCCACTGGCATCTTCAAAATGGCAGGAGTCACTACAGCTGTTCACTGCTGTACCCCAGTGCATAGAACTATGCGTGTTACACAATAAACACAAAATACAGATTTGGTGAGCTGATTTGAATTAATGATAGCTAGCTAGTTCCTTTTTACCATTGAGCTTCAACTTTCTAATCCGTAAAATGAGAAATAGAGAGTATAGGCCAAAGTGGCTTGGACTGTGAGCTCCTAGAAGGCAAAGACAATGCTTGTTTGAGTCTGTATTTACACTGTCCAGCACCTAACATTGCATTCAGGAAGCACAGGACGAACGTTGAACAGATGGGCGGATAAATATGTAATAACTTGTGACAGGAAAATAAGATAAGCAGTGATGAAAATTTATAAAACATAGTATGTTGATAATTAGGAACCCTCTTACTCCATATTTGCATTTTGATATCAAAAAGCTTTACAAAGCCATTCATTTATTCATTCATTTGGCGAATACACACTTGTACCTTCTATGTTCCCAGGCGTTTGATTTAGGTACTAAGACTATAAGTCAAACAGGACATGGCTGCTATCTTAGAGTTTCTTGGTGCCCTGTGTGGGAAATTGACATGTGGATGTCCATTCACTGAAGACAGCACTGTGTTGGTGCCATGGCTGTGGGACCAAAGGTCTGTAAGACAAGCCCAAGAAAAAGGGACCAGTTCAATTTTCGGGATTCAGGAAGTTTCCTCTGAGGAAGGACCATTTACAATGAGTCTAAAAAGAATGAGTTACTTTACCTGGGAAAGAATATGAGGAAAGGGATTCCAGCCCTAGAGAATCACATTTTCAATGGCCTAAGGGTTGTGGAAGGTTGTGTTGTTGCTATTGCCATCAGCATAGTATCAGTAATGGCTGCTAACATTTATTGAGTCTACACTGTGTGCCAGTCACTATCCTAATCTGTTACATGCAAAATCTCTAAGCAGAGAGATAACCTACTAGAAATATTCATGCCATTTATCCCCACACATCCTATGGATAGGTAGAATGGGCTTTATTGTCCTCATTAAGAAATGAGAGACTTAAGACTCTAATTCTCTTTGTGCTATCACAAAACTGGCATCTGAATAATGTAGTAAATAACTTAGTAGCCCCCCAAAACCCCATTTTTTGTTTTATTCACAAGCTATTTTATTTTCTCCTTAGCATTCATTGCTATTTTGTGTTTTTTCTCTCTGTGTATATACATATATACACACACATTATATATATTATATATATATAGAGAGAGAGACACACACATTAGATATATGTATTTTTAGAGACAGGAGCTTGCTCTGTCACTCCCACTGGAGTGCAGTGTGTGTTTGTAGCTTACCTTAACCTTGACCAACTCCTGGGTTCCAGGGATCCTCCCATCTCAACCTCCTGAGTAGCTAGGACTACAGGCACACACCACCACACCTGGCTAGATTTGTATTATTATTATTATTATTATTATTATTACTATTGAGATGGAGTCTCTCTCAGTCACCCAGGCTGGAGTGTAGTGGTGTGATCTTGGCTCACTACAACCTCTGCCTCTTGGGTTCAAGTGATTCTCCTGCCTCAGCCTCCCAAGTAGCTGGGATTACAGGCGTCTGCCACCACACCCAGCTGATTTTTATATTTTTAGTAGAGATGGGATTTCACCATGTTGGCTAGGCTGGTCTCAAACTCCTGACCTCAAATGATCCACCCACCTCTATCTCCCAAAGTGCTGGGATTACAGGCGTGAGCCATTGCACCTGGCCTAGCTGGCTAGATTTTTGATTTTTTGTAGAGATGGGGTCTCGCCACGTTGCCCAGGCTGGTCTTGAGCTCCTGGCCTCAAGTAATCCTCTTGCCTAGGCCTTCCAAAGCATTGGGATTACAGGTGTGAGTCACCATGACCATTAATATAAATACATATATATTTAAATTTGTACATAATCTCTTATTACAAGGTGAAATCTATGAGAGCAGGGACTTTTGTTTGTTTGTTTCATTTTTTTTTTTGAGATGGAGTCTCACTCTGTTGCCCAAGCTGGAATGCAGTGGTGCAATCTCAGCTCACTGCAAATTCCATCTCCCAGGTTCATGCCATTCTCCTGCCTCAGCTTCCTGAGTAGCTGGGAGTACAGGTGCCCGCCACCACGCCCGGCTAATTTTTTTTGTATTTTTAGTAGAGATGGGGTTTCACCGTGTTAGCCAGGATGGTCTGGATCTCCTGACCTCGTGATCCACCCGCCTCAGCCTCCCAAAGTGCTGGGATTACAGGTGTGAGCCACCGCACCCGGCCGGTTTTGTTTTTTAAGATGGGGTTTCACTCTGTTGCCCAGGCTGGAGTGCATTGGCACTATCTTGGCTCACTGCAGCCTTGACCTCCTGGGCTCAAGCCAGGAGGCTCAAGCCAGGCTGAGGTCCCACCTCAGCCTCCTAAATAACTGGGACTACAGGCACACACCACTACGCCTGGCCCAGGACTTTTGCTTGCTGCTATCCCCAAGTATGTAAGATGCCCTCCATAAGTATGTGTTAAATAAATGAAAAAAGAAAGACCTCATGAGGTAATTATTGTGTAGGCTCATTGGTAAAAAATGGTTGTCAGCCTTTTTCTAACAAACACAACTATATCTGATTTCTCATTTCCAGACAGCACAGTTTAACTGGGATCCAGAAACAGTGGGCCTTATCCATGGATCTTTTTTCTGGGGCTATATTATGACACAAATTCCAGGTGGTTTCATTTCAAACAAGTTTGCTGCTAACAGGTAAGATAAATTGATATAACATGATACAAACCAATGAAATGTGGCTTTGTACCTATAAATTCTGCATAGCTGGCTCTCAATTTGGGGGTGCAGAATGAAAAACAGGAGCCATCTGGATAGATGCAATTCACAGATACTGATCCCAAATGACCCTGATCTTAATTTATTTTTATTTTTATTTTTGAGACGGTGTCTCACTCTGTCACCCAGGCTGGAGTGCAGTGGTGTGATCTTGGCTCACTGCAACCTCTGCCCCACCCCCTCCCCCACCCCACTCGGCATTCAAGCAACTCTGGTTCCTCAGCCTCCTGAACAGTTGGGATTAAAAGTGTGCACCACTACACCCAGCTAACTTTTGTATTTTTGGTAGAGACGAGGTTTCACCATGTTGGCCAGGCTGATCTCAAACTCTTGACCTCAAGTGATCCACCCGCCTTAGCCTCCCAAAGTACTGGGATTGCAGGCGTGTGAGACACCAGCGCCCAGTCAAGAGTTTCTTTTTATTTCGTTTTTCATCCAATTAAATTTACCTTGCAACTCTTCAAGTGATTATGTGGTAAAAAGACCAATCAACTCTGAGTCAGGAGAAATGGTTCCTGCCCCCTAACTGGATCACTGGGTGACCTCTATTGAGTCACTTTCCTTCCCTCCCTGGGCCTCAGTTTCTTCATCTGTGAAATGAAACATTGGACTAGATTGTATTTCAGTTCCCCTTGACCAGTGACATTCTGTAATCTTAGGTTAATATCACCCAGTACCATAAAGGTTTTCTCAGATGAGTGGTGGGGGCTTGCCTCTAGACTGCAAGATGTGTCTCTAATGTCCTTGAGACTCTGTAGTGGGTGTTTGAGCAATTAAAAGTACCCAAGAACAGAGTGAGCTGTCTCAAGAAGCAGTGAGTTCTCTGTCACCGGAGGTATTCAAGCAGAGGAGGATGGCCACTTGGGGGAGATGTTGTAGAATGTATCATGTATTAGAAAAGGAGTGAACTAAATCTCTCCAGGTCGCTTCCAATTGTATTTCCCATATGACTTTCCATAAATGGATTTCATGAAGTGCATTCCATTTTTAAAAAGTGGTTTTTTTTTTCAAATTCTAAAGCACAACTCATTAGATAGTTGTGAAAACAATATAATGATTTACCAATGAGCATTTTTAAAAAAGAGAGAAATAGAAGAAAAGATAATCAAATAGAATAAAATAGAAAATATCTGAATGCATTGCACATAAGGGTAAATATTGGTTTTTGAGACTTGTTTCAGTTACATTTGTATGTATGAGTATGGACTGGGTTGCAATATAAAATATATTTTGTTTATGGGTTAAGGTAAAAAAATTGGAAGCCACTACCATAAGATCTAAATAGGAATAAGCATATATTTATTTAGGTTCTTGTCTAATTTATGTCTTTTATTTATTGTTAGTTATCTATTGTATTCTTTTTAAAAAGTGATAAAATATTGGTTGCTATGGTTTCCTGGGTTACCGCTTACACCTCAGCCTTGAAAAAAAATCACACATAATCTAATTTCCCAGCACATAAAAAGAGTGGAAACATCATCAACATAAGTGAGAGGGGAAGAAAATGCTGCTTGCTCTCTTTTCCCAGGGCACCCTGAGCTGGCCAGGAAATGGGAGCTAAGACAGGTACACAACCTGTCTTGTGCTTGGCTGGTCCCAGGACATACAATGCTTCTTGGATAGTCAGTGTTTCTGACTCTGGGAAGCAGGAAACAACCTCAAACATACAGTAACAGTCAGAAAAGATCAGTCGGTGGGGAACCAGGCAGGATGGTAGGTCTCTAGCAAGCTTACCTGAACCTGGCCAATCTCCAACTTTTCAGGACATCATCCAGGCAGGACATCCCTGTGCCACCAAAAATTTGTTCATAGTTGGTCCAGGGGCCAGAGCTTGGGAATCAAAGAAGCCCAAGAGTCTAGCTTGGGGTGCACTAGACCCTAACACATCTATTTCTCCAAATTACAGGTGCCAGCCGCCATGCCTGGCTAATTTTTTGTATTTTTAGTAGAGATGGGGTTCACCATGTTGGCCAGGCTGGTCTCAAACTCCTGACCTCAGGTGATCCACCCACCTCAGCCTCCCAAAGTGCTGGGATTACAGGTACGATCTTTCCACAGGGATTTCCACAGGGATCTTTCATGAACTGTTAGGTTTGTTTCTGGTGCTTAGCTGAAGTAGCACATCCATCAGCAGACCTGCCGAATAACACAATGCTTTGGTCCCCCAGGGTCTTTGGAGCTGCCATCTTCTTAACATCGACTCTGAACATGTTTATTCCCTCTGCAGCCAGAGTGCATTACGGATGCGTCATGTGTGTCAGAATTCTGCAAGGTTTAGTGGAGGTAGGAGATACTTTCCTTACAGTTTTTGATATTGCTAGAGACAGCGCAGTCCTTTAGAAAATTCACCTTCTGAAGAAAATCCCCTTTACTCAGTTTTTTTCTATATTTTCTTCCTTTTCCTGCTGTTTCCATTCTCTGGTAATGGCTAAAATTGCAAGAATTTTAATTAAAATGCCTTGTGTGATTTTACATTTATGAACAATAAAGTACCCTTGCATAATGATCTTAGAGATAATCTAACCTGACCCTCTTCATTTTAATAGATAGTGTAACTGAAGCCCAAATCTACAGTTCACATAGCAGAGGCTCATTCCACTAAAACAATTTAAGTGGATTCATTAATAAATCTGTACATTTTCAAGGGTGTAGTCTGATGCAGAGATTTAATTCAATGAAGGAGGCAGCATGATATGGAGCCAGAAGGTAAATATTTTGGACTTTACAGGCCTTACAGTGTCTGTTGCATCTACTCAACCCTGCTGTTATAGTGCAAAAGCAGCCAGAGACAATATGGAAACAAATGGGCATGGCTACGTTCCAATTAAACATTTTACAAACTGAAATTTGAACTTCATATGATTGTTGTGTGCCATTAAATATTACTCTTCTTTTGATTTTTTTTCTCACCATTTTAAAATGTAAAAAACATTCTTAGCTTGTGGGCTATACAAAAACAGATGGTGAACCAATTGGCCCATAGTTTGCCAACCCTCGATATACAGCAATGTTTCCCAAACACAGTCATTCACCTCTGACCTTCGCCAGTTTGTTATGCCCATGTACAACTTGTACTATTATTTGCCTATTGTTTTCCCCTAGATCGACTCATTTAAAACAAAAAACAAAAGATACCTATTACTCTAAGCAATACCATCTTTGAAATCATGGGTTTGATGTGTTAGTTACATCTTTTCCTTTTTTTTTTTTTTTTTTTTTGAGATAGAGTCTCGCTCTGTAGCCCAGGCTGAAGTGCGGTGGCATGATCTCGGCCCGTTGCAACATCTGCCTCCCAGGTTCAAGCGATTCTCCTGCCTCAGCCTCCTGAGTAGCTGGGACTACAGGTGCCAGTTACCACACCCGGCTAATTTTTTGTATTTTTAGTAGAGATGGGGTTTTACCATGTTGGCCAGGCTGGTCTTGAACTCCTGACCTCAGGTGATCCGCCCACCTCAGCCTCCCAAAATGCTGGGATTACAGGTGTTAGCCACCACACCCAGCCACTAGTTACATCTTTTTCAAAGCATACATATATATAGTAGAATTATATATAAATTTAATTATATATAGATTAATTATAACATATATACTAGTGTATATATGTATATATAATATATACATATATAGTATATATATAATATATATAGTGTATATATATACTGTATCATATATAGTGTATGTATATAATATACATACACTAGTATATATATTATAATTAAAAATGTAAGTTGTTATATCATTTCAAATCCAACTCTAGTCCCACTAGAGGGACATATATGACACTTTGGGATGTACCCGTGTAGTGGAAAGAACACGATATTAGCATCCATGAAGACTAAATTTTAGTCACTTAACAGCCCTGAGTCTCAGGTTCTGTATCTTGAAATGAGTGGATGGACCAACTGATTGTGGAAGGCTCTTCCTACACTGATAGTCTATGATAATATGAAATATAAATATAAAGACCTTTTCCCCCATCTCCTACCATGCTTACATGTGAAGTGTATTTGAATTTCAGCATCTGTACTGTGAGTCAAAATAGCTCAATCATGCTGTTTAGTGTCTGTTTTAGTCCATTTGGGCTTCTACAGAATACCATAAACTAGGTAGGTTATAAACAAAAGAATTTTTTTTTTTTTTTTTTGAGACAGAGTCTCACTGTGTCACCGAGGCTGGAGGCAGTGGTGTGATCTCAGCTCACTGCAACCTCTGCCTCCCAGGTTCAAGCGATTCTTCTGCTTCAGCCTCCTGCATAGCTGGGATAACAGGCACATGCCACTGCACCCGGCTAATTTTTGTATTTTTGGTAGAGATAGGATTTTGCCATGTTGGCCAGGCTGGTCTCGAACTCCTGACTTAGGTGATCCGCCCACCTCGGCCTCCCAAACTGTTGGGATTACAAGCATAAGCCACTGTGCCTGGCCTTTTTTTTTTTTCAGTCTCGCTCTGTTGCCCAGGCTGAAGTGCAGTGGTGCAATCTCAGCTCACTGCAATCTCTGCCTCCTGGGTTCAGGCGATTCTTGTGCCTCAGCCTCCCAAGTAGTTGGGATTACAGGCATGCACCACCATGCCCAACTAGTTTTTGTATTTTTAGTAGAGATGGGGTTTCATCACGTTGGCTAGGCTGGTCTTGAACTCCTGGCTTCAAGTGATCCACCCACCTCGGCCTCTCAAAGTGCTGGGACTACAGGCGTGAGCCACCGCTCCTGGCCTAGAAATGTATTTCTTACAGTTCTGGAGGCTGAGGAGTCAAAGATCAAGGTGCTGGCAGATCGGTGACTTGGGAGAGCTAGCTTCCTGGTTCATAAACAACTACCTTCTCTTTGTCTGCCCATGGCAGAACGGATGAGGGAGCTCTCTGGAGTTTCTTTTATAAGGCACTAATCTCATTCATGAGGGCTACACCCTTATTACTTAGTCACTTCCCAAAGGTCCATCTCCAAATACCATCACATTGGGAATTAGGTTTTAACATAGGAATTTGGTGGGGACACAAACATTCAACCTACAACAGTGTCTGTAAATTGGGCTTTTATATTGTAGCCTGTGTGAAGAAGCAGCATCCATATTTTAAACACAAGCAGAAACTACAGTCAAATCAACTAATCTATTTTCAACTCTTCTGCCAGGGTGTGACCTACCCAGCCTGCCATGGGATGTGGAGTAAGTGGGCACCACCTTTGGAGAGAAGCCGACTGGCCACAACCTCTTTTTGTGGTGGGTATATTAGAATCGTAACAAATTTTATTTATGAATGCTTTTTTTGGGTTCATGCAGTGGCTCACGCCTGTAATCTCAGCACTTTAGGGAGGCCGAGGCAGGAGGATCCCTGGAGCCCAGGAGTTCGAGATCAGCCTGGACAATATAGTGACACTTCGTCTTTAAAAAAAAAAAAAAAAATTAGCCGAGCATGGAGGTGTGTGCCTGGGATCCTAGCTACTAGGGAGGCTGAGGCAGGAGGACTGCTTGAGCCTGGGAGGTTGAGGCTGCATTAAGCTATGATGGCCACAGCACTCCAGCCTGAGTGACAGAGTGAGACCTTGTATCTAAAAAGAAAAAAGAAAAAAGAAATGGAATGCTTTTTTGGCTTCAAGCAACTGAAAACCCTACTAAGGGCCTTAAAATGAGTCTATTTATTTTATATAACAGAATTCTAAAGGTGAGTGGTGGCTAGTGTTGGTTCTGCTGCTCAAAAATCCATCCAGGGCCTAGGCATGTTCTGACTTTCTACTCTGCTATCCTCAGACATAGCTTTTTATTTACTTCTGTGCTTATTCCATCTGTCCCTTTCATCAGGAAAACAAAAGCTTTCCCAAAGCCCCCTACCAACCTTCCACTTTAATTTCTTTGGCCCTAACTGTATCATATGCTTTACTAAATGCAGAGGAGGCTAGGCAAGCAGATGCCTAGCTTCACCAGCCTCTTCAGGAGTGAAGGGGAAGGGAGAAAGGGTTGGAAGTGGTTGTTGGATTAGCCAACAAATGACATTTGCTAAGGACAAAAGTGGAAAGATGGGATCATCAAGCATCCCACGCCTCTTCTTTTTATATGAAACTAAAGTTCAGTGACTTGCCCAAGATCATGGAGCTAGAACAAGACCTGACTGTTGATCTGGAACTTTCCTTACTTCACGCTCCTACCATGTACACATTGTCATATAGAAATGTAAATTAATTTTTGTCATTATATCCCAGATAATAAGAAGTAGAGACCATCCATCTTATCTGAAAGTAAATGAGTAGCCCCCAAGTAGTATGTGACTTTAATTCCTGCATCTCCAAACTTCACCTTGCTGAGGTTGCCATCTCCAAGCTACCCCTGTGGGACAGGCCTCTCTAGGTGTGGCTGGGTCCCTAGGAATCAATCAACAACAGAACAACAACAGCACATGCCGCTGCCATCAACACAGTGGTAAATGTGTCGGGGGAAGGGGCCCATGAAGGTAAAAGTACCTTAGACCAGCCAGGCATGGTGGCTCACACCTGTAATCCCAGCACTTTGGGAGGCTGAGGTGGAGGATTGCTTGAGCCTAGGAGTTTGAGACCAACCTGGGCAACATGGTGAAACCCCATCTCTACCAAAAATACAAAAAATTAGCTGGGTGCGGTGGCTCATGTCTGTGGTCCCAGCTACTCAGGAGGCCAAGGTGGGAGGATCGCTTGAGCCCGGAGGTGGAGGTTGCAGTGAGCCGAGATCACACCATTGTACTCCAGCCTGGGTGACAGAGGAAGACCCCGTCTCAAAAAAAAAAAAAAGTACCTTAGACCACAAAAGTCACAGTGTGGCCTAGGCAGTGTGAATTACAGCTTAGGTCTGTCTGATTTTCAAACTAGCACACTTTTCCTAAGATATTCTTCTTTGCTAAAGGGAGAAAGATAGCTTTCTATTTATTTCTGCATATGTTTTAATTTTCCTCTTCCTGCTGGCCTTTTACCTCCTTGAAATAATAATAAAGTAATCCTGAGAATGTGGTGTGAGGTATTCACCGCTATGCCTACTTTGTGCCTCGTTGGGAATTGCATGCTCAGCTGAGATGTCTTTACATATTCAGTGTCTCTTGTCCTTAGAAACCATCTCCATCCGCTCATTTGCAGTTTAAGCATCTCCATCCCTACTACTGTGCTTATACCAACTCTAGAAGAGGATAAGACTCACCCCAGCTGGCCTTGTGGCTTGTTAGATCCTTGACCTTACTTTCTTTGGATGGTTTATTTGTAAGACCTTTCATTTTGATTTGCCAGCAAAATGAGCATGACTAGCAGCCACTCCCCATTCTTAGTGTGTTTTTATAGCCCTAAAAGGGCTGATTTAAGAAATGGTTTGACTCTCAAGGAAAGTTACCTGATCAAGGACACAGGCCTCATTACATGTCCCAGCTAAGGTGTGGCCTTGGTTTCAAAGAACAGCCAAAGGAAAATGTGGAAGAAGGAAACCCAGGCTTGGAGTGTATAAATTCTTAATCTCAAAAGATATTGGAGTTAGAAGGGATTCTAGAAAACATCCAGTGATATGGTTTGGCTCTGTCGCCACCCAAATCTCATCTTGTAGCTCCCATAATTCCCATGTGTTATGGGAGGGACCTGGTGGGAATTGATTGAATCATGGGGGTGGGTCTTTCCCATGCTTTTCTCGTGGTAGTGAATGGGTCTCATGAGATCTGATGGTTTTAAAAACGGGAGTTTCTCTGCACAAGCTCTCTCTTTGCTTGCCGCCATCCACGTAAGATGTGACTTGCTCTTCTATGCCTTCTGCCATGATTGTGAGGCCTCCCCCGCCACGTGGAACTGTGAGTCCAATTAAACCTCTTTCTTTTGTAAATTGCTCACACTTGGGTTTGTCTTTATCAGCAGCATGAAATCAGACTAATACATCCAGTTACAACCCATTGTTTTATAGTTGAGGAAACTGAGGCTGAGGGAGGAAAAAAGATTTAAATTCTTACAGCTAGTGAGGGCCGAACCGGGGGCTCTTTCTCACCCCCAGTTCTGTTCTTCCTTCTTTGCATACCATTCAACAATCATCTGAGGCCCAGGGGACTGAGCTGCAGTCTGCTCCCCAGGGCAGTCTGGGAGCAGCTGGGGGCAGCTGCAGTAAGGGCTGAGTGCCCTGTTGTTTGCTCAAGGGGCTGTGTCTAATAGGAACTGACATTGGAGAATGTCTAAAAGGATGAGGAAGATTTTTTCTGATAGAAAAGAAGGGTAGTTTAGGTCACATTGTGTATTAGTCTGTTTTCACATAACTATAAAGAACCACCTGAGACTGGGTAATTTATAAAAGAAAGAGGTTTAATCAACTCACAGTTCTGCATGGCTGGGGAGGCCTCAAGGAACTTACAATCACGGCAGGAGGCAAAAGGGGAGGCAAGGCACATCTTACATGGTGGCAGAAGAGAGAGAGAGAGAGTGAAGGGGAAGGTGCCACACTTTTAAACCATCAGATCTCATGAGATCTCACTCACTATCGTAAGAACAGCACGGGGGAAATCCGCCCCCATGACCCAGTCACCTCCCACCAGGTTCTTCCCTCAACACATGGGGATTACAATTTGAGATGCAATTTGGGTAGGGACACAGAGCCAAGCCATATCACATTGTAAAGTTTCCCCAATGATAGAATGCTTTTTACTATGTAAGGGGAATTATTAGGTGCTTTTGAGTGAAGGAGGCATGACTGAATGATTAAATAAGAGTAAGGGCTTTGGGGTTCCACAGACCTGGGCTCCTGTCCTGTGACTTGTCACTTCTACCTGTGTGACCTCAGGCAATCTGCCTCCCCTCCTCCAGCCTGGCTTTCTCCTTATAAAATGGGGGTCATATTGGTACTTACCTTGTCAGGTTGAAGGAGAGTTAAACAAAGTCATAGGTACAGTATACTTAGCATGGTACTAGGCACCCAGAAAGCACTCAGTGCATCTTAGTTGGTGGGGTTATTCTCTACCTGCCCCTGTCCCAGGCATTCTTTTGCATTACCTAAACCAGACTCACCCACCCCACCTCCCAGGGTATTTGGCCTGGGGACAAAGGCCACCCTATCTCCACGCACAGCAGAATGAGACCTGCAGCCCATTTTCAACACATGCCTGGAGTGCTCACCTTATTGGTTTGAGGAGCCCTGAGATTGTTTTTTGAGTGTGTTGTCATTCTGTACATGATAATAGCGGTAATAGCTGGCATTTGTGTAACCCATTATAGCTTACAAAGCATCTTCACATACATAGTTTATTTGAATCTCAAAACAACCCCTTGAGATGGATATTTCATTCCCATCTTATCTCTGAGGAAAATGAGTCTCTTGACTTCCTCGGGTGTCATGATGTTCAGATTCCAGATCTCAGGCTGGGCCTTTCACCGAGGGTCAGGCTCACCTTGGAAAGATGTGATTTAATCTATTTCTCTGGAAGATCCCCAACCTCCCATTTCCTAAAGATCTTCCTTAGCATCAAATTCTGGGATATAGAATTTCCTTTCACCACTCACTTTTTCTGAAGCAAGAGTTTTTTCATTCACAGCCCAGGGGGAGTTTCAGAGAGTAACTTCTCCTTTCAGCTAATAACTCCCAATAATGGGAGGTCACAGGGCTCATCTTTCCCTACCAGACGTCCAGAGGATAGCAGAGGTCAGCTCACTGCCTCTAGTCACAATTATCTTGTCTAGACAAGATAAACATTCACACACAGGTAAGCATTTGCAAGGTTAAGTTTTACAAAGTAAGAAATACATGTAAAAATGTACCCATTCAGGAGCTGAATGGAGACAGCAGCCCTCTTGCCATCTGGAATTTAATTGTTCACCCCTCACCTTTTTTTTTTTTTTTTTTTTTGATACAGTCACTCTGTCACCCAGGCTGGAGTGCAGTGGTGAGATCTTGGCTCACTGCAACCTCCGCCTCACGGGTTCAAGCAATTCCCGTGCCTCAGCCGCCCAAGTAGCTGGGATTACAGGCACGCGCCACCATGCCAGGCTAATTTTTTGTATTTTTAGTAGAGATGGGGTTTTGCTATGTTGACCAGGCTGGTCTTGAACTCCTGGCCTCAAGTGATCTGTCCACCTCAGCCTCCCAAAGTGTTAGGATTACAGGTGTGAGCCACCGTGCCTGGCAACCCTCTCCTTTTTTTTTTTAATCAAGACTTTAAAAATCATGATCTTTTAAATAATTCAATGTCCCTCATTTAAAGATCTGGATGAGAATCCTCCCAGTCCTCCTAAGCAAATTTTGTATGTTCCTTTGCTTGCTCTTTTTAGCTTCCAATATTGCGCCTGGTTGAATTTTCAAAATTTCTCTTAGATTTTTTTCATCTTCTGATTCCATTCTCTCATGTAATTCCAAACTGTGATGCTGGAGCAATCTTTGTCTAAATCCTGTGTGGTCTCTGGATGAAGTTAAAGGGCATCTTGGTGACCTTCCTCTCCTGGAAGCCCTGTTCTGTGGCACACTGGGAGTTTGCCTGTCTCTGCACGGAGGCAGTCTGATTCCTGCTCAGTTTGATTAATTCCTGACTTTACCATATGAATTCTAAATGAGCTGAAAAGGCTTGCATGATGATTGGTCAGATTCCCTCAATCTTTTCTTGTTCCAGGTTCCTATGCAGGGGCAGTGGTTGCCATGCCCCTGGCTGGGGTGTTGGTGCAGTACATTGGATGGTCCTCTGTCTTTTATATTTATGGTGAGTGATTTGACTTCACAAGTTCACATGTGACTCATAGAGATGGTATTTTACTGCATATGGGTTTGGCTCAGAGTTCATTACATCAAAATAGAGATTACTAAAACAAGTTTATTGTATAAATGGAATACTTTATCTATGATTTGATTAATATTTATATTAAAGTTGACCTAAAAAAATAAGTAGAACATTGTCTTTCTTTAAATACCAGTTAACAAGAGGAACGTCAACAAAATACTTACCCCTAGCTGAACATACTGCCATTTGGAAATATTGTAAAGATCCTTTTGTAGTTCATAAATGTGATAATTGGGTGTTCACGTGCATGTATGAGATGTCTGAGTCCCTCAAACCTTGTTACAACATTGGTACATTACCCATTTTACCTGAAAAAAATATATATGGTAAAAATTGAAAAATTTAGAAACGGAAGAAAATGAGACCATATAACCCAGCCTTTTCTTTTTTAACTGCAGGCATGTTTGGGATTATTTGGTACATGTTTTGGCTGTTGCAGGCCTATGAGTGCCCAGCAGCTCATCCAACAATATCCAATGAGGAGAAGACCTATATAGAGACAAGCATAGGAGAGGGGGCCAACGTGGTTAGTCTAAGTGTAAGTATAAAAAGTCAGATGAAGACTTACCTTTTTTCATAAGTGATTGTGTTGCCTTCTTACAGAAAAAATGTCAATATCTTTACTAAAAATATCATGGTATTTTTACTCCCTAGAAATTTAGTACCCCATGGAAAAGATTTTTCACATCTTTGCCGGTTTATGCAATCATTGTGGCAAATTTTTGCAGAAGCTGGACCTTTTATTTGCTCCTCATAAGTCAGCCTGCTTATTTTGAAGAGGTCTTTGGATTTGCAATAAGTAAGGTAAACACACAGATGCTCCAAATATTTTTGAACTTTAAATCTCTTGATTCTACAGAGAATAACTTTGTATGATAAAATAATTAAATTGCTGATCATAATTCATAACAGTTCTGTGACACCTAATAGCCTGGCTGTCAGACAAGTTATACATTCTATGCATAGTATGCATAGCTGTTTAATTTCTTCTTAGCAAGGATCAGAGCCGTATTAAGCTGCTTTAAAGATTTATGTTGTACCCAATCTTAGAGTGTTTTTGAAGCTAGCTCAAGGACGGCATATTAGGCAAGGATAAAAAGATTTGAGGGTGTGGGTTTTCTTTTTTTCCTGTAAGCTACTCAGTGAGTAGCAGTAAGAACCTTACCATTCATTTTGCAGAACACCCCTTCTCCATAATGGTGGCTATAGCAGTAACAATCATTGCTTGCAATGGGTTAGAAAGAACCTCTTTCTGCCAGGCGTGGTGGCTCACGCCTATAATCCCAGCATTTTGGGAAGCCAAGGCTGGCGGATCACCTGAGGTTAGGACCAGCCTGACCAACATGGCAAAACCCTGCCTCTACTAAAAATACAAAAATTAGCTGGGCGTAGTGATGCACACCTGTGATCCTAGTTACTCAGGAGGCTGAGACAGGAGAATCACTTGAACCCAGGAGGCAGAGGTTGCAGTGAGGCGAGATTGCACCACTGCACTCCAGCCTGGGCAACAGAGCAAGACTCTGTCTAAAAAAAAAAAAGAAGAAGAAAAAATAAACAGAAAAAAAAGAAAGAACCTCTTTCAATGCTCCCAGACATTATCATCAAGCCAATTGTGTTTTAGGGAGGAAGGGTGTGGATAGTGAATCATCAACCATCATCATAAGATAAACCTCTTTCCTACAAGGGAAAGAACAGCAGCCGAGCAAACACAAATGTCTGCCTAGCTACAGATACTGTCAGAAGTGACCATGGAAGAGCTGGCATAATCATGAAATGGTGGCTGTCATCAGTCATCAGTGCTCACTGGGTGCCAAGTGCTTTATCTCCCATGTGCCATGCCCTCTGTGATGAATAAAAGTCATCGCTGCCCTCAAGGAGCTTCCAATCTGGTAGAGGACACAGATAGGTCTAAAATCATTCGCTCATTCATCATTTATTTATTATGAAATTCAGGCCTACCCAGCTCCCACATAATTAGATGCTTAAATTTGGTGGTGGTAGGTAGGGGGGCTGTGGAGTGGAGGTGGGCAAGGGAATTAGGGAGGCCCCTCTCTCAGAAATAATGACAAACTGCTTACTGTTTCTTTCCCTTCCAGGTGGGTCTCTTGTCAGCAGTCCCACACATGGTTATGACAATCGTTGTACCTATTGGAGGACAATTGGCTGATTATTTAAGAAGCAGACAAATTTTAACCACAACTGCTGTCAGAAAAATCATGAACTGTGGAGGTACTGTGGATTTCATAGATGGCTTAGGCAGCTTTTGTAGAATTAGGGTAAACTGAACTGCAGAGCATATATTAAGAAGTGACATTTAGTCATTGGAGTGGATCTTAAAGACCTCTAAGTCTGTCCCTCAGCAGACACTTGAGTGTTGTCCATCACAGTGCTGCCAAGAGGTCATCCAGCTGGGACCTTTCCATACATCCTTCCACATTTATTGTTTGCTTATGTAGTTTATTCCCTTCTCTGCTTACCTTTCTACCTATCCATATGTTTTGGTAAGAAACAGAAGAAAAGTAGTCTTTCCTCCTAGCCTATGCTTGTGCATGGGATATATGCACACACACACACACACACACACACACACACCATTCTCTTTCTTGATTTTATTTAGCTCCTGCTTTATGTTTTAATTTTGTAAAGACAAAGTGAATGTTAGGTGATTTCCCAAAAGAGGTAGGCGAAAGTAATTGTGAACCCCTACAATGTTCATGAGTGCTTTTTAAAAAACTCATCTTTTTTGTTTAGCTTTTAAAATTAACATTTATTGAATGCTTTCTGTGCCAGACACTAAGCTAAATCTTCTACATACATTATTTTATTTAATCTTCATAACCACCATGTGGAGCAGGTACTATTACTATATGCAATTTGCAATGAGGAAACAGAGGTAAAATAAAGGGACTTGCTCAAGTAGCAGATCCCTGCAAGGTATCAGGTAGGCCGGAGCCTACCGCCAAAGCTCTTAGTTTGCGGCTACCCCTCTGGAGGACTAGTCAGGATGAGCGAGCAGGAGGTAGAGGATAGCGCCACCTATGGGCAAGAGCTCACAACTGTGATATTAAGTTGAAAGGGACGGATTGCGTATGCTCTGACAGATAGCTAGGTCTGGCACATTTAGAAGTGAAGACTATACCGAGGGACACAGGAGCAGGCATGATCTGATCCCATAGCATTTCGGGAAGAAAGCCTAAGAGTCTGTTGGCACCTGTTCTCCCAGTTCCTTGACTGCTGGTCCCAGGCAGGGATGTGTGGGCCTGACCTTAGCTTGAACTTTCTTGTAGAGGACTGAGGGTTAGCGGATATAGGCCTGCTATCTGGTGGGCAGGAGGTGAAGCTCTGGGACATTGCATTCAAGTCCTCTCCAAGAGAGCTGTAGCAGCTAGAATAATGCCCATGTCCTAATCCTCAGAAGCTGTGAATATGTTTCCTTACATGTCAAAAGGGACTTTGCAGGTGGGATTAAATTGAGGTTCTTGAGATGGGAGTTTATCCTGCATTATCTAGGTGGGCCCAATATAATCACAATAATCCTTATAAAAGGAGGAAGGAGGGTCAGAGTCAGAAAAGAAGATGTGATGGTGGAGGCAAGAGTCAGAGTGATGCAGCCACAAACCAAGGAATGCAAGCAGACCCTAGAAGCTGGAGAAGACAAGAAGAGATTCCGCCATAGCACCTCTAGAAGGAATGCAACTCTGTAGGCTGCTGCCTTGACTTTAGCCCTGTACCATTTTGGATTTTTGGCCTCCAGAACTGTACAATAGTGCAGAGAGTATTTTAGAGGTGACATCTAATCATTGGAATAGATCTTAAAGACCCCTAAGTCTATCCCTCAGCAGATACTTGATATTTGTGTTGTTTTGAGCCACTGAGTTTGTGGTAATTTATTACAGCAGCAAATGAAAACTAACACAGCGGTAGGCAGGGTGCAGTGGCTCACTCCTGCAATCCTAGCACTTTGGGAGGTTGAGGCGGGCAGACCACTTGAGCTCAGGAGTTCGAAATCAGTCAGGGCAATAGTGAGAACTTTTCTCTATTAAAAAATAAAACATTTATAAAATGAAAACTAATACAGTAGCCAAAGCCTCACCCTTCTAATGATAAAATTCTGCTCCAGCTGAACAGCCCTCACCCAAGCCCTGAACATATCTTTCTGTCTCTGACTTTGCCCACTCCCTTTCTCTTTCCCTGTGAGTTCTCACCTTCACCTCTCAATCCAGTCCTCTCTATACATCCAGCTCAATTCTTCTCCTCTTATGTTTCCTTAAAGCCATGCCATTCTCCAGTGATCCCTCTGAATATGTCCACATGGCTAGATTGGCAACTCATCATGTGGTGCCTTATTGCAGCTCTCTCAGGAAAAGATTTTAGGCAGAGGGAATAGTATGTGCAATGACCCTGGGGCAGGCAGGAATGTGGCCTGTGTGAGAATAGAAGGAAGGGGAGTCAGAATGGCTGAGTGACGGGAGACGGGATCGGGATGTTTTTCTAGGGTCAGATCATGGCAGGCCTTGTCGGCGTATGCAGAGCTTGGGTTTTATTTGAAGTACATTGAGATGCAGATGATTTAAAGCACGGAATGGATATGATCTCATTTTTTTTTTTTTTTGAGACAGAGTCTCGCTCTGTTACCCAGGCTGGAGTGCAGTGGTGCAATCTCAGCTCACTGCAACCTCCGCCTCTTGGGTTCAAGTGATTCTCCTGCCTCAGCTTCCTGAGTAGCTGGGATTACAGGCATGGGCCACCATGCCTGGCTAATCTTTTGTATTTTTGTAGAGACAGGGTTTCACTATATTGGCCAGGCTGGTCTCAAACTCCTGACCTCAAGTAATCCGCCCGCCTCGGCCTTCCAAAGTGCTGGGATTACAGGCATGAGCCACCTCGCCTGGCCTTGCTTATTTATTTTTAATCTGGGGAATTATGCAGGGTACAAGAGTAAAAGAAGGGAGACCAGGTAGGAGGTGATTTCAGTTGTCCTGTCTAGAGAAGATGGTGGCTTAGACAAATGAGGTGGCAATGGAGATGGAGAGAGGGGGGTCAATTTCTAAATTCTCAGAGCCAACAGTTCTCATCTTTAAATTACATAATAATATTTACTTCAGAGGATAGTTATGAGAGTTAAATGATACAACGTATGAATGCACCTAGTGCGGTGTTCAACCTATAAAAAGTTCTCAACAAATGTTAATGCTGCTTTTTTTCTCCTATGTTCAAGACACAAAAAACACAGAAGTTTTTCAAAGAGTTCTTTAACAAATATCTGTGATTGTATTTCCTTTGGACAAAAAAATGTACTTCTAAACTGGCAACTTTAAATAAGTTTCTGGATTTTAAACACTACTTGCACAACCTCTTCTAAACCCAGATGCATTGGATATTCTTGAGCATATTTTGTGGGAATGTCTTGTTCCTATTTAATTCTGCCCCAGTACCTCTGCTGTTTCTCCATAATTGGTGGTGATTATGTTATGTTGTGGTGATGAGAACTTTCAAAGATGTTTAATTGCTAACAAAGTGCCTGTTGAGAGGAAATAGTTTTTTTTCTGCAGAAACTAGAAGGCATATGTGGAATCTTTCTGCCTCATCTCCCATCTTTAAAAAATACCTCTTCACATGGCTTTTCATGTTCATATATATATATATTTTTTTTGTTTGTTTGTTTTGTTTTGTTTTGTTTTTGAGATGGAGTCTCGCTCTGTCACCCAGGCTGGAGTGCAGTGGCGTGATCTCAGCTCACTGCAAGTTCCGCCTCCCAGGTTCACACCATTCTCCTGCCTCAGCCTCCCGAGTAGCTGGGACTACAGGCACCCGCCACCACACCCGGCTAATTTTTTGTATTTTTTAGTAGAGGCGGGGTTTCACCGTGTTAGCCAGGGTAGTCTCGATCTCCTGACCTTGTGATCCACCCACCTCGGCCTCCCAAAGTGCTGGGATTACAGGCATGAGCCACCGTGCCCGGCCATTCTTTTATATTTTGACATAGTAGGACCAGTGAGTTATATATAGAAAATAAAATTTTTAAAAAGACCATAATGGTCCCACTTTTTCTGCTTAAATACAGAGATGCTAGAGCAGAGATAACTACATGAAAACAAAGTTTTGTGCCATCAGTGAAGAATGCAGGTTGATTTGGAAATGATGAAGCACTGGTATGATCTTCCAGAGAATTTTGGTTGGCTTTTTGGTTTCCTACTAAGAAATATAGAAGGCATTTCTCATCTGAGAAGGATCACACATATCTTGGAGCCTGTCATCTTTTATTTCCATAGATTTTAATATGCCATTAAAATCATTTAAAGCAAAACAGATCACTTAAGACATGATGTTCAATTCATTCTGAATCAGGGTCTACGTCTATGATGCTTAAAGACAGATGCCAAATTCTTGTCCTGCCCCCTCTATAGAACATGCAAAGTGTAACTGAGGTCAAAAATTCTATTCTGGCTGAATCAGTTGCAAGTGTGAACTTCAGATTATTTTAATATGAAATAAAATATTTCTTAGGCCTTTAAGTCCTAGTTTTGTTTTTCTTGTCAACTCTAAATAGGTTCAATTTTAAGGATCTCCTGATTACCCCTAAAGTTGAAATTTTATCCTTAAGCTCCTGAAACATGCAGCCCTGTCTCTAGTATTTTAACTGTCAGTAGAAACCATTTAGGCTCTTAAATGCTTTTTTTTCCACTGGCAATCTGCTATTTGGCCAAAATTTTTTTTCTTACAGATGAACTGATGTATCATTTGTAAGTTTTATTCTTTATACAATGTCATCATTCTAATTCTTTGGGGGAATTGACTTTCTGCATGCTTCTGTTCAGAGTGTAAAAATAAAAGAAGTTTCAGCCAGATGCCTTGTTATTTAGGATAGGCACTTCTAAGACACATATAGTTAGTATATGAAACACTAGCTATTTTTCCCTATGTGTAGTCTTAAATGTTGAAACAAAATTAAGAACAAGTAGCAATGATATAAAGCCTATAGTTTTAAAAGTAAGACTTCCCTAATTACATTTCATCCTCTTTAGAAGCCATTTAAAACAATTATTAGTTCTTGCCCTTCTTTATAGTAGTGTTGAAGAAATAGGTTCAAAAAGGTAAATATTAATAACTTAACCATCATTTACGGTAAGTACTTCAGCTTGTGAATCTTATTTTCTTCTTTCTGGGTCCCATTTCCTTTCCTTTGCATTAATTCATTAAACGTTATGTATGTATGTATGTATGTATGTATGTATGTATGTATGTATGTATGTATGTATTTAGAGACAGAGTCTCACTCTGTTGCCCAGGCTGGAGTGCAGTGGTGCAATCTTGGCTCACTGCAACCTCCACCTCCCGGTTTCAAGTGATTCTCCCGCCTCAGCCTCCTGAGTAGCTGGGATTACAGGCACATGCAACCATGCCTGGCTAACTTTCATATGTTTAGTAGAGAAGGGGTTTTGCCATGTTGCCCAGGCTGGTCTTGAACTCCTGACGTCAGGTGATCCGCCTGCCTCGTCCTCCCAAAGAGCTGGAATTATAGGTGTGCACCACCATGCCTGGCCAAACGTTATTTATTGAGTGCATACTACATGCTAGACAGACTCTGTGTTAAATATACAGTTTTGTGGGAGAGGCAGAAACACAAATGAAAAGTTACAAAGCAATATTGAAAAGTTCTATAAAATGATGAGAAGGTGATGTCAGCTTCATTGGTTGAGGGTAGGGAGAGGGTTGTTAGGGAAGCTTTCTAGAGGAGGCACTATTTAATCTGGACTTTAAAAATAGTAAGATTTATCCAGAAAAAGAGAAAATGATGAGAGAAGAGTATCCCAGGTAAAGAAACAATGTGTGAAAATATGTACAGGCATGAGATAGTATTGTGTGGTTAGAAAACAGCTAATAGAGGAGTATGTCTGTGGCACAGAGGGCTATCCACAGAATGGGGGCAGTAAGCAAAGAGATGAGGGCTGGAAGAAGATGAAACTGGAACAGCAGGAGGTATTCATTATAGAACACTATACTCATGATATGGAGCTCATGACAAACACGTTAAGCACAGGAGCAAATAATGAGGTGTGTGGCTTAGAAAGACAGTGGTATTGAGAATGCATCAGAGGAGGACGAGTTGGGAAGACTACCAAAGTGGCTTATTGTGGCTGAGCATGGTGGCTTAGGCCTGTAATCCCAGCACTTTGGGAGGCCAAGGCAGGCAGATCACCTGAGGTCAGAAGTTGGAGACCAGCCTGGCCAACATGGGGAAACCCGGCCTCTACTAAAAATACAAAAATTAGACTGGGCGTGGTGGCTCACGCCTGTAATCCCAGCACTTTGGGAGGCTGAGGTGGGTGGATCACGAGGTCAGGAGACTGAGACCATCCTGGCTAACACGGTGAAACCCCATCTCTACTAAATATATAAACAATTAGCTGGGCATGGTGGTGGGTGCCTATAGTCCCAGCTACTCAGGAGGCTGAGGCAGGAGAAGGGCACGAACCCGGGAGGCAGAGCTTGCAGTGAGCCAAGATCACGCTGCTGCCCTCCAGCCTGGGTGACAGAGCAGGACTCCATCTCAAAAAAAAAAAAAAAAGTTAGCCGGGCGTGGTGGTGGACTATAATCCCAGCGACGGGGGAGGCTGAGTCAGGAGAACCACTTGCACCCGGGAGGCAGAGGTTGTAATGAGCTGAGATTGCACCACTGCACTCCAGTCTGGGTGACAGAGCACGACTCCATCTCAAACAAAAGAAGAAAAAAAGGTGGCTTATTGCAGTTTTCCTGGTAAGAGGTCACGGGGCCTGGAACTAAAGCAGTGACAGGGGAGGGGAAAGTGGCAGTTGCACTGGACAGATGTTTCCGAGGCCAAACCTGCAGATTTGTATATGAAAGCTCAGGCAGGAGGAGAAGTCCAAGGTAGTTCTGAAGTTTCTGCATCGGACTTCTGGCTATCATTTGTTGAGCTGTGCCCATGTGCCACACTCAGTACCTCATATACCAATTTCATTTACTTTTCCGATACCTCACAAGGCTGTGGTACTATCTCCAGCTTTTGGATGAGGAATCTAAGAGGTGTAGTAACTTGTTCAAGGTCACAAAATTAGTGATTTTGAAGTGGAAAGTGAACCCATACCAGTTTGACTCTAAAGATTGGGTTCTAAACACAGAATATGGAAGATTAATTTAGAGGAGAAGAAAGCACGTGGTGGCGATGGTTTGGTGATGGTTTGCTTGTTTGTTTAGGAGTAAAAAAATAGGGGAAGAGGCCAGGGGTGGTGGCTCATGCCTGTAATCCCAGCACTTTGGGAGGCTGAAGTGGGCGGACCACCTGAGGTCAGGAGTGGCCAGCCTGGCCAACATGGTGAAACCAGCCTGGCCAACATGGTGAAACCCCAACTCTACTAAAAATACAAAATTAGCTGGGCGTGGTAGCACATGCCCATAATCCCAGCTACTTGGGAGGCTGAGGCAGGAGAATCATTTGAACTTGGGAGGCAGAAGTTGCAGTGAGCCAAGATCATGCCGTTGCACTCCAGCCTGGGTGATAAGAGCAAGACTCTGTCTCAAAGAAAAAATAAATAAATAAATAAATAAAAATAGGGGATGAGAGAATTGATTTGGGCATGTTGCCTTTGAGGTACTGTAGAACAATTGTGTGGAGATGTCTGGAATCAGCAGACAGTCTCCAAATGAAGCACCACTAATTGTCTCTTCCCCCTCCTAAGGCACTCTATATACTTGGAAATGATATTTATATCATTTTTCTGTCTGTTGTCAGCTGAACTTTTTTTTCGGGTGAGAAGGAACTTCTTCATAATTTCCTCATTCTTTTTATTTTTTATTGTGCTAGACTCACTTATTCTGAATGAAAGGAACAGAAAGTACTTTTGTTCTGCAATATTTTCTGTGCAAAATTCTCATGTATTGTTTGTTTTTTTTTTTTTTAAGAGGCCTGAGAGCTTGGTGAACTTTGAAATAGAAAAATTTTGACTTTTGCTTTACAAGGGGTGAAGTGCTGTTTTTGTTTGTTTCTTTGTTTGTTTTTGTTTCAGATATTTGCTACAGTTTTCTGGTTGCTTTTGGCAATAAATATTAGAGTGTTGTCATTTTACTTTTAAGGGAAAGGCCATAACTAGTCAAAGGGGAATCATTACCACAGTTATATAGTAGAGTTTTAGTATTTAACAATGGCAGGGACAGCTACCCATGAAGCAACTAATAATTAACATCCCTCATCTCAGGAGCATCATTGGAACCTATTGGGACCGTGTGGTGTTCAAGGTGCACCGCGATAATGTTAGAAAGTTTGTGAACACCCAGGGAATATTAGCAAAGTCATGTAGTCATGAAAGTCCTGGGTGGCATTGTAAGCACTGTACCAGAATGTAGGTCTGTGGAGGAACAGAAAACCAAACACTGCATTTCCCCACTCATAAGTGGGAGATGAACAATGAGAACACATGGATACAGGGAGGGGATCATCACACACTGGGGCCTGCTAGGGGGCAAGGGGAGGGACAGCATTAGGGCAAATACCTAATGCATGTGGGGCCCAAAACCTAGATGATGGGTTGATAGGTGGAGCAAACCATCATGGCACATGTATACCTATGTAATAAACCTGCACATTCTGCACATGTATCCCTGAACTTAAATCCCAGAACTTCAAGTAAAGTTAAAAAAAAAAAAAAAAAAACTTAAATTCCAGAACTTAAAGTAAAAAAAAAACATAGACACAAACAAAATAAACTTAGGTCTGTGGAATTATAGGTTAGTTCTTATTTGATAAATAAATGAACTTGGGTTGACCGATATGAAAATGACATTTTTTTCCCTTGCTGTTTCCATTTGCAGGTTTTGGCATGGAGGCAACCTTACTCCTGGTGGTTGGCTTTTCGCATACCAAAGGGGTGGCTATCTCCTTTCTGGTACTTGCTGTAGGATTTAGTGGCTTCGCTATTTCAGGTAATGTGTCCTTTGGGTTTCCAGATCTTGACTATAGATTCAACAAGTCCCAGGAAGAAGGAAGGACAAGGATATTGTAGCACCTTCTTTCAGTAGCCAGTCCATTCTCAGAGAGCAGGACCACCGTCCAGAGAATGTGATCTAGTGGGGGTGATTTTGTAAGATCACTGAGAACTGGGCTTGGGAGCTCAGTTAAGGTGGAATTTTTCCTACTTACTTTGTTACGGGAAAAGACACAAAGTGCAGATGACCCTTCTGAGACACGAGCAGAGGCCCAAGCATATGTCCTGGGTGAAGTGGACTTTCATACTTTAGCACCATGTCACCCTACCTGACAGAGGCTCCTGTGACTTTTTCAAGCCTCGCCCTCTTGCTAGAGAACTGCGAGTGTCATTACAGTCATAGGATCAGAAGTTTTTTTAAGAGTGAAAACCTTCTTTAGATTTTTGTCTACTCCATTGCTTTCATTTTCCAAACAAGAAAATGCGGGTCCATAGAGGGGAAGTGACTTTCTGAACAGGGTAAAGAATAATGACAATGATGATGTGAGCTAGCGATGACCAAGCACAGATTCTGTGCCAGGGAATATTCCATGAGATCTGCATATATTAAGCCCTGTCTCTCTCACAACTACCCTGCTGGGTATCAGTGCTATTACGATCCCCATTTTACAGGAGCAGAAACCAGTCTACTATATGTGAGAGAAAGGCCAGAGTGCAATCATATCAGAAGCTTCCTATGCAAAACTGGGTCAAAGAGTGAAATTTAGTTGTTTGTCTATCTTTAAAACATCGTAATAAGAATATGGTTACTGGCCGGGTGCGCTGGCTTACGCGTGTAATCGCAGCACTTTGGGAGACCGAGACGAATGGATCACTTGAGCCCAGGAGTTCAAGACCAGCCTGGGCAACATGGCAAAACCCCATCTCTACAAAAAATACAAAAAGTTAGCTAAGTGTAATGGCGCACACCTGCAGTCCCAGTTAGTCAGGAGGTTGAGGTGAGAGGATGGCTTGAGCCTGGGAGTTGGAGGTTGCGGTGAGCTGAGTTCGTGCCACTGCATTCCAGCCTGGATGACAAAGCGAGACCCCTTCTCAAGAAAAAAATAAATAAATAAAATAAAAATAAAAAATGGTTACTTAAAGAAAATTTCACATATATTGTATATATATCATAACATTGTGAAGCAAGTAGTAGTATATCACTATGCTACTGGGTTTTTCACTATTTTACTAAAGCTCAGAAAAATTTGATACTTTCTTAATATCACACAGTTAGTGGCAAAGGAAGGATGACAGAACAGTTCTGCCTGGCCCAAAGGCCGTGCTCCTTCCATTATTCCAGGTTGCCTTAAATATCAAACAGTGTTAGTGTCCCAGAATAGAAAAATATGGAACCTCTGGTCTAAACTGCCCTAAGACAGGGGCTTGTATCTTTCAAAATAAATAGAGTTGATGAATAAATTAGAAAATAAAGTAAAAGTCTAAATTAAAAGTAACTTGCAGCTAAGTAATTTGGTTTAGAGATGCATAGACCTGGGTTTGAGGCCCTCTTTACTATTTACTATTTATAAAATAAAAAATTTGCTAAATTATGAAAACTCTCAAGCTTCAGTTTTCTCATCTAGAGATTGGAGAGATGAAACAGCAACCTCATAGGGTTGTTGGGAGGATAAACTTAGATAATTCATGTATTTCCCCGCACTTCTTGTGGGCTGGGCATTATTCTTAGCACTGGGGATATTGCAGTGAATAAATGAAAGTGTCCATCCCCATAAAGTTTACATTCTAGTGGAAATACTTATTCAAATAAAAACCTTAGCTGTATTTATTTGAAGTCCTTAGCACAGTGCCAGATGCATAACAAAATTAATGAGTGTTCACCATTATTGTTCTATTAGTACACACACCAGCCCAGTGCCTCTCAAAGTGTTATGTGAAATCACCATAAGATATTTCAGAATGCAGATTCTGATTTGGTAGCTCTAGGGTGGAGCCTGAGATTCTGCAGTTTTAGCAAGTTCCCCAGAGCTGCTGCTGCTGCAGGGCAGTCCACACTTTGAGTAGCAAGGGCAGAGCAATCACGATTTGCTTCCAGTAGGAAGCGGAGGAACGCCTTCCCTTGATAACTTTGTGATGCAAAAGAGATCCATATCCTGTTCCCAGAGATACTGAAATGTTCAAGTTCATATTGCTTCCTTTCCCCCGATTGCCAATTAAGTCACAATCTGAAGGAGAGAAACCCAATACTCCAAATCACATAAACTGCTTTTTTGTTTTCCTTTTTTTTTAGACAGGGTCTCTTGCCTTGTGCAGTGTCTCATGACTATAATCCCAGCACTTTGGGAGGCCGAGGCAGATGGATCACCTGAGATCAGGAGTTCGAGACCAACCTGGCCAACATGGTGAAACCGCATGTCTACTAAAAATACAAAAACTAGTTGGTTGTGGTGGTATGTGCCTGTAGTCCCAGCTACTGGGGAGGCTGAGGTTGCAGTGAGCCAAGATTGCACCACTGCACTCCAGCCTGGGTGACAAAGAGAGATTCTGTCTCAAAAAAAAAAAAAAAAATAGACAGGGTCTCGCTCTGACACACAGGCTGGTGTGCAGTGGCATGATCGCGGATCATTGCAGCCTCTACCTCCCATGCTCAACTGATTCTCCTGCCTCAGCCTCCTGAGTAGCTGGGGCTACAGGCATGTGCCACCACTTCCAGATATATATATATTTTTTCGAGACAGGGTCTCACGATGTTGCCCAAGCTGGTCTCGAACTCCTGGCCTCAAGTGATTCTCCTGCCTTGGCCTCTCAAAGTATTGAGATTACAGGCATGAGCCACCACACCTGGCCTTCTTGCCACTTTTTAAACATGATTTCATTTAATCCTCATTGCAACCTTGATGAGAAAGGTATTGCTATATTCACTTTATTGGTGGGGAAACCAAAGTGTGGTTTAACTTGCCGAGTGAAGTGGCTGGGAGTGTGGAATAAAGGTCTGTTGGTCCCAGCAATGACACTGTGGGAGGGATTGCAGCCACAGGGGCAATAATTCCTCAGAATCTACTGTCTGCCAACTTTTAAAGGAATAAACATAGATGTCAGGGAAGACTGACTGGCACAATTTAGGAGCTGATTATAGACAAGACTGCTGAGATAGATGAAGTTAAAAATAGGCAAGAGATGAGTGATGCCTGTTTTGGGAAATGTCCTATACAGAAGATAGATTCTCTCAGTTTATGTGTAATTTTTTTATCTGCTATAAAAATCTATCAATATCTCAATTTCTCAGTGATTTTCCCCCCTCCCCAAATGTCAGGATTGTGCAGCTAGAAACCTAAATGGCTTTTCCCACATTATCTTTAGCTGAATGCAGATGCCCAGGCTTTGTATCAGAGCATAATACTCAACAATCATATTAATTGCTTCTTATCTCTGGATTCTTTTCTAATAAAGTGTTTATCACATTCAAATCCATGGTAAGATTAATGAACTTGCAGCTGTTTTATATTCTGATCATTTGGCACATTGACCTGAAAGATAAGGTATGTTTATTATTACCAAAAAGTTTTCTCAAAATTTCTCCCTGAAGGGAAGTAGGAAAGACAACCAACCAGTGTGCCAGATTAGAACAAAAAAATGTTTTAAGTCCTATTTTCAGTTTTTTTTTTTGCACAGAATAGAGAAATAAAAAGCAAAGCAAAGGAAGACAAAAAGATGAATAAAGCCTACAACCCCTTGCTATAATTTCAGTAGCTGAAGCTGGTAATTAATTTAGCAACTATTTATTGAGTGACTACAATGTGCCAGGCACTTTGCTAGTTCAGGGGAGATGGTGGTAAACAAGACGGATGGCTAACCACCTGTAAAGAGCATGCATGTTGGTTTACACGTCTATGCACCATGTAGTTAACATACATTATTTAACTTAATTCCTACATCAATTTTATAAGAATCGTTATCCCGTTATGTAGATGAAACTAAGGTTCAGGAAGTTTAAATCCTTGGTCTAGGCTTGCATCTCAACTAAGCTGCCAGAACTGAGGTCTGTCTGATTTGAACATGCACCCCTGCAATATATTGACAAAGTCAGATCTCAGCTCGCTGTAACCTCCAACTCCTGGGTTCAAGTGATTCTCCTGTCTCAGCCTCCCAAGTAGCTGGGATTACAGGCATGTGCCACCATGCCTGGCTAATTTTTGTATTTTTAGTAGAGGTGAGGTTTTGCCATGTTGGCCAGGCTGGTCTTGAACTTCTGACCTCAGGTGATCCACCCGCCTCAGCCTCCCAAAGTGCTGAGATTATAGGCGTGAGCAACCATGCCCGGCCAGCAGCATTATCTTTTGATAGAAGACCTCAAAGAGAGGGAGTTACTTTGCAATGGCAGCAGAAGGTAGCAGTAGTAGTAGTGGTAGTTAGCATAGCTTTGATATTTGCCAAGGGCTTCACATACCTATTTCCCCTGAGTCTCTATCACAGCACCTCTGTGAAGTGAATAGTAATATTATCCTCATATTGGAGATGAAGAAACAAAGGCCCCCAAATTACTTGTTTACATAGTAGAAATAAGATTCAAGTCCAGATTTACAGACTCCAAATCAAGTAGGTGTGTGAAAGTGTTTCATAAATTACAGAAGGTTCTCCCAATGTTTGTGCAAATGTTTCATTAAAAAGCACCCTTTTCATTGTGTGAAAATGTGGCCATGTGGCCAATAAAGTAGGCTTACCCTTGGCTGCCTTTTAAGAGTAAGTCAGGGGTAGGAGTGGGAATATTATAAAGCAAGGTTTGGTCTAGTCATACTGTATGTGATTGTATGATTATTTACTCTGAATAAATGTGATTCAGGCTTTAGGCTTTTCAATATTGTGCCAAACACCGTATTTTGGAATTCAGAACCTACAAGGTAGAGATGCCATAATTCTCTTTATAGAGAGAGCCCTTGATAGATATCCATAATCAATTCCAGCATTGTCTACCAGTGCTGCTTTGTGCAGACACAGCCTCTTGAACCCAGTCCTCTTGGTCTGGAAACTAGTCATATACTAGAGGAAACCAAACAGATTGGTAAAGGCTGGGGCAACTGAGTATTTTCCAAAGCATATTTGAAATTCTGTTCTTGACTCTGATTTTGAGGTTTTGGCTTCACTGTAGGTTTTAATGTCAACCACCTGGACATTGCCCCACGCTATGCCAGCATTCTCATGGGGATCTCAAACGGAGTGGGAACCCTCTCTGGAATGGTCTGTCCCCTCATTGTCGGTGCAATGACCAGGCACAAGGTAAAGGTCTCCTTTGTGGCTATGGGTTACAATATCAGAGGACTGGAGCTCTACACAAACTTGAGATTTCAAGGCTCTACTGCAGTCTGTAAATGTGTATGTCCTTGACCTTGACTGAGTCAGCTGAACTTCTTTTTTTTTTCTTCCTTCTTCTGATTTTCAAATCATTGCTTATCAATGGCACCAAGGCTAGTTGTTGTTTTGTTCTATGTTTTCTCAATTGAGGAATAATAGTCTGGGGAGAGGGGATGGGCCATAGAAACTGTTTAGAGACCCAAAGAAGAAACTGAGGCAGTCAACTTGGGATAAATGAGTTACTGAAGATTGTTTTCTCATTCTCAGTGATTAAACCTTATAGCCTATTTCCATCCATTGCTTAGCATGTTTCAGCATAAAAAGATGAGTGCTATTCTACTTCCTTGTTAAGAATAAAATAAACAGGACATTGATAACCTACCCAGTTGTTACTGAGCCTTTGTGAATTTAGACAAGGGTGGATGGTAGAGGCAGATCCATCCAGAGTTCAACCACAGCCCACATGATTTCTTTATCTTTGTCACTGAAACGTCTCAAGATGCTGCTTTCTGCAAATAAGAATTCTTTGATACCATGGGATTTTTTTCCCCCATCTATTTTCTTAGTTGGATTGCCTATTACAAATATAACTTCAGAAGTTTTTGCAGCTTCCTGCAGAAGAAAGTGTGAGATAAATTTTCTTACTTTTTGACAGAAAAGGTAGGATTTTATAGGCAGAGAATTCATGTTTTCCATCTCTGTTCATGAAATGATAGGATTGATAACCTGACTATTAAATCCAAGATATCTTCCCCCAACCTTAGACACAAATTCCCATTATTTTTTGACATACTTTTTTTTACACTGAAAATATTATAAAGTTCTTGTCAGTCAAGGGTGAGAACTTTAATGGCTCAAATATTGTTATGTATCCAACAACAAGCAAGAAGGAGACTTCTGATATTTAAAACGGTGGGTTCCTAAAACAATTTTAATTTAGCTGACTATGTGAAGGGAAACCCCATTTGAGTATTCAAAAAGCTATGCAATGGTGCTGCAGGTATTAATATTTGTATATGTTGTTTATTTTAAAATGTATTTTCTTGTAATCCCAGCACTTTGGGAGGCCAAGGCGGGTGGATCATGAGGTCAGGAGATCGAGACCATCCTGGCTAACACAGTGAAACCCCGCCTCTACTAAAAATACAAAAAATTAGCCAGGCGTGGTGGCGGGCACCTGTAGTCCCAGCTACTCAGAGGCTGAGGCAGGAGAATGGTGTGAACCCAGGAGGCGGAGCTTGCAGTGAGCCGAGATCGCGCCACTGCACTCTAGCCTGGGTGACAGAGCGAGACTCCATCTCAAAAAAAAAAAAAAGAATTTTCTAAATTAAAAAAATACGTATTTATTGTTTTGTCTAACTTTCATATTCATTGTTGTCTTAACTTTCATTTTTTAAGTTTTTCTTTTAAATTTGGTTTGAATCCCGGATGGTGCTTCTGACACACGTCCTCCCGCCCAAGGAGCCTCTAGAGCATCACCTTCCAAATGGGCAGGTGCTTTTTCACAGTGGAGGCCTCCAGGACATACTGGTAATCTCTAGTTTTAGTTAAAACATTAATTGGCACTTTATTTCCTTATTTAGACCCGTGAAGAATGGCAGAATGTGTTCCTCATAGCTGCCCTGGTGCATTACAGTGGTGTGATCTTCTATGGGGTCTTTGCTTCTGGGGAGAAACAGGAGTGGGCTGACCCAGAGAATCTCTCTGAGGAGAAATGTGGAATCATTGACCAGGACGAATTAGCTGAGGAGATAGAACTCAACCATGAGAGTTTTGCGAGTCCCAAAAAGAAGATGTCTTATGGAGCCACCTCCCAGAATTGTGAAGTCCAGAAGAAGGAATGGAAAGGACAGAGAGGAGCGACCCTTGATGAGGAAGAGCTGACATCCTACCAGAATGAAGAGAGAAACTTCTCAACTATATCCTAATGTCTGAGAGGCACTTCTGTCTTCTCCTTACTTTAGAAACAGAAAGTATCCATACCTATTGCCTTTCTTGTAGCCCAGCTTGCCAGAGGTCCAAATATTGGGAGGGGAGAAGATCTAACCAGCAACAGGGAAAAGAGAAATATTATCTTTCAATGACATGTATAGGTAAGGAGCTGCGCTCAGTTGATAACATAGTTGATAATACATATTTTTTGAATTGACAGTTGACCCTTCTCTCAAAGAGCTAAACTTATTCAGAAAGGAATGACTAGAAGAAAAAGGAGACAATACCATGTTGTTCAAAGAAACATTGAAGGAAATTGGGATGTTTGGCCAGAAGGAATGTAAACAGTAGTAGTAGCTGCCACCACATCTCTAGGGTAGCCATGCAGAGGAGGGCTTCATATTCCCAATAAACCCCACGTTGTGGCAGGTGCTTTATAAACACTCTTATTTAATCTCCACACCTTTATGACACACATTTCTTATCCCCATTTTACAACCAAGGCATCTAAAGCAACAAGAAATGAACTTGCCCAAGGTCATCTGCCAGGGTCAGTGCTGAGACTGTTGAAGCTCTCAATAGGTGGCAGTTTTAGGGAAGATTTCCATTCAGTGTAGGGAAGACATTTGTAATAATGAAAACTGAAAATGGAGTAATTGTGAGTAACTCACCACTTTAGCAGGTGTTGGGGAAGGGAAACATTTGGGTTGATGAGGCAGAGGGGATTCAAATGTGTGAGAGGCTAGATTCAAAGACCCTCAGTGTTCTATGTTATCTGAAGAGTCAAATGGTTTTGTGACTCCATAGTTTTTAAAGTAATAAGGGTCAAAGACTACATCAGAGATTCAAATAGGTTTTTAAAGAAAAGCTAAGCAAGAGAGCCAAATTTTTAGAAATCTGATGGTCAAAATAGCTGAAAGCAGTAAACAAGAGATTGGCTATTAAATTTCAACTTTCCATAATATTAAGAATGTAGCTAAATGATGTCCCAAACTACTTACAAACTTTTAAGACATTTAATAATTTAAGAAGTAGGTTCATGTGTTTTCTTAGGTAAAGTTCTTCTGAAAGAATTTTCTATTTTTAAAAAATGTATCTCTTTAGCCTTTTCTGCTGGAGATTATATTAGGAAGTTTCATCAGATTGTATAAAATTATGATTTTGTATCAAAAGTATTCATGATGACTCTATTTGGAATGATATTCAGGGAAATCACAATAATATAGCAGTAGTTATACAGAGAAATACTACAATGAAAACATTTGGGGCAATTAGACCTACAGTTACTGTTGAAAAATTCACCTTTGATTGCATAAGGCAATTACATGGATACTTTTAGATATATTTAAAATTTTAACATTGGCATCTAAAGTGTTATTTGAAAATAAAATTATTTTCCTGTTCATTGATTTTAAACATTTTATTCCTACTTTCAGAAGAAAAATATAATACGGAAAAAATTATAGATTTACTTGTAGCTTATTATTGTAAAGTGTTTTTTTTTTTTTTTTTTTTTTCTAATTTCTCCCACATGTATTTCTGGTCCCCAGTGATACTAGCTGAGTTGTAGTGTATTTTATAAATGGAATAATCTTGGGGAAAAATTGCGATTCTTCATTAAATAATATTCTTTATGTCACTAGCATACAATTTATGTTAGTAGACATCTTTAAATCTCTTTAATGAGTGAATCCATGCAAGCCCCATAAAACAGTTCCTAGCATGCAGAAAATGCCCACGTAAATAGCTGTCATCATCATTATCTTTTAACATTTTGGGGGACTTTCCAGTTGAAAAGAAAACATGCTATGTCATTTTTATCCATTATCCCTGGAACTTATTGTGAAAGTTGTGCTGTTTTCTAAGTAAAATAAAAAATAAAAAATTAGCAATTTATGATAGCCAGTGTTTTATTTTGTGTGTGTGTTAGTAAAGTCAAATAATTGTATTTTAAAAACTCACGATAATCCTTAAGGTAGTATTGTATATTGTGACACAAAGTTGTATTTATCGCATCATTTGAAGTTGGTATCATATGCAGAAAACCCACGTTTTTCCTGTAACTTGCCTTTATAATATGTATTTTTTTTTAAATGAAGTCATGGATCAAGGTGTTAAAAACTAAAAAATACATTATTTTGTTGTGATGGGTTTTTCTCTGCATAGGTAGCAATGGATAAATAATTACATTTTAACACCAGACAGATGCCATTTGCAAGTCATTGTACATTTTGCTGCGAATGTCCATTTGTAGGTCAATTCATGGATGCAAACCATGGATTCTAGCAGGAAGGGAAGGAGGCCTGTAGGTGCAGGGTTCTTGAGACAAGAAAGATCTGATGATCCTTTCCAACAATCAAAGTTTTGGAAATTCCTTAATATGACAAGAAAAGTAAGTATTAAAGAAATAATGGCCCATTTGTTATCCCTGTCTGGATGTTAAATTCAACAGGTAAAAATTGGAACCTATTATGTGTATTTCTATTTTACTCTGCCTCCTCCCAACCCCAATAAATCTGTTTTTCTTTCTCTATTTCTTATCTCAGTTAGTCACATTATCTTTTTGCTCAAGCTAGAATTCTTAGAGTCATCCTTGACTTAAAATATTTTTCCCCTTCTCTCTCTTCTCTGCCAAGTTCATGTAATTTAATTTTCAATCTGTGGATCCATGTCTTACATCAGCTTGGGAAAACTCTCTCCATTACCTCTTAATATACTGCTTTTGCTCCATTCTGTCTCTACTGTTTTGCTAGGCATTCAGTTAAATGTATTCTAGACTGTATGTAGGTCTCTGATCACCTGTTCTGTATTTTCCAGTGCTTTGCCTCTTTATATGTCATGCTGGATATCTTCTCCTGACTTATCTTTCAGTTCTTTATCTCTCTCTCTTCAGTGAGGTCTAACCTGCAAAACTCCATCCATTGTGTTCTTAATCTTAGTGATTGTATTTTCAGTTCTAGAATTTTTATTGGTTCTTTTTCGTTTCTGCTATGTCTTTTAAAAAGTATTTCCAGCTCTCTGCTGAAATTTTCAATACCGTATTTTATTTTCTGGGACATAGTAAGCTAATTGTTTTAAAGTCTGCTTAGTTCTAATATTTGGAGACCATGTTAGTCTCTTTTATTGTTGTTGTTGTTGTTGGTTTTGCTGGTCCTTATTCATACTATCTTAACTGCATCTATGCCTGGTTTTCTTTGACTTTATCAGACATTGCATTTGAAAAATTATTTGTAGAAATAATTTTTAGCAATTTTAGCCACGAAATAATGCCGCTTTTTTTTTTTTTTTTTTTTTTTTTTTTTTTTTTTTGTCCTTCTAGGAGGTTTTTGTTTGCTTCTTTCATGAGCCTAAGGGCATTAACAGTCTGGGATCACCTTAGTCCAGTTGCAGGGCCTTAGGTATTTTGTGCCATCCAGATGATTTGAAGCTGGACAACAGGATGTATGAAGGCTCTTACTTCCTGTTCACCCTTACTGCTGGAGCATAACACTTCAGGGTCCCAACCCACACTACAATGTTTTTACCGGGGTCCAACTCTTGTTTCCATACCAGGCCATCAAAGACACTGCTCAGCCATCAAACACTGGCTTTGTTCGAATTAACAAATCCTCCCAGGAGAAAAGTGGCCTCAAATGTCAGAGTCACTTCTCTGGATTTTCATCTTCTGTCAGACGTCAGATGGTAGCCTGGGTATTTTTCACTACTGTTTTGGCTTTTCAATGCTTTTGAGCAGAATTAATTTTTTTTTTTTTTTTTTTTTTTTAGTTCAGCTTTTCTGGTAGGAAGGTTGGTCTGAACTACCTAGTCTGTCATTAACAAACGCTGAAATATCTTTTAATTTTAACTTCACAAGTTCTCTCAAACTAATCTACCTCCTCAGGGAGAGTGTGATAATAAATTAAACTTAGATCTCAGTGGCTTAATATAGCAAATGTTTAGTTCTCTCTTGTGTTACAAGTTGAATGTGGGTTGGTTGGGGTCAGGTGGAGTGGAGGCTTATTCCAGTCACTCAGGTATCCAGGATGTATTTTCTCCATTCAGCATCTTGTAGTCAATTATTGGGAACATATAAATTCTGATATCACCATGAAAGGGGAAGGGAGAAGGAGGCACAATGGGTTTTACTGCTTTACTTGGAAGCAACACAATCACTTTTGGTTGCAGTCCATTGACCTACGCTAGTACATAGCCCAAGCCTAACTTCAAGCGTGGCTAGGAAACAAAGGGGAACATGTAGATTGCTAAGCAAGCATGAATTACACCTTCCATTCAGCTCTAGCCTTGGTTCAGGGTCTTATGAACTCTCACTTAGCATATTGAAATAGTTTTCTAACCCCAACTGTCATAAATGATGTAAACCTGCTATGTGTCATTCTGAGAGATCTGAACTAGGTTGTAAGGAGCAAATCTTTGTAGGGAAAGGGCCCGTGAGCTTCCTCCAGGGAGGACCAGAGGCCTTAAAAATATCAATTTCCTGGAATAAAATAGATTATGGCCTGATTCTAACATGAACTAATAACCACGTGGGCCAAACTGAAGGGGCAGAAAAGTTGACTTTTCCTTTAGATTACAAGTAGTACTGTATCCTGGGCCTTATACTAAGTCCTTTCCATACATAATCTCATTTAATTCTCATGGCAACCCAATGAGAAAGGGTTAATTATTTATTCCCAAGCATTTATTAATAAGTAAATGGTATTTCAGAGAAGAATTTAAAGTCAGGTCCCTTAAGGCCATATTTTAATCTTAATTCTTAATTAACACTAATAATCTATTCTTAATTTTTAAATTCTTTAACCATAAGCCTAATTAAGATCAAACTCTTATTTTAATCTAATCTTAATTGAATCATAATCTTAATTCTTAATCTTTAATCTGTTCTCTATGGCTTCTACTCGCTAGCAGTAATTCCAGACAGTGGTGTTCTCAAAGTCAAGAGTGTTCCAGTTACTTCAGTGAAGTATGATCAAAGTGATGGAATGAGCTCTGGCAGTTTACTCTAGACCTAAGGAGATAGGGACAGGTGAAAAGCCAGATGAACATGTGAGATCATTTTTCTCATCAACTGCTGGACTGCAGAGAACCAGGGGCCCCTGTATTTCCCCTATTTCCATAGCTACGCAGATAGGTAAGATAGGAAAGTTGAACCCAACGCTTACTGGGTGTGTTTGTGTTGAGTGAGGGTTGGTTTGCAAGGGACTGATTTTTTCCCAGGAATCCCAAATATAGACACAACAAACATCCAGCCACACAGTACATGCCTTGCATAAACTGGGTGCTCAACCAATATGATCTTCAAAATCTGATGTGGTGTTTAAGGAGATTATGCTGGTGATGGCACTCAGGTTATCTTGTTAAACATGGCGGAATAAATGCAGTCATTTCTAGCTGATTTCTAAAATTAAAATAAAAAAACACATAAACTGGCCAGGACAAAGTGAAAGAGGGAGAAAAATCACGTTTAGAAAGCTGAATAAGGATGCATGAGTCTTAACTGACTTCAGCAGAACTGAGTGAAAAAGAAGAAAGCTCTTTCATGTTACTGCACCCAAGAAAGGTTTAAAATGGAAGGTACCAGCACCAGGTACCTCTGGAGGACAGAGTGAAGAGTGGAGTGGGGTTGGAGGAGGAGGACTGAGAACATAAGGACTGGTTGAAAATTATCATTATCAGATTTAGCAATGCTGTTGAAAGGGCATGTAAGAAGCAGTTATCACCCCAGAGTCTCTCTCCCACCAGCTCAACCAAGAAACTGCCCCTCCCCAAACCTAGTGGAAAACAGGAAGTTCATTTTCTGGGTGGGGGCACTCTGGATTCAAGAACACCCATCATAGCTGAGTATCGGCTCCAAAAGCTAGAGATTTTGGTCCGTTTTGGTTACTGATGTATCTCAAGTATCTAGAGATGCCTGGCATTTAATAGCCACCTGGTAATTATTCTTCAAGTGCATGCATGAATGAATGAACCTTATTATACACAGGGAAATTAATCAAAAGTTTGCATAACGAACACTGAAAGCTTCCAGCTTCCTTCTTGGGCTGAGCTTCCAAAATGCTGCCAGTCAGAATCATATCCCCTAAGCAGGAGATTATAGGATTCATGGGATCAGTGGTGGGAACTCACATATAAGTAAAAGGGCTTACAGCTATTGACATTTGGGGCTTTCCCCATCAAAATAAAGTGATCCTTGCCTAGTCACTCCCTGTGGGACCTACCCACCAAGCCCTGCCCAAGGGAATTATTCATTCATTCATTCACTTATTCATTCAACAATTTTTTTTTTTTTTTTTGAGATAGGATTTCACTCTGTCATCCAGGCTGGAGTGCAGTGGCACCATCATGGCTCACTGCAGCCTTGACCTCCTGGGCTCAAGCAATCCTCTCACCTCAGCCTCCTGAGTAGCTGGGACTACAGCCATGTGCCACCACACCTAGCTAAGTTCAACAACTATTTAGCACCTGTAACGAGCACCTCTAATGTTCTAGGCAGTAGGGCTAGAAAATAAGTAAACAAAATAGGTCGCTGCTCTGATGGAGCTTATATTCTGGGGGAAGGCACAAAAAATAAGGCTGTTAATGAGTAAAACCAGGACACAGTATGTCAGTGCTAAGTGCTGAGAACAAACATAAAACCAGGTAAGGGGGGTGGGGAACATGAGGGATGATGTGTTAGGTCAAGTGTCCAGGGATAATGTGATCTTTGAGTAGAGAACTGAAGGCTGTGAGGAAGCAAGTCAAGTGCATTTTGGGGGAAAGGGTTCCAGGCAAAGGAAAAAACAAGGGCAAAGGCCCTGAAGGGGGAACATGATGGGTATATTTAAAGAACACTAAGTCCCTTAAAGTACTCAGGTTCTGGACATGTTTCAAAGGAAGAGGGAACATTTTCTGAGAGGCAGAAGACTGGGGAGGAGCAGGACAATACTGGGGGAAGGAACTGGGAATTTTGACTTGTTTGATTTTAGAGCTTTCCTTGCCTATTGATATCTCAGTGGCAGTATCAGGTAGGCAGTGGAAATACAGTCTAGGATTCGGGCCAGAAGTCAGAGCTAGAGTTGTACATTGGTGAGTCACTATCACATCACATAGTTGGTCTGTAAAGCCAGGAGACCAGATGAGATCATCAAGATTCCAGTGCAGAGAAGAACATGACTGAGCCCTGGGGACACTCCAACATAGAGAGATCAGGAAGACGAGAAGGAGCAAGTAGAAGAGATAGAAAAAGGGAGATAGAGGGTAGGGGTGATGGAACCCCGAGAGAGTGGTGTCCTGTGGCCAAGTGAAGCAAGTGTGGTGTGGAGGAGTGCATGGTCCATGTGTCAAAGCTTCTGTGAGATCAAGGAAGATGAGGACTGAGGATGGGCCATTGGATTTAGCAACATGGAGATCATTGGTGCCTTGACAGGGGCAGTTTTAATATAGTGGTGATGACAAAAATCCTGAACAGTATGTGTTTAATCAAGGGTGAACATTTTATTGTCTTCCTCTTACTTATGAACAGACAGCCAAGGATTGCCAGATAGTTTGGGGAAGTTTCCAATATGAAAGACAGAGACCAACAAAAACAGGAAGAAAGGTACTTGGAAGAAACCAGGTATCACAGGGAATAGAACAAACCTGAACTTCAAAGAGAAGATACTGCATGCTTGAAACAAAAATAGAATTCTAGTTTCAAAAAAGGAAGATACATTCAGAGGAGAAGAGATTGGGCTAGAGAGAATCTTGAGTCTAGGAGGTCAGTTAGGAGTCTATTACAACAATTTAGAAATGAGGGCCTAGACTAGGATTCAGGGAATGGAAATGGGAAAACAGGCTTGCTATAGAAAACCTAAAAAAAAAATTTTTTTTTCTAATTGGGTGTGGTGGCACACACTTGTAGCCACACCTTAGGAGGCCTAGGCAGGTGGATGGCTTGAGGCCGGGAGTTTGAGACCAGCCTGGGCATCATAGTGAGAACTCATCTCTACCAAAAAATTAAAAAAATTAGCTGGGCATGGTGGCATGTGATTATAGTCTCAGCTACTTGGGAGGCTGAGGCAGGAGGATTGCTTGTGCTTAGGAGTTTGAGGCTGCAATAGCTGTGATCATGCCACTGCACTCTAGCCTGGGCAACAAAGTAAGACCGTGTTGAGGTCTTACTTTGACTCCTTTGACCTCTTCAAAAAAAGAATGAGAGGGAAACCTCCCCCTTTTTTGTCTAAAAAGTATAATATATGCTTCTTGTAGAAAAGCTTCAATATATAGAACATGTATTGAAGAGAATAAAAATGACCCTAGTATTACAGCCGATTTAATAACTCTTGAATTCCTCAAGCAATCCTCTTGCCTCAGCCTTCCAAAGTGCTGAAATTACAGGCATGAGCCACCAAGCCCGGCCTCAGATTTAATAACTCTTAACATTCAGGCATGTATGCCTCCAGTCTTTTCTCTATGCTAGGGGTGTCCAATCTTTTGGCTTCCCTGGGCCACACTGGAAGAATTGTCTTAGGCCACACATAAAATACACTAACACTAACGATAGCTGATGAGTTAAAAAAAAAATCGCAGAAAAACTCACGTTTTAATAAATTTGTGTTGGGCCACATTCAAATCTGTCCTGGGCCCCATGCGGCCCATAGGCCGTGGGCTGGACAAGCTTGCTCTATACACATATTTTTGAACAAAATTGGGATCATACTATAGCTACAGTTTTCTATCCTACTGTTTGCACTTAACCATATATAATAAGTCCTCATGTATTTAAATATTCTTTGAGAACACGATTTTTTAAAATTCACATACAATAAAATGCACAAATCAGGTTTACTGCTTTGTTGATTTTTACCTTTGTATACATATACCTATGTAAACAGTCCTCAATGGTAACCACTGTTCTGATTTCTATTATTGTAGATAAATTTTGCCTGAACTTAAGCTTCATATAAATGGAATTATACAGAATCAGCTCTTTTGAATCCTATTCCTTTCCTTCAGTTAATGTTTTAAAAATTGATCCATGTTTTGTGTTTATCAGTAGTTCATTTTTTAATAGATGCATCATACTGCATTGTATGGGTATACCAAAATTTGTTTACTTATTCTTCTATTGATAGCCATTTGAGTTGTTTCCAATTTTTTCGGGGGAAGGGTATTATAAATAAAGCTTATATAGGTATTCTTGTATTTTTATGAACATGTTTTTATTTCTTTAGGAGCAGAATTGCTGGATCCTAGGGCGGGTATATGTTTAGCTTTATAAGACACTGCAAACACTTTTCCATCATGTTTGTACCATTTCACTTTTCTACCATTTATGAATTCGAGTTCCAATTACTCCACATTCTCATCAATGAGAACACGATTTTAATGACCAAACGTCTAACAACTAGACTGGTTGTTAGATGTTTAGATGTCAGTTGTTAGATGCTTTAGAGAGTTTCTACATTTTCACCATTATAAATAGTAATAACGAAGTTCTTGACTATAAATCCTTGACTTCACCTGTAAGAGATATTTTCAAGGGAAAATTAGCCTGACTTTTTATTTCTATGCGGTGTATCATTCAGTAAGTAACTGGTTAAATTTACTAGCAACAATAATAGAACAGATAATGTAAAAGTGCAGCTGACTGAAAAACAATTTCAAGGGGGCTTTGATGTGCATTTCTTCCATAGTTACATTTGAAGTGAACAGATGACTGAAATTCCAGGGCTCCAAAGCACTTCAAACACAAGAATAACCCAAGGTAATAGTATCTCTATTTCTCCACGCTCCTTTCCCTTCCCTTCCCTCCCTTCCTCTTCCCTTCTCTTTCTTCTGCTCTCTCCTCTTCTTCTCTTCTTTTCTCCTCTCTCTTCCTCTCTCTCTTCTTACCTCTCTCCCTCCCCATACTTATATCCATTCATCATGTCTGGATTCTGAAACAAAGTTTGAGTTAAGCCATTATCACAAAAACATGCTACTGACTTGAGAGAACTTTTGAGAGGTGACAGCGTGCTAGCAGTCCTCACAGCCCTCGCTCGCTCTCGGCGCCTCCTCTGCCTGGGCTCCCACTTTGGCGGCACTTGAGGAGCCCTTCAGCCCGCCGCTGCACTGGGGGAGCCCCTTTCTGGGCTGGCCAAGGCTGGAGCCGGCTCCCTCAGCTTGCAGGGAGGGGTGGAGAGAGAGGCGCGAGCGGGAACCGGGGCTGCGTGCGGCGCTTGCGGGCCAGCTGGAGTTCCGGGTGGGCGTGGGCTTGGCGGGCCCGGCACTCGGAGCAGCCGGCCAGCCCTGCCGGCCCCGGGCAATGAGGGGCTTAGCACCCGGGCCAGCAGCTGCGGAGGGTGTACTGGGTCCCCCAGCAGTGCCAGCCCACCGGCGCTGCTCTCGATTTCTCACCGGGCCTTAGCTGCCTTCCCGCGGGACAGGGCTCGGGACCTGCAGCCCGCCATGCTTGAGCCTCCCACCCCCTCCATGGGCTCCTGTGCGGCCTGAGCCTCCCCGATGAGCGCCGCCCCCTGCTCCACGGCACCCAGTCCCATCAACCACCCAAGGGCTGAGGAGTGTGGGCACACGGCACGGGACTGGCAGGCAGCTCCACCTGCAGCCCCGGTGCGGGATCCACTGGGTGAAGCCAGCTGGGCTCCTGAGTAGGGTGGGGACGTGGAGAACCTTTATGTCTAGCTCAGGGATTGTAAATACACCAATTGGCACTCTGTGTCTAGCTCAAGGTTTGTAAACACACCAATCAGCACCCTGTGTCTAGCTCAGGGTTTGTGAACGCACCAATTGACACTCTGTAGCTACTCTGGTGGGGACTTGGAGAACCTTTGTGTGGACACTCTGTATCTAGCTAATCTGGTGGGGAAGTGGAGAACCTTTGTGTCTAGCTCAGGGATTGTAAAGGCACCAATCAGCGCCCTGTCAAAACAGACCACTGGGCTCTACCAATCAGCAGGATGTGGGTGGGGCCAGAAAAGAGAATAAAAGCAGGCTGCCCGAGCCAGCAGGGGCAACCCGCTCGGGTCACCTTCCACACTGTGGGAGCTTTGTTCTTTCGCTCTTTGCAATAGCTCTTGCTACTGCTCACTCTTTGGGTCCACACTGCTTTTATGAGCTGTAACGCTCACCGTGAAGGTCTGCAGCTTCACTCCTGAAGCCAGCGAGACCACGAGCCCACCGGGAGGAAGGAACAACTCCAGACGCGCTACATTAGGAGCTCTAACACTAACAGCGAAAGTCTGCAGCTTCACTCCTGAGCTAGCAAGACCACGAACCCACCAGAAGGAAGAAACGCCGAACACATCCGAACATCGGAAGGAACAAACTCCAGACGCGCCACCTTAAGAGCTGTAACACTCACCGCGAGGGTCCGCGGCTTCATTCTTGAAGTCAGTGAGACCAAGAACCCACCAATTCCGGACACACTTTGACTCTTTCAGCCATCTGTGTGGTAGCATTTGCTGAAACATGGCAGCCAGGCTTGAGAGGAACTGCCAGGTGAATCCACTTCCCTTTCCTCCTCAGCTTTCCCCAGTGGGGCTGGAAGGCATGGCCCTTTCAGCCAGCGCTCATGGCAGAGCAGGATTAACCTCCCTTATCAAAACCGGGGAAGGAGGCAGAGCTTTTCCGGTAAACCTCCTCCCTCTTTGCCACACATTTCCTATGGAAAGACTGTCACGGGGAAGGAGGAGCTGTTATAATGAGATCATGAAGTCAGAGAAGCCATGGTTGTTCTGGATAGTGTTGGTGTGGGAGTAGCTATCTCAAGTGCCTTGAGGTGAGACCTTTAGAATTCTCAGTTTGGGGTCCATGGGAAGGGTCTCCAGAAAACTCTCAGAAAATATGAACTAAACCTAAGGGTATATGTGCACATTTTTCTGAGAAGAGGGTCTGTCTACACAGTAGACCCTTGAACAACATGGGTTTGAACTGCATGGGTCCACTTATACACACATATATTTCAATAAAAGTTATATCAGCCGGGCGCGGTGGCTCATGCCTGTAATCCCAGCACTTTGGGAGGCCGAGGCAGGTGGATCACGAGGTCAGGAGTTCGAGACCAGCCTGGCCAAGATGGCAAAACCCCGTTTCTACTAAAAATACAAAAATTACGCAGGCGTGGTGGTGGACGCCCATAATCCCAGCTACTCGGGATGCTGAGGCAGGAGAATTGCTTGAACCTGGGAGGCAGAGGTTGCAGTAAGCCGAGATCGTGCCACAGCACTCTAGCCTGGGTGACAGAGCAAGATTCCGTCTCAAAAAAAAAAAAAAAGTTATATGAAGTGTGCCTACCTCTCCTGCCTCCCCTTTAACTCTTCTACTTCTTTTACCTCTTCTGCCTCCCACCACTAAGACAGCAAGACCAACCCCTCCTCTTCCTCCTCCTTCTCAACTTACTCAACACGAAGATGATGAGGATAAGAGCTTTATGATGATCCACTTCCACTTAATAAATAGTAAATAGTAAATAAATTGTCTCTGTCTTGCAACTTTCTTAATAACATTTCTTTTTCTTTAGCTACTTTATACTAGCTTTCTTCTGCTCTCTCTTCTCTACTTTTCTCCTCTATATTATATATATGTATATATACACACAGTATATAATACATGTAATGTACAAAATATGCATTAATAGACTGTTTATGTTATTGGTAAGGCTTTGAGTCAGCAGTAGGCTATTAGTAGTTAAGTTCCTGGGGAATCAAAAGTTATATGCAGATTTTTGACTGCGTGAGTGTCAGTGCTCCTGACCACTACATTGTTTAAGGGTCAACTGTATTTTGTAGCTGTCACCATATTCTCAAAGTTATCCAAGGGCCAAAAGAGGCTAAGATTTGCCCAGAATGAGCTACAGATAATGTGCTAAGCTGAAGGAAACCTAATAATTATGTAGTGGCTTTGTGACCACTGCCTGAGATGCCCTTGAAAAAGCCTAATTATTTGGCTTAAGCATCTGACTTTCTCTTCTCACTTTCTTTTTTCTTCATCTGACTGCCTTGGTTTATTCTCTATCATATTTCACCTGTCTCCTTCCTTCATTTGGAGCTGTCTTCTTTCTTGTCCTTCTCCATAACTCTCTTTTTCTTTCTCTAATGCAATAGATAACCAGAGGAGTTTGGCTTATAGTGGTGAAGTGGTCAGGTAGGTGAGAACATCTTCGATTGATTCCTCTTTCATCTTTTCCCACCATTCTAAATAGTGAATATAAGATATTAGAATTAAATAGGTAAAGTCATTTTGAAAGAGTCTGCATAGTTTCCTCTCAAGCCATGTAACATCTGACTATAATATATTATAAAGCACAGTGATGAACACCCCAGAAGGATAATGCTAACATCCTTCAGAAATTAATGGGAAATACTATGAATACTGTGAATAAATAGCCATAAAGGCTGGTTAAATCTTGTTACTTAAAGAACTATTTAAAAAATAATGCTACTTAATATAACCAAAGTGAATCTCATTTTTCTGAAAATCAAATAATTATGCACAGCAAGGGCAAACATCTTGGCTTTTGCTAACTACAGAATTTTTTGACAAAATAGCTTTTTATGTTTTCAGAGTGCTGGTTGTTTTAAAGTTGTTTCCAAGATTGCATGCCCAAAGATCATCATCTTTAATTTCTTTTTTTTTTTTAGTGGTTTCAACTGAAAGATCAGTTTTCAATCTTTCACATTTTAAAAAATGATGTAATGCTTCCTTGATTATTTCAGCAGAACATAGAATAACACAGTTTAGAGTTCTCAGATACTTCCTTTTTAATCTTCTTTAGGAACATATTTCATAACGAGTTCTGGCCTAAAATGTGATCCTGGTTTTCATCAGATTTCAAAAGTTCTATTCTCAGCTAAAATGAGGTAGAAAGTCAAATGACTTTTGGCTTTTTAATTTAGTGTTCGTGGTTTCACACAGTTTTATATGTTTGAGGACAAGATTTCATTTTGAGGAGAAGGGTTTAAAGCCCCAGTAATCCAACACAGCCCTGTGAGTTGCACTGTCTCAAATGGAGGCTATAATATTTTTATGTTTTTTAGAAAGATTGATGAAGACCATGGTTCTTATGGATAAATCCATCAATGTATTTGGGACAAAATTGGTCTTTAAAACATATAAATGTTATTTTGCTCCCTATTTAAAACTCCAAAGATGCCTGTATCACTTGTCTATCACTGCACAACACACCACCACTGTTTTTATGTTTTTAGAACACAAAACTATTTTCTCACAATTCTGTGGGTTGGGCTCAGCTAGGTGGTTGGTCTGCTGGTCTCCCCTGGTCACTCTTGTGACTATAGTCATCTCAAGTTTGACTGAGGTTGGGTGGACTAGACAGCCTCCCAGGGAGCTGATGCTATTTGTTGATCATGGTGCTCTGGTTCTCCTCCAAATGGCACTCATGCCCTAATTGGCTAGACTAATTTTATTTTTTTACATGATGGACTCAGAGCAGCATTGTAAGGAGAGATGAAAGCTGCAGGGCCTCAATGTCACTTCTTCCACATTCTCTTGGTTACAGGCCAGACCTAGTTCAAGGAGAAGAAAAACGGACTTTACCTCTTGACTAGAGGAGCCTCAAAGTCACATTGCAAAGGAGCATCCATACAGAGACACGAAGATTGTTTGGCCATCTTTGCAAACCATCTACCATAGCTCTTCCTCACAGGTAGAACAGAAAACAAAGATTTACTATGGCCTACAAGTCCGCACATCACCTGATGCCTGCCTTCCTTTTCAATCTTGTATTGTTCTACTCATCCTTTTTTTTCACAGGCCTTCTTTCTGTTATTCAAACTTGCCCACCTTGCAGTTCCCTCTGTCTAAAGTGCTCCTTCCTTAAATCTTGGCTCCTTCTCAACATTCAGTTCTCAGTTCAATGTCATTTCCTCAGAATGTTTAAAGTTGCCTCTTCAACTTTCTTAGCTTCTTTTTGTTTTATTACTGTATGTACTTTTATCTATTTTATTTATCACTCTGAAATTACCTTATTATTTATTTACTTATTTATCTTTAAATTTTAATAGGTTTTTGGGGGAACAGTTGGTTTTTGGTTACATGGATGTGTTCTTTAGTGGTGATTTCTGAGATTTTAGTGCACCCATCACCCAAGCAGTGTACACTGTACCCAACGTGTAGTCTTTTATCACTCACCCACCTCCCAACTTTTCCCTTCAGTCCCTAAAGCCCATTGTATCATTCTTTATTATTATTATTGCTGTTATTTGAGATAGAGTCCCACTCTGTGGCCAGGCTGGAGTGCAGTGGCGCGATCTTGGCTCACTGCAACCTCTGCCTCCTGGGTTGAAGTGATTCTCCTGCCTCAGCCTCCCAAGTAGCTGGGACTACAAGCATGCGTCACCATGCCCAGCTAATTTTTGTATTTTTAGTAAAGACGGGGTTTCACCATGTTGGCCAGGATGGTCTCGATCTCTTGAGCTCATGATCCGCCCGCCTGGGCCTCCCAAAGTGCTGTGATTTCAAGCGTGAGCCACTGCGCCTGGCCATTGTATTATTCTTATGCCTTTGCGTCCTCACAGCTTAGCTCCCACTAATAAATGAGAACATTCGATGTTTGGTTTTCCATTCCTGAGTTACTTCGCTTAGAATAATGGTCTCTGATTCCATCCAGGTTGCTGTGAATGCCATTATTTATTTCATTCCCTTTTATGGCTGAGTAGAAATTCCATGGTGTGTGTGTGTGTGTGTGTGTGTGTGTGTGTATCACATTTTCTTTATCTACACATTGATTGATGGGCATTTGAGCTGGTTCCATATTTTTGTGATTGCAAATTTTGCTGCTATAAACCTGCAGTGCAAGTGTCTTTGAAATTGCCTTATTAAAAATATGCTTATTGCTTATTTTCCTACTAGGATATGAGTTCTATGAAAGCTAGGGCTTTGTCTGTTTTGTTTATTTTTTCTATGTGCAGGGACTAAAATAGGCCTATAATAATTGTTCTCAACATTAACTACACTTTGGAACCACTCAGAGGGTGCACCCAGGCTGCACTCCAGAAAACTGGTGGTGCCAAGTGATCTCAAAGTGCAGCTAAGGTTAAGAACCACTGGCCTTGCCTGAAAAACTTTATAGAAGAGATAGAAATAGGACTAAGTCTTAGAGAGAATGTAAGATTTCAACAGGTGGAGGAAAGGCGGCCTTCCTGTCAGGGTGGGCATAGGAGAAACAAAGAGGATAGGAAACGGAAGTTGCACAATGAACAATGCCAAGACAAGCCCTGTAAACTTGATTTAGTGAGCAGTTGCTACCTCGATTATTCTTCCTGAATTTTCCAAGCAAGCTCTGATTTGAAATATTTTATTTCATTTTCCACTTAAACCAACAAAACATCTTTTAACATTTCAGCATCCAAACTTCATTTCTTTTTCTTTTCTTTCTTTCTTTCTTTTTTTTTTTTTTTTTTTTTTTGATAGGATCTTGCTCTGCTGCTTAGGCTGGAGTGCAGTGGCATAATCATGGCTCCTGCAGCCTCCACCTCACAGGGCTCAAGCAGTCCTTCCAGCTCAGCCTCCCAAGTAGCTGGGACTATGGTCACACACCACCACGACTGACTAAATTTTTGTAGAGATGGGGTCTGTCTTCATTGCCTGGGTTCAAGTGATTCTCCCACCTCAGCTTCCCAAACTGCTGGGATTATAGGCATGAGCCACTGGACCTGACCCCCAAACTCCATTTTAAATGCCTGGAGGAAGCCACACTAGATTTTGTTAAATTGATCAATGTTAGTGTTTACCCAGAACAATTTAATTCAAAAGAGTAAGGCCACCCTTTTCTTATAGCCGTGACACTACTGAGCCATCATCAGGGGTTGTGACTTGCTTCTTTCTTCCAAATGTCTCTCAGATCTACCTGTGACTTTCTATCCCCATTACCATGAGCCATTTCCACTTTACTGGATAAATGTACCAGCCTGGCTGAGGTTTCCAGCTCTTTCCTCTTCCTGTCTCCAATCTCCAATCTGTTCTAACAGATCAATTATAAGACACCACTCTCGTCGCTTCTATGCCCTCCTTAAGAACCTAGAGAGGCTTCCTCCAGGCATTTCCCATATTAGGGAATATATTTTCTGAAGAAAAATACAGGAATTATCACCTGATGCATGCAGTTTATTTGGTAGAAAAAACTTTGAAAACTTGGATTTATGTGTAGGAGGTATGGGAGCAAAAAGGGGAGTACCTAGTGGTGAGAAATTTGGGGACAACTACTCTAAACAGCTGCCTAAGAGGATCTTGATTAGAGCAGTTGGTTAATTACTGAGAAATTCCAGGAAAAAAAAAACTGCATTCTAAATAAACGTTTATCAGCACATAACATTTGACTAGTCTGTTCAAAGGTTCCTGTTGCAACTCATTCTGGCAGCACTTGTGTAAAACCAAGGTAGAGCAGTAAGTGACAAAGGTTTTATTTATCTCCTGTTATTATCTGTTGACTTTTAAAGGGCTCAGTAATGAACAGCTGCAGATTAGCTAACCCATGGGAAAGGGTGAAGCAATGTCTTGTGAGGCCCAAGGTTCCCGTCAGCCCCTTTGGAGCCCTCCAAGCCAGTCAAGGTCATGGGCTTATACTGAGAGAGAACACCTCAACGGACCCTTTTATTGTAGAGCTATGTGAATGAGGCTCAAAGAGTGGAAGGAATGTATTCAAAGCCACACCATTAGATAAGAATCTGGCCAACGTAAAATGAAACTACTAATTTGAGAGAGTTCACATTAATTGTGCTCTGATCAAACTAGACACTTTCTGTATATTATATCCTCTCTTCAGTACTGCAGTCTTGTGATATAGGTATTATTTTTCCCATTTTATATTCAAGAGACCTGAGACTCACAGAGGCCAAATATTAATATCTCACCCAACGTCCCAAGTAAATGGCAGAGCTGGGATTCCAATTTAATATCTTTGACTATAAAAACCTTTGATCACATTTTCTGAATTATAGTGTCTCCAAATGGAAGAAATTTCTTTCTGTATAAGCCTCATAGTTCCTGTTCTTTGGAATTTATAAACGATGGTGATGATGATAATAATAATAATAACTTATATTTGCTTGGTGTCTACCAGTAATAGCAGGCATTATCGTAGCTTCTGGGAATACATAAGTGAATAGAAGAAAGAAAAATTCCTGAACATAATATATAAGCAATTTCTGTAGTTTTTTTTTTAAAGGGTGGTAAGTGTGATGAGGAAAATAAATAGGGCAAGATAAAGGGGAATGAAAATATTTGAGCATGTGGCAAGTTCAAAAAGGAGAATCAGGGAAGGCTTCACTAAGAAGGTGATACTGGAGCAAAGACCTGAAGGACGTAAAGATGCAGATATCTGGAGTGAAATCTTTGAGGCAGACAGAAGAGGATGTGCAAAGGCCCGGAGGTGGAAACATGCCCTGTGGATTTGAGGACCTCGAGATGATTGCTGTGACTAGAATGATTACAGTGAAAGGGAGAATGGTGGGACATGAGGTCAGGCAAAATGGGAGCCAGATTGTGTGGGGCCTTGTAAGCTATGGTAAAGATGTTGGCTCTTAATTCTTTGTGAAAGGAGGGAATCCTTTGCAGGGTGTTTGGCAGGGTAGAGACAAGATCTGGCTTCCAAATTAAAAATATTCCGGCCGGGTGCGGTGGCTCATGCCTGTAATCCCAGCACTTTGGGAGGCCGAGGCGGGTGGATCATGAGGTCAGGAGATCGAGACCATCCTGGCTAACAAGGTGAAACCCCGTCTCTACTAAAAATACAAAAAATTAGCCGGGCGCGGTGGCGGGCGCCTGTAGTCCCAGCTACTCGGGAGGCTGAGGCAGGAGAATGGCGTGAACCCGGGAAGTGGAGCTTGCAGTGAGCCGAGATTGTGCCACTGCAGTCCGCAGTCCAGCCTGGGCGACAGAGCGAGACTCCGTCTCAAAAAAAAAAAAAAAAAAAAAAAAAAAAAAAAAATATATATATATATATATATATATATTCCTCTGGCTGCTGTGTTGAGGAAAGTCAAGGGTGAGAAGGACAGTGAGACCACATAGAAATCTACTTCAAATATCTAGATGAGGCTGGGCCTGGTGGCTCATGCCTGTAATCCCAGCACTTTGGGAGGCCGAGGTGGGAGGATCACCTAAGGTCAAGAGTTCAAAACCAGCCTGGCCAACATTGTGAAACCCCATCTCTATTAAAAATACAAAATTATCCAGGTGTGGTGGCATATGCCTGTAGTCCCAGCTACTCGGGAGATTGAGACAAAAGAATCACTTGAACCCGGAGGCAGAGGCTGCAGTGAGCTGAGATCACACCATTGCACTTCAGCCTGGGTGAGACAGCAAGATTCCATCTAAAAAAAAAAAAAGCAAAGGATAGAAAAAAAGAAAAAAAAAGTCTGGATGGGAGATGATGATGGCTTAGATTAGGGTGATAGCAATGCAGGTGGAGTAAAGTGACTGGGTTCTGGGTAAGATTTGCTGTGGGATTTGAGAGAAAGAGAGGAATCAAGGATACCTACAGCTTTCCTGCTGGTTATCTACCTCTCTCCTTGCACTGAATCCTCTAAATAACAATGCCACAGAGGATTTATGTGTTCAAGAGCCTTCACAGTGTGTGTGTGACAGATGGCAAAGCATTTTACAGTAAACTATTTCATCAAAACAATCTTTTCATGTCATAGTGTTGTGAATTCTAAGTAGTAAGAATCAGAATACAGTGCCATTATCTCTCTGCTTGATCCATGATCCGAGTCACTTAACCTCTCTGAACCTCCATTTATTTTTCTGTAAAATGGGGATCGCTCTTCTGCTGCCTCAATTGTGAGGGAATGTGAACTCTATGAGAGTAGTGACTGTTGGAATGTTGCTGTACCCAGGCATTTCCAAATGTGCCCAACACATAGTAGGTTCTCAATAAATAGTTGCTGAGTGACTGAATGAGAAAGACCTTTGGGGAAAATACATAAATCTATGTGAGGTTAATTATTAGTGAACTAAGGTAACTGCTGAGACAAGGAGCTTTTGGGGAGGCCTGAATTAACAGGATAATTACTTTGCTTTGACTCTGCCTGTCATTTCTAGTTGTTCATATAATGGAATAATGAGGACATCCCCTCAGAGTTTCTAGCTCTGGTGCTTATAAGCATTTTCAGAAGCCAACAGCACCTGGACAACTTATATAAGAACAGCTTTGATGAACACCCTTTTTGAAATTAAGAACATCTGCTCCTTTTTTAGTCTCATTAGAGAGTTTCTGTGCACCATGAATCTGTTCGCTAGTGAAGTTGACAATACAAATGTACAAGGTACACAAAGCCAGAGGGAATTTAATTCTAATCTCAAGTCAGGGAATGTGAATCCTGTAACAGTGACTGTATTGGATTACTGCTGTACCACGGCACTTAAAAAGGTGCCTGACACATAGTGGTTCTCAATAAATAGTTGTTGAATGGCTAAATTAATGAGAATGTACTTGAAGACTTTTGGGGAAAATACATAAATCTATGTTAGGTTTATGTATGTTAATACATGAAAACACTTAGAATGCCTGGCTATAGAAAATACTTAAGAAGCACTAGCTATTCTTATTACCTGTAAATTCTCTCCTTCCTTCCTTCTTCCTCCTTTCCTCCCTCTATTCCTTCTTCCCTTTCCTTCCTTCCTTCCTTCCTTCTTTCCTTCCTTCTTCATTAATCCATTTGTTTTACAAATGTTTTCTGACACCTGTTTTGTGGCAGGTGCGGGGGGAAATGAAGGTGAATGAGACATTGCCTCTGCTCATGAGATATTCACATGAAGCCAATTAGAAAACAATTTGGAAGTGGCATTTGATCAACCTATCTCTTTCCTGACATATTAATGTAACATAAATGCTTGAGTGGGTAGCCTTACGTTCCCCAGACTTTTGAGGTCCCTTCTCTCATCATAATGAAATAAAATGACTGAAGCCTCCATTGTATGCACTGTGGGGAACCCAGCACCCTGCCTTAAGCTTTCTGAGTGGTCACTTCTTACTCCAGTTTCTTTCCTGCTCTGTTTGTCATTTTGCCTCCTACCTTCTCTGTGCTCTCTCTGAATGGATTTACCACAAGAAACCCCAAATCACACCAACGCAAAGCGACAATGGATAAGAGATATTTTCCTGTGTGTTTTGTGTGGCTAATGGGAGGTGAAGTATGTGATTTAAACACAGAATTGGAAAACAACTGCAGTGTCAGACTTTGGTATTCCTTGAAATGTTCTAGCCATTTTCCTCAATTCCCCCATTAGAGATGTTCCTCTTTAGACTTCAGCTTGTTGCTCTCTAAATGGGACTCTCTTTTACTCCTTATAATGTTCTTTTATGACCCCTCCTGCTCTTTCTAGAAACTGGGGTGTGGGTGGGGGTGCAAGTGTTGAAACAGGAAGACCAGAAATAAGGCTGTGGCAGAAATCTAGGCTACCGATGATGGTGATTTGGACCATCGTGAGTGGAAGTGGTGAGAAATGGGCAGGTAGATTTGGAATTGTTTTAAAGGTAGAGTTGACAGGTTTGCTGATAGATTAGATATGGGGTTTTAGAGAAATAAAGTCAAGGACGGCTCCAAGATTCTTGGCCTGAGCAACAGGAAGAAGAGAATTAGTAAAAGTAATACATGTTTAATGCAGAGTATCTGGAAAATATCTGAAATATATGTAAGGAAACAGGAATTGCTCACAATTGCTATAATCTAATGATCATCTTTGTTAACATTTTGGTGTGTTTCTATCTGGTCATTATTTTCTTCCTTGTTAATTGTTCCAGGATGTGTGTGTATGTAGCAGGGGGTATGTGTGTGTGTGTACAATATGCATATTTTATACATATACATACTCAAACTTATATATTTATCATGCATTAAGACAAAATGTAACACAATGAAAATATCTCTGAGCTATTGATACCCAACATTTTTCTGTTAGCAAGCAGGATATGGAGACACACTTCTCTGTAACATTATTTTCTAACATTCTGTTATTCTGTCATTAAAATGTTCTAGAGGCCAGGCGTGGTGGCTCACGCCTGTAATCCCAGCACTTTAGGAGGCTGAGGCAGTCAGATCACTTGAGGTCAGGAGTTTGAGACCAGCCTGGCCAACATGGTGAAACCCCGTCTTTACTGAAAATACAAAAATTAGCCAGGCATGGTGGTGCATACCTGTAGTCCTAGCTACTTGGGAGGCTGAGGCAGGAGAATCACTTGAACCCAGGAGGTGGAGGTTGCAGTGAGCTGAGATTGCACCATTGCACTCCAGCCTGGATGACAGCGCAAGACTCCATCTCAAAAAAAAAAAAAGTTTTTTAAAAAATAATTTTTAATAATGCATAATATACCATAGCATAGCTGTGACATTTAACGCCTTTAACTATTTCTCTATTTTTGGACATCTGGGCACTTTCCATTTTTGTACTATTAAAGATAATGCTGCAATCTTTGTATGTAAATATTTGTGTATGTCTCTGATTATTTCCTCATGAGAGGAAAAGCTGAATGGAAAATCACCAGGTCAACATTTTTTAAACAATTCTGATCATTCCTCAGGATTATACCTAACACATGGTGGTGATAAGCTAAGACTTTAAAGTCCCCAGCAGTGAAAATTTAAACACTCACTTATTCAGTTTCTCACCATGCTTTTAAAACTGGTGCCTACTTCTCTTCCAACTTTGATTAAAGTATTAATTAAAAAGCTATTATTAATCTGTGTTAATGAGCATGAAGAGCATTTGAAAGTCATGTAGAAGCTGATGATTATGAAATATCCAACACAGTGCCCTTTATTTCATAACAGAAGAATTTTCTTTTTGATCAACGCTATGTCGATTTCTTTCACTTGTAGACCTCTGTTTAGCAGGGCATGGTGCTGGACCCAATATTAGATATTCCTTCCTCCCTCCCTCCTTCTTTCTTTCTCTCTCTCTCTCTCTTCCTTCCTTCCTTTGTCTCTTTCTCTCTTTCTTTCCTTCCCTCCCTCCATCCCTCCTTTCCTTCCTTCTTTTTTTTTTTTTTTTGACAAGGTCTTGCTCTGTTGCCCAGGCTGGAGTGCAGCGGTGTGATCACAGCTCACTGCTGCCTCCACCTCCTGGGCTCAAGTGATCTTCCCACCTCAGCCTCCTGAGTAGCTGGGACCACAGGTGTGCACCACCACACCTGGCTAATTTTTTTTTAAATTATTTTTTGTAGAGACAGGGTCTTTCTGTTTCCCAGGGTAGACTCAAACTCCTGGAGTCAAGTGACCCTCCCACCTTGGCCTCCCAAAGTGCTGGGATTACAGGTGTAAGCCACTGCAACTGGCCAATTTTTCTAAAACTACAAACCAAATCTAAAAATAATGAGTGTTTTTCTAAACTGATGGCTTCTCCAGCTGCTAACTAAGGATATTATTTAGGATGATGATAAACAACTGAGACCTAGTAAAACAATTGGGGAAATTCAGATGTGCAGGCAAGAGAAAACATGAGAACAAAGTTAGATCTCTGGCTCTGAGGCAGACTTAGGCTTCCGCAGTCCTCACTGCATTGTTTGGTTTCTGATTTGGCTTGGCAGAGGTGCAACAAGTGTGGTTATATTATTCACATTTAATATAGTTAAGTTCATTTGTTACTGTTTGTATTTCATTTTCTGTTCCCCTTCCTCTCTGCCCCCATGGACACACTCATCTTAGTTGGTGTTAACTGACTTTATTTTTTGACATGTGAAACATTACATTGATTCTAGAGTCAAGGCTGTCCAAAAGGTATATTCAGAGAAGTGCCCCTGCAGCAGCCCCACCCCCATCCCTACCACCCAATTCCTCTTTCTCCACCTTCTCTACTTCATTCCCACTTACTCCTTGCAGGTAATAATCTCATTAGTTTCTGGATTATCCTTCCTGCATTTCTTCTGTGCTAAGGAGCAGAAAGAGGTATATTTTCTTACAGAACCTTCTTTTTTTTTTTTTTGAGACAGTCTTGCTCTGTTGCCCAGCCTGGAGTGCAATGGCACAATCTCAGCTAACTGCAGCCTCCACCTCCCTGGTTCAAATGATTCTCTTGCTTCAGTCCCCTGAGTAGCTGGGACTACAGGTGTCCACCACCACACCTGGCTAATTTTTGTATTTTTAGTAGAGACAGGGTTTCACCATGTTGGCCAGGCTGGTCTTGAACTCCTGACCTCAAGCGATCCACCCACCTCAGCCTCCTAAAGTGCTGGGATTACAGGCCAGCTTGGCTTAGAACCTTCTTTCTTACTTGAAGGGTAGCAAATTGTATATACTCTTTTTCATTTTGCCCTTTTTCATTTGGTAATATAGCCTGTAGATTACACCCTTCCAGCTCATGGAAATGTTCCTCATTCTCTTTTTCTTTTCTTTTCTTTTTCTTTCTTCTTCTTTTTTTTTTTTTTTTTTTTTGATGGAGTCTTGCTCTGTCACCAGACTGGAGTACAGTGGCACGATCTTGGCTCACTCCAACCTCCGCCTCCTGGGTTCAAGTGATTCTTCTGCCTCAGCCTCCCGAGTAGCTGGGACTACAGGCACGTTCCACCACACCCAGCTAATTTTTGTATTTTTAGTGTTGACGGGGTTTCACCATGTTGGCCAGGATGGTCTCCTCTTGACCTCATGATCCGCCTGCCTTGGCTTCCCAAAGTGCTGGGTTTACAGGCATGAGCCACCATGCCCAGCCTCCCATTCTTTTTTTACAGCAGCATAATACTCCCTTGTGTAGATACATTATAGTTTATCCAACCAGGGTCCTAAATATGGGTGTTTAGGTTGTTCAATATTTTTCAGTTAAAACAATGATGCAGTAAATAACTATATATATATATATATTATATATATACACACACACATATATATACATATATATAGAGAGACACACACACATGTTGGAGATACATGTTGGAAATGTATCTTCAGTGGGATCGCTGGTTCAAAAGGTAAGTGCAAATGTAGTTTTGTAATGCACTGCCAAATTTCCTTCCAGGATTGTTTTACCAGTGTGCATTCCCACCAACAATGCATAAGGGTGCCTGTTTCCCCATAGTCTTGCCAACAGAAAGTGCGGTCATACTCTTTCATTTTTGTCATCTGAGAAATGGTACCTCTTCAAACTCTGACTTCTGTCCCCTCGATTTGGCAAGATTGCCAAGTGAGTTCTGTTTGGATAACCCTTCATGCACTGGGGTCTGGAAACTGCCTCCAGGAAGTAAGATGGGGCAATCGCAAAGCTTACCTCATTTGTTTCACTTTTCTCAGGGATGATAGCCCTAAGTCCTATTACCCAATGTCTAAAAGCCATCATTTCACGTATTTTATCTAGTTTTCTGGTTGCTTAAGGAAAGAGCATAAAGCCTTTCCCTGTTACTCAGTCATGGTTAGAAGTGGAAGCTGGTTCAACATTCATCTAAGATTTCCAGACAGAGAGAGGAAAGAATCAAAGATTAGCAAAGCAATAGAAAAACATTCTAGAGCTAAATAGAGATATATTCTTAGATTGAAAGGACCCAGAAAATTCCAAGCAGAATGAATGCAACAAAAATCCACCTGGTTAAAATTCTGAACTCTATAATGAAAAAAGAAAACAAAATAGAGAATGTCTACAGAGGAAAAGAAAAGAGAAAGGGAAGCTTTCTCTACAAATGGAAGAGAAGTTGAGTAGTAACAGACTTCTTGTTGGTGGAGCACTAAAATACAGTGAGCCAAATTCTCAAAAGCCTGAGGGAATTTGATTTGGAACCTAAAATTCTGTAACCAGGCAAATTAGAATATGACTGGTAGTAGGATTTTTTTTTTTTTTTTTTTTTTTTTGAGACGGAGTCTTGCTCTGTCGCCCAGGCTGGAGTGCAGTGGCCGAATCTTGGCTCACTGCAAGCTCCGCCTCCCGGGTTCACGCCATTCTTCTGCCTCAACCTCCTGAGTAGCTGGGACTATAGGCGCCTGCCACTATGCCCGGCTAATTTTTTGTATTTTTAGTAGAGACGGGGTTTCACCGTGTTAGCCAGGATGGTCTCGATCTCCTGACCTCATGATCCGCCCACCTCGGCCTCCCAAAGTGCAGGGATTACAGGCGTGAGCCACCGTGCCCAGCCAGGATTTTAAGAGAATATTGTGCAACAATATTCTCTTAACAGCAACAAATTTGAAAATAAAGTTGAGGCTGGGTGCAGTGGCTCACGCCTGTAATCCTAGCACTTTGGGAGGCCCGAGGCAGGTGGATCACGAGGTCAGGAGATGGAGACCCATCCTGGCTAACACAGTGAAACCCCGTCTCTGCTAAAAATACAAAAAATTAGCCGGGTGTGGTGGTGGGCGCCTGTAGTCTCAGCTACTCGGGAGGCTGAGGCAGGAGAAAGGCGTGAACCCAGGAGGCAGGGCTTGCAGTGAGCTGAGATTGCACCACTGCACTCCAGCCTGGGCGACAGAGTGAGACTCCTGTCTCAAAACAAATAAACAAAAACAAAGCAAAACAAAAAAAAGTTGAACTGGATAATTTTCATGGAAAACACAAATTACCAAAATTGACTGAAGAAGATACAGAAAAATTGAATAGACCTACATTCATAGAGGTAATTGAAAATTAATTTCAAAACACACCTATTAAAGAGACACTACGGCCAGAAGCATCTATAGGAGAGTTTTATTGAATTTCAAGGAACAGATGAGAAACTATGGAAAGCTTTGTAACTCATTTGAAGAGGCTACCATGGCCGGGTGCAGTGGCTCAGACCTGTAATTCCAGCACTTTGGGAGGCTGAGGCAGGTGGATCATTTGAGGTCAGGAGTTCATAACCATCCTGGCCAACGTGGTGAAACCCCATCTCTACTAAAAATACAGAAATTAGCTGGGCATGGTGACGGGTGCCTATAATTGCAGCTACTTGGGAGGGTGAGGCAGGAGAATTGCTTGAACCCGGGAGGTGGATGTTACAGTGAGCTGAGAAGGCACCATTGCACTTCAGCCTAGGCAACAAGAACCAGACTCTGTCAAAAAAAAAAAAAAAATGCTACCAGACTCTGTTATCAAAGTCAGACAAGGATAATGGACTGTGAAGGTCTAATTGGGAAAGAGAAAGCTTGCCAGTTATCGAAAAATGGTAAAATAAAGGAAAAAATACAAAACTAGATATATAACACTGTTAGGTAACTGAAAGGACAGAAAGAGAACTCTCAGTTACCACAATTTTAGCAGCTGCAGAAAGCAGCTTCTATTTCAGGGGGTGAAGGAATAAAGGGAATAAGTTGGATTTATTAGCATATAGAAGTTCGGAGGAGGAGCCCCATGAACTGAAACTCAGATCTATGAGGAGGGGCTGCTGCCCCGCCTGTACTGGTGTCTCTGAGGGGAGGGGCATGATGAAGCTGGTTCTGCAAGTGTTGGAAGACCCCAAACTGGATTCCGTTGTTGCTATGGGAAAAGCCACTGTATGGATAAAGAAGCATTGCTGGGCTACCGCACACAGGAAAAGGAAGCAGACAGAAGAACATAGCAAGCTGTCAGGCAGGAGCAAATCCTTTCTTCCTCTTCTAGCCCTGCAGTCTCCTTTGTTAGTCTAATAAGAAGCCAGCTGGCAAGGCAGAAATACAGTTTGCAGAGTTCCAGCTCCAGCATCTCAAATCAAAGCATGGAAGGGTAGGCTTGGAGCTGAAAGACAATCATGGAACAAGGGACACAGTGAGCACACTCAGAAGGAAATTTATGCCCATCCCACTTATAAATGGATGAAAAATCTTAAGCAAATCATTTGTATAAAAATGGGACTTTTTTGCCCAGAGAAATATACTATAGACAAAGCTAAGAAATGTGTGACTGGCTGGGTGTGGTGGCTCACGCCTGTAATCTCAACATCTTAGGATGCCAAGGCGGGAGGATCACTTGAGCCCAGGAGTTTGAGACCAGCCTAAGCAACACAGTGAAACCCCATCTTTATAAAAATAATACAAAAATTAACGAGGCATGGTGGCACACACCTGTAGTCCTAGCTACTTGGGAGGCTGAGGTGGGAAGATTGCTTGAGCCCTGAAGGTCAAGGCTGCAGGGAGCCACGATCACACCACCTGGGTGACAGTGACAGAGTGAGACTCTGTCTCAAGCGAAAGAAAAGAAAGGAAATGTGTAACTGATTGGGAATAATGTTTTTGCAACATAGTTAACAAATATTTAGCCCCAATAACCTTTTCCAATATTAAATCTATAAATGTATGGATTTAGGACTTTTAGTTATTTATTAACAATGTACTATGAGCCAGGCACTATGCTAGCTCTTTGCAGACATGATTTAGTTCTCAGAACTACCCTATGGAGTTGATATTATTATCTCCATCTGGCAGATGAAAAACGGACACTGAAGAAGTATAAGAAACTTGCTTAATTTCTCACAGTTTCTAAGTGGTGAGGCCAAGATTCAATACCAGCTCTGTCTAACCAGAGCTCTTTCCCATGCCCTTTTGTCTTCCTTGTGCTAAATTAGTTTACCTTGAACATTTCTAAAATTGCACTATTATCTCACATAAAGTATTCTCTGACCTCATCTTTTATGCTATGATCCAGCAGAGTATTATGCCCTTAAATTATCACTAACACAAGGAAAGAATAAATGCATTATAAGGATAGTGTAATGTCACTGAGTCTACAAATATTTATTCTAAGTGAAGGGAGAGGGATAACTTATCACATCCATTCACAATTAAACACTTGGCAAAAACAGTAGCTAATAGAGAAATTTGAAGTTGGCCGGTTCACTAATTTGGTGCATGATGCTGTCAGAATTATTCATCAGCTTGGCTTCATGCTGACAAGCAATTATTTCTCCAAGGCTAAGTGAATTTCATGACCCAAACCCATAGGAAACTCTTAAGCATGGAATTTAAAGATGTTCACTTTATCAACAAATGACTCCAAACTAATTCTTAATTTGGAATAATGTGGTGAAACAAAGAATGAAGGTCCCAAAAATTTAAAAATCTTTATTTAGATTTTAAAAACCTATGGTTTCTGTTTTTCGCCTTATCTTTGGCTAAATATTTGAACAGATTTGGAATTTCAAAGCCAAATGGATCATTTTGAGTTACATTCTTTATTTTTTAGAGGAGTTTTAGATCCACAGCAAAATCGAACAGAAAGTACAGATTTTCCATATACACCTGCGCACAAATGCATAGCCTCTCCTACTAGCAACACCCAGCACCAGACTGCTACATTTTTTACAATCAGTGAACCTACACTGACACACCTTTTTCATTCAAAGGCCATAGTTTGCATTAGGGTTCACTCTTGGTGTTGTACATTCTGTGAGTTTGGACAAATGCATAATCATTTGTATCCACTATTATAGAATCAGAGTATTTTCAGAGTTACATTTTAAAATATTTATTTCCTTGTGATACTGCTAGATTATAACTACTGTTAGCTTTGTGATATGGGATGGTTAACATCTCTTGAGCTAGTTCTTCTCATACCCCTCGGCAGACTCCTCTATGTCCTTTTAACATTGGCATTTTTCTGAGTTCTATCCAAGACCTTCTCTGCCAGCCTCATCTACTTTCTATGGCTCCATTTATCAAGGGTATGCAGAAGATATCTGTGTGACGTTGGGAAACTGGCTGCAGATGTCAGCGTCCCCAGTAATGGCCTAACAATGATGATATTTAAGTATGTCAGAGAACAATAAGTCTGGAGAAAGTCTGTTCCAGGGTTGGCTCAGGGGCTCAGAGGTGTCATCAGATACCTGGGCTGTTTCTGCTTTTCAGCGCCTCCATTCAGAGCTGTCTCATGGTTTCAAAATGGCGGCTGGAACTCCAAGCTTTAGATTCTCACGTAACACATTTAAAATGAGAAGGCAGGGAGTTTTGAAGGCAGAAGTGAGATTTCTTCTCATGCTGTTTTATCAGGGAGGAAAATCTTTCTTAGAAGTTCCCCAATAGATTTCCCTTGTCTTAGAAATGGATTATACGTACACCCTCAACCAATCAATGACAAAGAGAAATGGGGTTACCATGATTGGCTTAATCAATTTTAATTCATAAACTGAGTACATCACTGCCTGAATAAAAGTGGGGTTCTGTTAGCAAGGAAGATGAGAGAAGAGGTTGTTAGTCAATTAGCAGTGTTCATCATAGCACTCAAAAATCAATGACTCCAACTCAGATCTACATGAAGTTTAGACTCATTTATGCAAATGCCTACAAAATATCTCAGATCCTTCAGATTCCATGAACTCATCATCTTCCCTGACAGTCTGTAGCCCAAATCCAGTCTTCGGCCTTCCCTGACAGTCTTCAGCCCTAACACACACACAAACCTCCTCCCTCTGCTTTAATGAAGCGAATGGGCTTGCCATTCATTCAGGTGCCCCAAACAGAAACCTAGGGGTAATCCTTAATATCATCCATCCCTTAACCTTCACATTCAGTTCATAACAAATTCCTATCGGATGTATCTTCTAAATAGTACTCAGATTGCTGGACTTCTCTTTGTCTTCCCTTCTACAGAAGCAAGTCAATTCTCCACATGATTGACTTGCCAATGAACTGACTCATTTATACAGTATTTACAAAATGTATTGATCGTAGTTTTAACATCTTTAATAGAACTTTTTACAGCTTTAATAAACATTTGAATTTTGGTTACTGATAAATAACATTTTTTAAAAAAATTTAAGCCAATTCTGTTAGTCTGGAGTCCCTAGAAGGAGAATATGAAACAAAATGTACGTGCTATGGCTTGTTGAAGAGAGGGATACAATCCTACAGAAGACAAAGGAGAGGGAAAACGGCAGATAAGGAGGGAAAGCAATACAAGCTGGTATGCTGCCAAGTTTAGGCACGGCTTCTCAGGAAAACATCACTGACTAATGTGGGACTTCTCCAGAGTGGTCACATGGAGTCACTGATTCTCAGAACAATATGCTGTGGAAGAAGAATAAGGGCAAGAAATTTATTTGCAAGTTTGTTTTCATCTTCTGCCTCATTGGTGAAAATCAGCTCTTCAGGCCATTGAGTCTCCCTCATTTGCCAGTCCCTCTGGGCAATTGTGAGCTGGGAAAACCAGAAACTCCCTAGGGTTTAGTCAGGTTGAACCTGCACACAGGACCTGCTGCATCTCCATGCCTAAGTCCAGTCCTCGTCCCGGAGGAGGCTATGAAAATTGGAGACATTAGGATATGAGGCGATGGTGGCAGCAGCTGAGATGTGAGCCTTCTCTGGGATTGCTCCAGCCTGGGAAGAAAGGCAAGTGTCAAAGGCTGTTGAGGGAGTGAGGATGAGCAGACCTGGAGTGGTGCACCCACTGAGCTCAGTACATAAACCAAGGATCACACACTGCATGAGAAATTAATGAGAAGATCCTAAAAGTACTTAAAATTTGATCCCCTCCCCAACATATGACAGAATTCTTTCAGCTACTTATGATATTTTTCTGGATGCTTTTGAATGTTATTTCTACTTTTTCAAAATCTGGTTCCTTTTGTTTTCTTTCACCAATCCCTCAAATGTCATAAGACCCATAATTTGTTATTCCTAGAATTAAAACATTTAAACTCAAATTATATTTACTTCTCCATGGATTAAAGATCTGTATGTGAATAACAAAACTTTACAATTATTAGCTTAAAATATACAGGAATGTTTTTATGATTTCAGGTAGGAGAGGATTCTTCATCAGAAGACAAAAGCACAATTCATAGACAGAAAGAATTAACATTAAAATGTTTAAATTATGTACATCAAAATTAAAAGACAGCTTATAGCTTGGGAGAAGATAATATTTGCAATGCACATAACTAAAAAAGGTTAAGATTCTCAAAATATGAAGAATAGCTGTAAATGAACAGAACAGCCAAATATCCCAATAGTAAAATAGGCAAAGAGGCAAATCACAGTAAGGAAACTAAATGGTGAGTAAACCTTGCCAGTAATCAAAGAAATGCCAATTAAAATGATAATGAGATACCATTGAATACCCCTTGTATTGGCAAAAATAAAAAAATCTGACAATGTCATATACTAGTAAAGATATAGTGGAATGAGAGTATAAATTGGTAGAGCAAGTTTGGAGAGCAGTTTAGCAAAGTTTATTAAAATTTAAAATATGCATATACTATAACACTACCATTTCATTTCTAGGCAAACATTCTAGAAAATGAGCCTTCGCATCTGGAGTTAGAAAGTTCATTGAAGCATTGGTTGAAATAGTGGAAAAGTAAAAACAGCCTCAATGTTCATTAATGGAAGAATGAGCACATTGCAGAATAATTATAAAATATAATTAAAATTAATGAACCAGAATCTAATGTTAAATAAGAAAGCAAGTTGCAGAATGATATTCTTATCATTTATTTATTTAAAATTTGAAAACACACAGAAGATTACTATACGTGGCTTATGATTAGGTAGATAGTAAAAGTATAAATATATATGTAGGAATGATAACACACAACACTCATGAGAGTGGCAACCTTAAGGGAAGAAAGATGGAGAATGGGATCCGGGAGGGTATACAGGGCTTCCAGCTATATGTAAGGTTTTATTTCTTTAAAATAAAAAATCTAAAGAAATCTGAAAAAATCTTAAGGTTTCTTGAAATTGATTGCTAGTGATTTTCCAACTGTACATAGGGTTTTATTTCTTTCAAATAAAGAATTGAAACAAATCTGACAAAATCCTAAGATTTCTTGAATTTGATTGCTAGTGATTTCTTGGGGTTAAAAAATTCTGTTTTTTTCTGAACGTTTGAAGATTATACTTTTTTTTTCAAAAAAATCTGAAAGAAATAAAAGTTATAAGCTTAATAAAATCTACATAGAAATTTTAAATTGAACTTAAATGTAAACTAAAGTTAAATTCAGCAACATGCAAGATTAATTGGAATTGGTTGAAAAAAATCCCATCCCATATAAAATGCTAACATTTTAAATTTATAACCAAAAACAATAGAAGTCTGTTAACTTGATAAGAGTCTGCAGAATGATTCTACATGAAAGAAGAAAACAATAAAGCAAGAGAAATGAGCAGGGCTCACTCTAATGGATAACCTGATTAGAATGCCTGTCACATATCTATTGATGCTGCTGATGTTTGCCAATATCTGGGTAAAGTGGTATATTTGGCAGGATACAGTGTTAGTGGCTGTCACCAAGAACCAAAATAAAAGTAGCTTAAACAAGGGAAAAGTCTATTTCTCTCTCACATAATAGTCAGAGTATAAATAGTCCAGGACAGGAACAGCAGCTCTGTAGTGCTGGGGACTCAAGCTCCTTCTATCTTTTTACTCTGTCATTTTCAACACATACCATTCATTTATGGTCCAAGATGGCTGCTCCAGCCTTCACCATCATGTCCACATTTCATCCAATAGGAAGGAGGTAAAAAGAAGGTGGAGGACGTACTCCATGACTAGTAAGTTGCTCACATGAGGTCTGCTCATATTCCTTGGCTACTCTTAGCTGAAAGAGAGACTGAAAAAGACAGCCTTTATGCTGGGTGTCCATATACCCAGCTAAAATTAAGGGTTCTGAGTGAATATAGCAAGAATGGATATTGAGAAACAATTAGGAATCTCTGTTGAGGTGGCAAAAATAATTCTTTAATAGCTGGTATGAGATTCATCTTAGGGAAGGAAGTGCCTTTGTTTAGGAATATAAGAGCCATTTGGGTGTGAAAATATAAGCATTGGGAGAGAGAAGTTAGAATAAAAGGAGTTTGGATGTTTCTCTGTATAGGTAAATGAATATATTTTAATTTTTTTTTTCCTACGAAGAGGAGAGAGGAAGGGGTACCAAGTTACTTGACAGAAATCTGGACTTACCAAAGTTTTTTGTCTGCCACACAAAGACAGGCTTTGTGACGTTGTGTTTTATGTATGGGTGTGTGTGTGACAACCCAGGAAAGGAGCTGAGGTTCATGTGTGTGCCAGGATCTTGAGTGACAGGGAGAGCACTTGAGTAAGTGATGAGTGCACAATTGGAAAGACGTAGAACCACCCCTCAGCTTTACACTGGCTTGTTACCTTTGAATCCAGTTTTGGAAGAGTTATTTCCCTAGAGTCTCCTGGGTTTCTGTACTAAATGAACTCCTGGCCGGCTTCCCTTAACAGTCTTCCAGCTGTGCCAAGTCCTAGGAAGAACAAAGCCCAGGCTCCAGCTATGGGCCCTGCTAAACTCAGTCTCCATCTTGGGCGGGGGTCCATTTACCCCTCTCTGCTCTTTGCCCAAGCTTCTGTCACTAAGGAGAAAGTACAACACCAAGATTCCACAGCAAAATGTTATGTGAACTTGATGATTTTGTATTAGTAGTAATGTTTGAGAATTTGATGAAAATAGTCATGAGGAAAATAGTCAATCTCTTAAACACTGGGCGTGGCTTTGAACGTTCTCTAAAAATAAATTGACTGAGATTTTAAAAAGTTCTTGTTTTGTGGCTGAAGGTAAAGAATCATGTTTAAATTGTTCTTATTTTAAAAGTTATTTGTATCTCAAGTGGACTCGGTTAAATGATATTCATTTGCTGATTCATTCATTCACTATGATAAGTGCCCCAGAAGACAACACACTGCATTAGATATGGTCCTTGTCTTCATGTAGTTTTTCATTAATTGATTGGTTCATTCAATGATTCAACAAATATTTATTGAGCACCTACTATATGCTTGCTACTAGGCTAGGAACAGAGGATGAATGGGGAATGAGATGGTCTGCCAGCCTTCAGGAAGTTTTTGGATGAGGCAGCCATGGAAATAAACAATTATAAGACAGTATAATGTGTGCTATAGAAGAGAAAGGCTTAATGTGCTGTGCTTGTTGAGAGCAAATACACAACTTTTAAAGTCAGAGTCATTTGTGGTTCTTTAAGATTAAAAAAAAAAAAAATTGCAGACTGGGAGAGCCCTCCTGGTTTTCAAGGCATCTGTGATTTCTCTGGTATTGTTTATAGAACAGAGCCTGAGAAAAATCTTTCTTGCTAACAAGCCAGAATTTAGTTTATAATTAGACAAGAGGACTCAACAACAAGGGGTGATGGAACATGGCCGAGAATCTTGGAGAAGACCAAAAGAAAACAGTTTAAAATTAATTTAAAATGTGAGGCTTTAAAAATGTCCATTTATTTTTCATGGAAACCAAGCTCAACCGACCTCAGAGACAAGGTATTTATGGACAGAATTATTTGTTGTATGTTTACCTGCTTTAACACAAGTAGTGACTGTTAAAACATTTACCATGTGCCAGGCCATGCTAGGTGCTTTTTATACATTGTCTTATTTAATCTTCATAAACATCTCATGTGGGAATTCTTAGCCCTATTTTGCAGGTGGGCAAAGTGAGGTTCAGAAAGCATAGTTCATCTCAGTTTATACTGCTAGTGGAGCAGAACTGAGATTTGACTCTAGAGGCTATGGGATTCCAAGCCCTGTGTGCTTAGCTCCTATGCAATAGTATGTCCCAGGACTTATCATATTTACAGTAAAACTATTTTAATTATTTATTATTTACATTTATTCTCTACAGCAACTTCCAAAAGATGCATGTAATAAAAATACATTGTACTAAACATATAATAGAAAAGCAGTTACAATAATGATAAAAAGGAAATCAAAGCTCTATGAGGCAGGGACAAGATAATGAAACTAAAGTAATCATTTTCCATAAATGTTCACTGAATGAATAAATAAATGAATTAAACTACAATTAGAGGGTTCAAACTTGGAAGTTTTAGAAGCTAGAGCAAAAAATAGAAACATGATGAGTTACATACCTAACATAAGAAAGCATATAAGCTTAGCGGAACAATTTTCTGCATGGACTTTAATAATGAGGGTAACATAAATGACCATGTTATTTATGTTATATTTCAGAAGAAACAAAAATGATTTGCAGATAAAAGTTGTTTATTCAATGGTCTCTAAAAAGCAGATGGCAAATCCTTACAAAACATTTCTATGAGGAGCTAAGCGAATATGCTCTAGGTATGTCTCCTTCAGTTATGCCAACATGATGCAATACTTGAGCTTAGAGATTGTAGAATTATAAGACTGTGTTTGATGGAAAGTAGAAACCCCGGAACACCTGACAAACTGTGATGGAGCCAGCTGTGAGAAACTCAGTGGATAGGGACTAGACGACCAAGGGCCAGACTCACTCCCACTTCCATTTGCCTTTGCTTTTTTCTTCACCCTCTCATCTTACATTTATTGAGCACCTGGGCTATGTGCTCAACCCAAGGATACATACCAAGATCAGTAAGAGTGGCCTTTGCACTTAAGGAGCTTATATTCTTTCCTACTACCTAATACAGAAAGAAATATTCTCGCCTTCTCACAATGCAGCTACCACTACGTATTTCCTTCCAGGAATCTACTAACTGCACACCTGAGTGGATCCCATCTCATTCTCCCTACTCACATTCCTGGAAGGAAACCCTTAGTGGTAGCTGCATTGTGAGAATGCAGGAATATTTCTTCTCTGTTCTGTGTATTAGTTGTGGTTTTTTGTGCCTAAACTGCTAGAAGAATAGCTATGTTTCATGTCCAGCAGACAGTCCCAGATCCCTCTGATTCTTAGAGAAGGAAAAATCCTCTGCCCAGAGATTCCTCTGTATAGGGAAAGAGTGTAAGTGTTGGAAGACTGATGGGCCTTGGTTCACACCCCACTATTTGGACTTTCTAGCCCTTGGCTTTAGGCAAGCTCCGTAGCCAGCTTCAGCTTCCTTGGCTGTACAGAAGGAAACAGGATCTACTTTGGAAAGTTTGAATAAGTATTAATTACATGAAAAATGGCAGGTCAATACATGACAAGTATGATGATTATCTAATTTTCTTTGATTCTTCTATTTGCAGCCATGGAGGTTTATATTAAGATTTGACAGCCGGGCGCGGTGGCTCAAGCCTGTAATCCTAGCACTTTGGGAGGCCAAGGCGGGCGGATCACGAGGTCAGGAGATCGAGACCATCTTGGCTAACACGGTGAAACCCCGTCTCTACTAAAAATACAAAAAATTAGCCGGGCGTGGTGGCGGGCGCCTGTAGTCCCAGCTACTCTGGAGGCTGAGGCAGGAGAATGGCGGGAACCCGGGAGGCGGAGCTTGCAGGGAGTCGAGATCGGGCCACTGCACTCCAGCCTGGGCGACAGAGTGAGACTCCATCTCAAAAAAAAAAAAAGATTTGCCTCAATTATGTTCAGTTGCTTTTTACTTGTATGCATTTTTTTCATTTTTTAAAATGTGAAGTAGGTTTACAGTTTGCTAGATAATATGCTTCATGAAGATAGAAAATGCATCAGCCTTGTGTTGTATGACCAGCGGCTGGCCTAGCAACATGACTCAATAAATATGTATTGAATGAGTGAATTAATGGATGAATTAGGGCAAAGTAGGCAGTGCTTGTGCCATAACTGCACTCATCCTCATTACGCTATGCATGAAGGTTTCTGGTGTGGAAAATGTAGTCCTTCTCATATTACATTGTACCAGAAGATAACTTCTGTTTTTGAAGGGGCTAAGGGGCCTAAACACCCCCCACCCCTCACTGGCCTGATTGATATTCACATATTCCTTTTCCTGCTATTGCTAAAGATCAGTTTGGTTTTTGTAATCCTCTTCTTCATCTTACTTCTTTTTACACCTCAGTGGGGAAACAATGAAGTCCAGGTCTGATAATAACTTTAGACTTCATATGTGGTTGCTATAGACACATTTGCTCATTTTACCATGTAGATAATATCTTTGCTTTCAATATTATGCGTTCAGCAATCAAGTCCAGGGAATTCACATTTGCTAATAGATGATTTAATGTTATGCTATAATGGCAATACTTTAACAAATTAGCCATTAATGAAAAATCTCACAGTTAGTTGTATTTGATCTTTGGCCATGGACTTACAGAGAAGATATTACCAAAGTGATTCATAGAGACTGGTGTTTGGAACTGAATTTTAAAAATCAATTAAGAAAAAATATTAATAAACCAGGAATGTAGTACTCACAGATATATAATAATAACATCAGAAGGGATTTTACTGAGGAAGAAACATACAAGAGTTTTCTTCAGAAGAAGAAAATTAAAGTAGGCATCAACAAAATTAAACCCAGTAATTAAAACCCAATGAGTAATGATCTAGCTTTCTTTATAAAATAATGCTGGGCCTTGTTCTGATGATAATTTGATTCTCTTTGATAAATACAGTAGCAGGGAGGGATAACCTTTGAAAACGAACTTTGATAAAATAACAAAGCATTCACTCTTCTCAGCTTCATGCACAATATCTGATCCTCAAGCCTGATACAGACACACTCACTTCCTTCACCTCGAGACCGGAAGGAGAAGGCTGGGATGACAATGTCTTATGTCTGGAATAATTCATCATCCCACAGTGAGATGTGTCTCCCCACAGTATTACCTTGTCTTATATCTTCCCAATATGATGGATGATGATGAATCGTTGTAGTAGGAGGATGAGTTTATTTCTGAAACATAAAATCCCAGAAATTGGTGTAGATCTTTTGCCTATTGTCCCAGTCTTGCTGGTAAGACACCAACCTGGGAGCATATACTCAAGGGGTAGAGTCTGATTGGCTGGGCTGGACCAGGGGAGAAGCTTCTCTGATGTGGCAGAAGCAGTGCCCTCAAAGGCCACAGTCTGCATGGTCCAGGAAGGAAGATTTCAGCCAGAGCTGCAGAAGTACCACCAAGGACCAAGAGTGGGCAGGTTTAAAACTCAGACCAGAAATTCAAGTCTGGGTAAAAAATAAATCCGTTTTCTGTTCTGTTAAGCTGGCTAGAAAATAAATCTTGATCATCATTTAAGATTCTGCTCCAGAGTTGTGTCAAGATCTTACCTTGCCCACCACAGGATACCATCCATAATGTTCTCTATTAGACTATCCATTGTCCCAGTCTGCATGGGACCCTGCAGTTCAGTGGTTTCTGCACCACACTTGGGGTGCCCAAATACTTAGCAGGACTTGGAATCCCTGGGAGTAGCGCCCAATCTTTCTAGAAGCCCCATGTAGCTATTCCTTGGAGGTCCTCCCCTCTACCCAAGGTAAAGTGGAGTACGCATTCTCACTAACCTACTTCCACTTCCCAGTCTTAGGAATATCTTTCCTCTCAAACACTAAGTGGTAGATAAGCTCAAAGGCAGAATAAACAGGGCACTTGCCTGGCAGGGGTGCACACACGTATATAAATACACACAGAAGCTTTTAAAAGAAACTTTTAAGAATAAATAAAATAAAATCATAATATTCATCAAAAGGAAAACTTTGAATGTAATTGCACTTCTTTTACTGATATGGATAAATATTGTTTCTTGAAATCAACCTAGTGGGTCAGAATAAGTGTTTTTAAAAAATGAAAGAGTAAAATAGAAAATATCAAAATAGGTGACACATAGAAAGCCTAAGTATTTTCTTGTAAGCTTTCATTTCAGTTACATGTATACAAATGTGTGTGTCACCGTGCTGTGATATGAAAGTTATTACTGTAAGTCATAGTCCAAATTTTTGAAAAACTCTGCTCTGTATGATACGCATCCAGAGAGTGAGGTTGTTAGAAATGTGATTTTTGGGAAAATGACTGACACCAGAACTTACAACCAAAGCAGATGAAATGAATGGTTTAATGTTTATTCCAATCTTAGCTATTCAGGAGGCTGAAGTGGGAGGCTCCCTTGAAGCCACGTGTTCTAGGCTATAGTTAGCCATGATCGTGGCACTGCACTCCAGCCTGGGTGACAGAGCAAAACCCTGTCTCTAAAAAATAAAATAAATAACATAAATATTTATTCCAGAAAAGTCAAGATCTAATTATATATATATAACATTATTGATGATGCACTTGGGATATTTTCTTGAATCAAAGAGACCTTCAGACCATCCCAGGTAACTGTCTCAATCACCTAAAAGCATGGCTAATAGCCACTGTCTCTGTTGCCCTAAAGGGCACTACCTGCTATTTAATGACAATTTACTGTATATAAGACCCTGTTCTAAAGGCTTTATATACAGGATCTCTTGGTCCTTATGACAAGTTTATGAGGCTGGTATTAATTCCCGGAGTTTAAGATGAAGACACTAGGAGGCAGGCAAGGTGACTGACTTGTCCAGCAGAAGAAGAATTCAAACCCTATTGACATCCACATCCCCAAGTCTAATCTGGAGGGAGGGATAGCGATACCACATCTTCCCTGAGAATCTGTCCCCTCGATGCTTAGCAACTTAGCTTTTTTCTGACAGAAAGATTTTCTCTGGGTCTAATTTAAATTGCTCATGCTGCAGTCGAAGCCCTTTGCCTCTTTGTCTCCTTTGTGGCGGCCAAGAACAGCTGGTCACTGTCCCACTAACAATGATGCGTCGTCAAGTAGGGGACAATAATTTTCCTCCTTCAGAACCAACAATCCCAGCTTCTTGAACTGTTTTTCTTTGGCCCTGTTTTCTCCCAACCCTTCAATTATTTCTTTTTTTGCCCAGTTTCTTGGGGATAGCTCCACAGCTTCGCTCCTTGTCAGCAATGGATGTGGGGGCAGGATGAGGTTTGGGCACTTCTAGTTTCTATTCCTCTGAATTCCCCTGGCTTCTAATCTCATTCAGCCACTGGGGGCCCTGACAGCCCCTCTTAGAGCCCCTGTGCACACAGATCTTGGCTTCCACGCATCCACTTGGAATTGTACAGGGCACGGGTGCCTCCAGGGCCCTTCACCTCATGTGTGGATGGCTATTGTTAAAGTTTGTCACAGTCTCCCTAACTCAGCCTCTCCCCTTAGGATGCCCATCCCCCACCCTCCAAATATCCTTGAAATCCCCTACTCAAGTGCTCAGCAATTCCTGGTTACCAGGAGCTTGGAATCTCGCCCACCCTTGGCTAGCTACATGCCTTTTCTATTTCCCTCTAAGCTCTTTTTATTTTCTGCTTCAGAGTTTTTATGTATGTGTCACATTGTTCTTTTTTATGATCAATTTGTAGTTTAACTTTTTAGACAGGCAAAACTTTCACATGGTATAAAATTCAAAAGGTACAAAAGGCACACACAGCAAGCATTTTTCCTAATACCTTGTCCCCTAGAGGCACGTGACTAGTGTTACCAGTTTTTTTGTATATCATTCCAGGCATATCCCACTTATCTATTTTGTGATTTTACATATACATACACATATTTATATGTGATACATATCCAATTTTTGATAGATATACACATACATATGTACCCATATACATATATGTATTATCCATACACTGGATATCTACTGCACACAGTTTTCTGTGCTTTATTTTCAATTAGAAGTATAGCTTGGTGACTATTCCATTCCATCATATTTATAGAGCTTCTCCATCTTCTTTATGGCTGTATAATACTCTGTTCCATGGATAAACCCTAATTTATTTCATCAGTCCCTCCTGAAGGACTTTGATTTTAGGAACATAGACTTTGGAATCAGACTACCTTGATAGAATTCTGGCTTGATCACATATTAGCTATATGATCTTGGACAACTTATTTAACTTCTCTGTGCCTCAGTTTTCTCACTTGTAAACTGGCAATTACAATAGTACCTCCTCTTAGGGTTGTTGTGAGGATTAAATATGTTAATCAATGTCAAGTACTTAGAACAGTGAATGGCACATAGTAAGCTCCAGTAAACATTAGCTATTGATTATTTCTCAAGTTTTGCTATTGCATTCTGTGCTGCAGTAAATAACCTTGAACATAGGAGTGATACCCAAATATTTAACAGCTATTACAGAATGGGCACTGATGAATCAGAATAATGCTGGCCACAGTGCTGAAGCAGGGTTCCAGAGGTCCCATGTGGTCACAGGCATTTACCTCTTGATTTGCTGGGTTGCAGCAAAGGCTAGGGGTTCTTGGGGAGGGATCGTATGGCAGGACAGCAGCATTTACTCATCAATAAATAAGCATTTTTTTTTTTTTGAGACAGAGTCTCGCTCTGTCACCCAGGCTGGAGTGCAGTGGTGTGATTTTGGTTCACTGCAACCTCTGCCTCCCAGGTTCAAGTGATTCTTCTGCCTCAGCCTCCTGAATAGCTGGGATTACAGGCATGCATTTTTTTTTTTTGTATTTTTTGTATTTTTATATTTTTAGTAGAGACAGGGTTTCACCATGTTTTCCAGGCTGGTCTTGAACTCCTAACCTCAGGTGATCCACCTGCCTTGGCCTCCCAAAGTGCTGGAATTACAGGCATGGCCAAGCATTTCAATATTTCTAACAACCAGCTCTGGAGCATACCAGAACATGTGCAGTTAGTTAGCTATGTGTTCACATATCACTTCATACTTATGTGCATATTATCTTTTAGGATAAATTCTGGGAAGTGGAATTGCTAAGTCGAAGGTTATAAACACTTGCAATTTGTCCTCCTTGGAGATCGTACCAATTTGCCTAATTTCCAGCAATATATGTGGGTAGAGCTTCTTTTTATCTTTGCCCATCTAATAGGTGAAAAATGATACCTCAGTGTGGTTTGCATTTCTCTTATTGTGATTGAGACTTAACAGCCATTTAGGCTGGGCACAGTGGCTCACGCTTGTAGTCCCAGCACTTTGGGAGGCCAAGGCAGATGGATTGCCTGAGGCCAGGAGTTCCAGATCAGCCTGGCCAACATGGCAAAACCCCGTCTCTACCGAAAATACAAAAAAAGTTGTCAGGCGTGGTGGTGTGTGCCTGTAGTCCCAAGTACTCGAGAGGCTGAGGTATGAGAATCGCTTGAACCCGGGAAGCGGAGGTTGCAGTGAGCTGAGATCACACCACTGCACTCCAGCCTGGGCGAAAGAGCAAGACTGTCAAAAAAAAAAAAAAAAAGATTTAACAGCCATTTACACATTTTCTTTTTTGTCTTTTATTATGGTTCATATTATGATTGAGTTTTAATGTCCTTTTATGTGTTTAACAGTCCTTTACATTTCCTTTTCTGTGTACTGCCTTCTTATATGCTTCACCCATTTCACTTTTGTGTTGTTGGCCTTTTTTATATTGATTTGTAGGAGTTCTTTATATATCATATGCCATTTGTTCTTTTACTTAACTATACAAATTTATCGAGCACCTACAGCAGGCTTAGTGCTGTTTGCTGTTCCAGGACTAAGGATACAGAGATTAAAAAAAAAAACAAAAAAAACAAACAATAACACAGTATTTACCTTCAAAGAACTTGCAAACTAGTGAAGAAGACAGGTAAAAAAATTAACATTCACAATAAAGAATAAAAAATAATTTGAGAGGGTGAGCATGGGGTGCTTTGAGAGCACAGAGGAGAGAGAAAACTCACATGAACCATGTCTGATTAGGGAATTCTGCAAAGGGTGTTCAAAGCCTTTGAGTGGAAGATGCTTGATAAACCCTTGTTCTGTGTGTAAAGACTGATTGGCTCCTGTGGTTAAGTACTTGGTTGGCTCCTCTGTTTCAGACTCATTTCTAAGGAGGCCAGTATTCTGATTGTCATCATATCTGACTTTGCTCCATATTTACGACCTATTCCCAGCCCCTGAAGCACACAAAGAATAGTGTAAACATGTTATTACCATCACTGGGAAAGCTCTAACTTCACACGTTTTTGATGATAAGTAGCTTTATCTCTGTTGAAGAAAGATAGTTTACTATTGAGCTATCAGCTAGATTTCACAAATAGATGGGGGCTTTTCCAAATATAAAACAGGCCATATCCCCAAATGTGGTATTTTGATCTACCTATTAATCATTTAGCAACCTTTGGGTTTTCAATGCTGGTTGGACATAATATAGCACTCAGGCCCAACAGTGACCTTCATCTTTCTATTGTATCTTTTATTGAGGACCTGCTGTGAATGTTTCACATCCAATTAACCCATATAGCAGCACATGGTATTAAGTGGGCCATCCTATTTTAAGACTTTTTTTTATAAGAGTTGAATGCAGTTTGGACGATCTATTCCAGCTGGGACTGAAGCAATTGAACACAAGCCTTGGGCAGAACAAAATTTCTTAACAGCTACAGATTGCCTTGTGTGTGGTCTAGGGCACAGCTGATTCCTTGCAATAGTGTATGTCATAAACCCTCAAAGCAGCTCCTACCTTATCCACCAAGGTTGAGAGTTCTTGCTTCAGCTCTCAGCATTGCCAAAGAAATGAATTCCACTTTTCTGTCAGGAAGATGGCATGTTGTCTGAATTAATGGATAAGAATGGCTACATAATTTGTGGGGGCTCAATGCAAAGCAAAAATATAGGACCTCTTGTTTAAAATTATTAACAATTTCAAATGATGACTGCAGAATATTAAACAAAACCAGGGAGAGGCAGAGCCAGATCTACAATCATAGATGTAATATGACTAAAATACATGGAGAAGGGAGGTGCAGATTATTTTCCATGCCCTGAAATTTATAATTTCCTCTATTATAAACCATAACTTATGGTATATATTTTTTAGTAGCTAATTTTGTGTGCCTTCCTTCCCCTTCAAATTAGGCCCAGAATTCAAGTCTTTTGGGCCCCAATTCAATGAACTTTTGACTCACCAGTACTTTTCAAACTTTCTAAACTGTGACCTTACGACAGTGTTACCTTGAAATCTAGGTCTCATCAACACACACATATACAAGTAAATAAAAGCTCCATTAATGGGTGTTTTTACTTGCAATGCAAATATTTGCTCTGCTATTCTTTTACATACCATTTCATTGAAAACAAACAAGTGCCAGTCATGACCCCCTACACTGATTTTATGAACCACTAATGGGTCATATCACACAGTTCAAAAAATACTGCTTGAATGTCTATGTTGCTTATCTGCTGGGAGTGGTGGGTGAAGCCTGAGGACATTTCACAGAAAGCCTCTTCTAGAATAAGAACCACCAAGGCCCAGATGTGCTGGTAATAGGGCAAGAAATAGACATATTTGAACTCTAATAGGGGAATCTAAATTGGAACAATCTTTCTAAAAGTAATTTGTTAAGTTTACTGTAAGTTTACCGTAGAGTCTTAAAAATGTGTTCACTCTGACTCAGCGATTCCACCTTTAAAAATCAGGCCAAGGAAATAATCATTGATGTAGACAAAGACTTAGCTACAAAGGATGATCAATGCAATATCATTTATATAATGGAGGAAAACTGGAAACAACTTAAATGTCAAGAGTTGAGAATTAGTTAAAGGAGGGCCTATATCTATGAATTGAATGTACTGCCATTAAGTCATATATGTAATGAAAGTTTTAGTGATAAAAATATTTATGATATATTAATTGAGGAAAGCGGATACAGAACAGTACATACTGTCAGTATGAAAAAGATGAGGATTTATATAAATTTATATGCATTTAAGGCTGGCCATGGTGGCTCACATCTGTAATCCCAGCACTTTGGGAGGCCAAGGTGGGTGGATCACTTGAAGTCAGGAGTTCGAGACCAGCCTGGCCAACATGGTGAAACCCCATCTCTACTAAAAATTCAAAAATTAGCTAGGTGTGGTGGTGCATGCCTATATTCTCAGCTACTAGGGAGGTTGAGGTGGGAGAATTAGTTGAACCCATGAGGTGGAGGTTGCAGTGAGCTGAGATTGCACCACTGCACTCTAGCCTAGGTAGCAGAGTAACACTATTTCTCAAAAAAAAAAAAATTGTGTTTAAACATTTAGAAGAAAACATATCAACTATTAACAGTGTATTCTGTGAATCTATGGTGTATTAGTCTACTAGGACGGCCATAACAAAATACCACAGACAGGGTGGCTTAAACAGTAGACATTTATTTCTTACAGTTCTGGAGTCTGGAAGTCCAAGCTCAAGGTGTTGTTAGGTTTGTTTTCTCCTGGGGCTTCTCTCCTTGGCTTGAAGATGGCCAACTTCTTGCTGTGTCTTCACATGGTCTTTCCTCTGTGCATGCAAACTTCCAGTAGGTGTTCCTTTTCTTATAAAGACACCAGTCCTATTGGATTAGGGTCCAATCCTTATGACCTAATTTAATCATAATTATCTTCTCAAAGGCCCTATCTCCAACTGTGATCACATTTGAGATTAGGGCTTCAACCTGTGAATTTTGGGGAGATACAATTCAGTCCATAACATATGGGTTGTAAGATTATGGGGGAATTTTATTTTCTTCTTTTTGATTTTCTATACTTTCTAATCTTTCTACAATGACCATTGTATAATTTAAATTTAAATGACTTATTTAATTTAAAAAAATAACCAATATAGGGCTCCTCTAAAAAGAAGAGTGGGGCAGGGAAGATAATGAAAGCAACATGCATTTGATGTAGGATAAGTGAAGAAACTCATTTGAGACTGTCTAACTACAATATAGTAACATTTTATCTCTTGGGTTACATAGCCAATAAAGCAGTTTGTGAATATTTTCTTTTTAAAGGGTTCTAATCATTAGCACTGGCTGTCCAAGTTCTGATGAAGCTTCAGCTCCATTTTTCATCTGTCCGTAGAAGAGTTTCTCCACGACATGGACCCAGGGACTTCAGTGAGTCACTTAAAATAGGTTGATTTCAGTCACTTAAAATAGCGTGATGGCTCACGCCTGTAATCCCAGTGCTTTGGGAGCCTGAGGCAGGAAGATCTGTTGAGGCCAGGAGTTTGAGACCAGCCTGGGTAACAAAAAACTTAAAAATTACCAACAAGGGCCGTGTGCGGTGGCTCACACCTGTAATCCCAGCAGTTCAGGAGGCCGAGGCGGGCAGATCATGAGGTCAGGAGTTCGAGACCAGCCTGACTAACATGGTGAAACCCCGTCTCTACTAAAAATACAAAAATTTGGCGTGGTGGTGCATGCCTGTAATCCCAGCTACTCAGGAGGCTGAGGCAAGAGAATCGCTTGACCCTGGGTGACAGAGGGAGGTTGCAGTGAGCCGAGATCATGCCATTGCACTCCAGCCTGGGCGACAGAGTGAGATTCCATCTAAAAAAAAAAAAAAATTGTCAACAAAAAATAAAAAAAATAGCCAGTCATGGTGGCACAGACCTGTAGTCGCAGCTGCTACTTGGGAGGCTGAGGCAGGAGGATTGCTTGAGCCCAGGAGTTCGAGATCACAGTGAGCTATGGTCATGCCACTGCACTCCAGCCTAGGTGACAGAGCAAGACTGTCTCAAAAACAAACAAAGAAAAAAACTCAGCTGACTGCAGGGGTGGATGGGGCTCCCATATGGCTACTAGCTTCTGGAAGATTTCATATCTAGTGGGGTATGCCATTTTCTTCTCTTCAATGTTTTTTACCACACATTCTCATGTGATATTTCAGGTGGATCCTTACAATAACCCTATGACATAGGAATTCATTCCCTTCTATTATATATATTTTTTGTACGAAGAAACTAAGGTCCCAGAGATTGACTTGCCCAAGGTCACATGATCAGACCCAGAGTTCAGACCCAGGCCCCTGACCCTAACGTCCATGCTTTCAACACCACCCCTACCATGTTACCTTTAGGTCTTGGAAATTTTGTCTGGTTCTGAGAACTCAGTTTCTGGAGGGTTGTGGCGTCTAATAAGAAAAAAGAAGTTATTAAAGGCTCAGCCACCAAGCACTTTCCAACAGATTGATTCCATGTTGGGACAAAGACTCACACTCACAGCCAAGCCTGAGCCAGTGGGGACAGAGGCCAGTTGGATTATCCATGCTCTTTCTCTTTCTCTCTCCTTGTTCATTTCAGTGTCCCCTTCGTGGCCACCGTTTGTGAAGTTGAATGCCCTGACACTGTACTCTGACTGTAGTGCTCACTCAGGCCTCAGAGTCTGGCATAGACCCCTCCCTTGATATACCAGTATTCAAAGTTTGGCTGTTTTGTTTCCTGTTTGTTTCAGGATCTTACAGTTCCTGACCTGTTGTGAACTAATTCACTGAACAGGAGAGGTGAGGAGTGCAGATGTTTAACTGAAAAGAGAGAATCCTGGAAAGGGCAAGGAAGTCAAAATATTAATAAAAATAATAATTTCTATGGATGCAAATCTTTTTTGGCAGGATGGCCTTTCTGTTATATTTGTAATAATATACCAGAGTTGATCACTAACAATATGATAATGACTTCTATCCCTATTTTATTCAGCAATTAATTAAAATGTCCCAGTACTGATAAGCATTTCACAGAATAAATATTTTGATCTCACTTTCCCTGGGTTGATAGTGGAGTACAGGATAGGGTAAAGACTATCAGCTTTGGAGAAAACAAACCTGTATTTAAAGCCCCTGATTTGTCTCTTTTGCATAAGTCTTTGTCTCTTTGCCTGAATCTCTCAGGCTTAGTCTCCTCATTTGTTAAAGGAAGATAATACTGTCTAGCTCCTAACTTGTAAGGACTAAGTGAAAGAAGCTTTCTTTCTCCCAGTGCTGCCCTGGAGCCAGCTTACCCTGGTTCATGAGAGTCAACTGTTAAACTTTCAGGGCATTCTGAGCTGGTTGTTGTTAAACATAGCCCTTATCAAAAATTAAATTATATAAACTTATAATTAAAGACATTAAAACAAACAAAAGTAATAAATACTCAAAACTTACCATGCCCTAATTATTTTGCTATTTTACGATCGTCTATGCTCTTGTGGTTATTTATGCCTAGTGCATCTGTGTGGTGGCGTATAATGGTGTGCCAGTTTGCATTCTCCGCAAGTCCATTGTTAGGTGACTTTACATTGGTAGTTTGAAAGTGGCCACAACTAGAATATTTACAACACAAAAAAATTTACAAATCAAGACCTCATTTATTGTATTATCTATTGTCTAAGGCAGGCCTGTTCAACTTTGGCACTATTGACATTTGGGGCTGCATAATTCTTGGTTGTGGAGGGAGAAGCTGTGCATTGTAGGATATTTAGCAGCATTCTGGCCTCTCCTTACTAAATGACACTCCCTTTAAGTTGTGACAACCACAACTGTGTCCAGATATTGCCAAATATGCCTTGGGGAGCAGAATTGCTCCTTCTCTCCATTGAGAGCTACTGGTCTAAGGAGTTGGCAAATTAAGGTCAGTGGGCAAAATTTGGCCCGTGGATGTTTATATACAGCCCTCAAGCTAAGAAGTTCTGCATTTTTAGAGGATTGTAAAACATAACAGAGACTAGATGTGGTCTGCAAAGCCTAAGATATTTACTTTTTCGCCCCTTAAAGAAAATGTTTGTTGACCCTTAGTCTTAGTGATAAAGAAACTGTTAACAAAGCAGATTAAACTTAAAAGAGCTTCATGTTAGTAGCTGTTACATTGTGAAGAACACACACAATACTGAAGAAATGTTCTTCGGTATATGAAAGAACAGTTTCCAGTATATGAAAACTATTATTTGATTCAGCAAAGAAGCTACTCACGTCACCAACGAACAAGTGAATTTCCAACATACGTAAAGGTGGAACTCAAAGAGGGTTCAGTTTAACAAAAATAATTTGTGTGAAAATCATAGTTTAACAGTAGATCACATATAACATTTCAGTACGATATTTATATTGGAGAAAGGATTAGTGGTCTGGAATGCGATTCCATTTGTCAAACCATGGTTGAACGGCAACCATAAGTTGGCTATCAATACAAGAGTTCAGCAAAACTCAATGAAAACATCCCAGTTGACTCACTGGCTACATGGAATTTACAATATACAGAAACTGTATATTTATTATTATTTGTAAAACATGTGTTACTTACCTGTTCTATCAGTAAAATTTAAAATAAATGTTTATATGTATATATTCACCCACCTCTCTGAGAACTGGTTGTTAATCACCTACCAGCACACCACTGCTCCCACCTCCTGTTCTATCCCGATTTCTTTGTTCCTCCCCCACATTCTTCCTTGAAAGACATTGTCCTTCTCTTTATTTAATGGGATTCTCCAACCTCTCTCCTGTCTCAGAGCCTTTGCTGCTGTCTTTTCCTTACCCTGAAATGCTCCTTTTTTTCCTTCTCAACACCTTTCACTCCCAACACATCAGAGATCCTTCCATCTTAGCTAAAACATCACTTTCTTAGAGGAAGCCTTTCTAAACCCCTCTGACATGGTGAGGGCTCCCTGATAAATACAGTCGCAGAACCCTGTGCTTCTCCTTCATAACATGCTGTCACAAGAGAACTTATAAGATTGTCTGTGTAGTTTTTATTAATTGTCTGTCTCTCACACTAGGCTGTAAATTGCATGACTGCAGGAACCATATCATTTTGTTCACTGCTGATTTGCCAGTGCTTAACAGACTGTTTGGAAAATATTAGCTGCTCAGTAAATGCTTGTTCCTTTTCCCCTTCTTTCTTTCTGTGCTAGTTAGAATTAATCCCATGAATAGAGAGCACATTTTCTGTTTGTTATGATTAATGGAGAGTATTTTATGACACCCTGAACTTTTCCATCTTATCACATAACACAAGTGAATGTTATTCATTCTTTATATGATTTACTTTATTGTTATGGTTATTGCTGTTATTATTTTGCTGAGTGTCCCTTGTTCATGGGATGGTGAGCTTTCAGAGCTTGGGTTTTGGGTCTCTCCTACTCAGCACTAGCACATTGCCTGGGGCATCCAGTTATCAGGGACACAGTGGTGAACAAGATAGGTGTAATCATCTATTTATGTTCCATATAGTGAGAGAGACATGAAACATGTCCATGTATGCTAAGTGGTGCTCAGTGCTTAGTGCTACAGGGTAAAATAAAGCAAGGTAAGAATGAGAAGAGAGGCCAGGTGCGGTGGCTTACGCCTGTAATTCCAGCACTTTGGGAGGCTGAGGCGGGAAGATCGCTTGAGCTTAGGAGTTTGAGACAAGCCTGGGCAACATAGCGAAACTCCATCTCTACTAAATACAAAAAATTAGCTGGGTGTGGCGGCACGTGCATGTAGTCTCAGCTACTCGGGAGGCCGAGGCAGGAGAACCGCTTGAACCCGAAATGCTGAGGTTGCAGTGAGCCAAGATCATGCCACTGCTCTCCAGCCTAGGTGATAGAGCCAGACTGTGTCTCCAAAAACAAACAAACAAAAAAAGGAATGAGAAATGAGAAGTGATATCCTGTACTGGGAAGAGAAATGGCATTGTATTTGGTGTGTCCAGGAAAGGCCTCTCTGGTAAGGTGAGTAGAAACCTGTAGCATGCAATGGAAGGTCTCTGGGCAAAAATCAATCCAGGCTATGGAACAGAAAGTACAGGGGCCCTGGGGAGAGAATGTGCTTTATGAGTTCAGAGAACAACAAGGAGGCCTCATGACCGGCGTGAGTGATAGATGAAGTTAGAGCTATGTTGGGATGGGGTAGGATTCAGGGTCATTTAGATCCTTGGGGTCACTGTAAGAAGTTTGGCCATTACTCTGAGAGAGATGAAAGCCTGTGGGGGTTTTGAGCAAAAGAACGACATGATCCTTTGGTTTTGGTAGGATCACTCTGGCTGCCATGCTGGGAACAAATGACAGAGTGCAAGCATGGAAATAAGGAGGCCACTTAGGAGGCCATGGCACAAACCCAGGTGCAAGAAACCTGGCATGGACCAGAGAGATGACAGTGGAGGTGGTGGGAAGGTATCAGATTCAATACATATATTGTGAAGGTAAAACTTAAACATTTTCTAATGGATTGATTGTGTGGTGTGAAGAGAAGAAAAATAATTGTTGAAATTTTTGAATGGGCTCTTATGTCATACCCAGCACTATGTGCTACACCACTGGAGATCCAAAAGGATGGGAAATACATGCCACCCTCAGGGAGTATCCAGTCCAGTGGGCAAATACGATTGTCAGTGTGAAGGCCCAGAGAAAATAATAACAGCTAACCCCTACACAGCACTTTCTGTGTGTCAGGTACCAGCGCTTTGCATAGATTAATTCATTAAATCCTTGCAATAACCTCATGAAATACATAGTAATTATATCTTTATTTTACAGATGGGGAAACTGAGACAGATGTTAAGGAAAAGCCTAAGGTCTAAGGTCACACAGCTTGTAAGTGGCAGAGCTGGGATTTGAACCCAGCCGGTCCAGCGCCACAGTCTGTGTCTTCAGTCATTGTCTCCATCTCTGCTGGAGAGAATGAAATCACAGTACAGGCTCTTATCATCCAAGAAGAAATGGGCTTGGTGTCACATAGAAGTCACACAGGAGTCCCTCAGGCAGCCCAGAGCTGCAGAGTGCAGTAAGTGTCAGTGCAAACTCTCTTCAAAAGAAAATGTACAGGCCTGGGGTGACCCTCTTCCTTGTGCCGAAGGGGCTGGAGGATGCACCATAGTACATTGGGAACCCCCAGAAGTAGGTAGGAAGTAGGAGCCTGTAGGACCTACAAAAATGCTATTTTATAAGAGAAGCAAAATATAACATTTCTAACAGGTTTGAATGTAGATCTTCTACTAGCTGACCTTGTGACGGGAAACAAATGACACACATCACAGATGGGAAATGCACACATCACATACACACACACACACACACACACACACAGGTGCATGTGCAGCCATGCTGCTTTGGGAAGTTGTTTCTCAGCTCACTCATTGATTGCGTTAACAAAGAGTTACACAATGCTTTTTCTGTGAGAGGCACTGTGCTAAGACAAAGGGTAGATACAAAGACAAGTCTGCTACCATGCCTGGTTTTTGTAAAAGAGATAAAACAAGTAGAAAACTATAATATATAAGGTCAGAGGATTTAAGGGACAGCAAGGAAACTACAAATAAAAGATCAAGGGAGTTGGGTGGGGAGAATAGGGGCAGATGAGGAATGGGGCTGGCTTCAGGGAGAACTCTGCTTCTGTTCCACGCCTGGAAGATGTGTGGGTGTGAAAAGAAAGTAACTGAGGTAGAAGGAAGAGCTTGTGCAAAAGTGTGGAGGCGGGAGAGCTTGGTACAGGTTGGCAGAGGTTGGGATGTCTGAAGGGACAGAATGTGAGAAAATCCTAGAGACATTAGGGCTAGATCTTCAGGTGTGGAAGGGGTTCTAAATGTCAAGCATTTTGTGTTCGTTTTTTAGGCATAGAGAGTGCATTGGGGATTTTCGATGAGGGGAGTGCCTAGCAAGTTGCTGGGTACATAGTAGGCTGATAATCAATCAATGATGGTTCAACTAATGAAGGAGAGAAATAATAATTGCCACAAATTATTGGGTGATTGCTATCTGCCACACACTTTTCTAAACATTTTCACTACTCATGTAATTCTCACCACAGCCCATGAGATGGTTTCTCCATATCCATTCTACAGATGAGGAAACTGAGACTCAGAGAGGCTAAGTGTCTTGCTCAAGGCTGTGACTAAAGAGTGGGCATCTAACCAGAGCCTGTGCTTCCACACTGCTGTGCAATTTGGAAAACAGAAGAAGGGGAGAGAAGAAAAAGGGGTTGTGGGACCAATGTCATCCAGAAAGGAAGCTATGATAGGCCCAAAGTAGGAGAAGAACAATGTGGGTTGGAAATAAGAGACATTCCAAAGATGCAATCAACCCAAATCTGTTATTATTTGATATGGGTGGCTGGGCAGAGGGAAGGGTCAAAAAGGCTCCCAGCTTCTAGTTCAGTCCCGGGGAAGTGATAGAGCTATTCAAAGAAGTTGTAGTGAGAGAGAGGGAAGATGACAGTTTGGTTTTAGTTGATGTGTACAGAAATACGGGTGCCCAGGAGCCCACAAAACGGCCAGAGGAGAAATGCTTTCAAAGGCAAGCTGCAGGGCTCCTTGGTTTTGTCACATTCCTCATTCTGGGGCTTTGCGGTTTTGTCTTGGGAATCTCGAGGCTCTCCCAAGGTTCCTTTCTATGTTTATATCATTTAGCAGGGAAGGATTGTTAATGACTAATCTGTGTCCATGAGGCACAGAGCCAAGGAAGAGATGCTGCTGCTAGCCCAGAAGGCCGCCTGTGATCATGCACAGTACACTGGAACTCTCTCCTCCTCCTCACCTCATTGTCTCCCCGACTTATCCTAATGCGAAATTGGATTCTGAGCATTTGTAGCAAAATCGCTGGGATCTGGAGAGGAAGACTCAGTCCAGAATCCTCCCAGGGCCTTGAAAGTCCATCTCTGACCCAAAACAATCCAAGTAAGTACCTAATTCCTTTGGGAGTGGGTTGTGTATCTCACAGCAACAGAGAAAAAATAGTCACTTAAAAGTTTCTCTTTGACATCTGTAATGTATGTCAATAAATGAATTCTAAGTTAGTAGAGTTTGATGTAAAGTCCTGAAAATTAAAAAAGAGAGAAACTAAAAAACAAAAAGAAGCAGAAGCAAAAGTTAATGAGTCTTAACAGTTGCTTACCTATTGAAAACTTATTTAGAAATACTCTTTTAACATTGTGGTCACCTGAGTAAATCACTGGAGATAGTGCATTTCAGAAATGTCTCCGTTCTGATTCCATAAACAATTTGACTTGTATAGTGTGCTATATTTTGGTGATTTATCAAATCTTGATGTGAGTTTGGGAGTATTGCTAATGTCAGATGACTTGGGAACTAAGAATAAGACATTTAACCTATGCTTAATTGAAATGAAATTTTTCCCTAGAAGAAGAGTAGGTGGAAAAAGTCTTCTTTCTTGACTTCAGTTGTAAACTCTTCTATTGCTTTCCATTTTGAATATTAATATGACAGGAAATATCAGATGGAAATATTTTTAAAAGATAGAAATGTGAGTATGACGAAGAACTTTAGTAATAAAATTGTCCAAGGACTAAATTTATAGATAAGATACCTCTTTGTCTCCTTATTGACAGAGTGAATGGGGCAACTGTGGAGCCTGACTTACTTCTTTTAATTGGGTTTTTATTCAGAAGGGAGGGGCAGGAGGGAATGACAAGTGACTCACCTTGAATTCTTCCTCTAAGAAACTCACACCTGAGCTTTGAGCTATAAAGAAATCTGATGCTGTTTCTGGTGCTGTCTTAGAATCACTTCAGGAGTATTGACAAGAGGGGTAGGAACCCTTAGAAATAATATTAGTGATAAATAAGAAGGCAGGAAGAAACTTTTGGAGGTGATGGATAGGTTTATGGTATAGATTGTGGTGATGATTTAATGAGTGTATGCCTATCCCCAGACTCATCAAAGTGTATACATGGAATATGTAAAGCTTTTATATGTCAGTCACACCTCAGTAAAGTGGTTTACCTATCTATCTATCTATCTATCTATCTATCTATCTAAATTTTTTTTTCTGTTCCTAAAAAAAGGAAGGGAGAAGAGAGGAAAAGATGTTCAGGGAGCTACCATTTTGTTTCTAGCTGTGATTTTATAAAATGATAGACACTTTTATCTTTGTGTTACGTTCCTACCCCCAGTCCTCCAAATTATGGATCTGTGCCATTTGTACCGTGGACTTTTCTGTTTTCTGAGGATGTTGCAACAAATACTGATGCAACTCCTGGTTAACTGATAAAGTACTGGCCAGGGACAAAGCTCTCTTGTCCTGAGACCCTTCCTCAAGATTTGCAGCAATTTCCCACCACGTACCTCTGCCCTCTCCTCACAGCTGGAGAGGGAAAGTCATGGAATCCTTGTCCTTCCTCTTGTTTCCACCTCTTCAAGATTGGGCCAATTGCAATGGAATATCCATTGGTTGTGAGGCCTTTGTACTCTGCAAGGAAAAGAAAAGAAATGTGTGTATGTATGAGTGTGTGATGGAGCTAACTTTTCTACAATGTCTACTAACATGTCCTAGCCTTTACTTCATTCGCCTGTTTCCTTCTCACAAAAACCCTGTATGGGAGTTTTTCTTTACTTTTTATTATTATTTTTTTGAGACAAAGTCTCGCTCTGTCTCCCAGGCTGGAGTGCAGTGGCGCTATATCGGCTCACTGCAGCCTCCACCTCCCGGGTTCAAGCGATTCTCCTGCCTCAGCCTCCTGAGTAGCTGGTACTACAGGCGTGCACCACCATGCCACTATTTTTTGTATTTTTAGTAGAGACGGGGTTTCACTATGTTGGCCAGACTGGTCTCGAACTCTTGACCTCAGGTGATCCGCCCGCCTCGGCTTCCCAGAGTGCTAGGATTACAGGCGTGAGCCACTGCGCCCAGCCAGGAGTTTTTCTTATACTCATTTTACAGATGAGAAAACTGAGACTCAAAAAATACAAGTGACCCGTCCACAGGCAGATAGTTAGGAAGTAGCGGGACCTGAACTTGAGGGCGGGTCTTTCTGACTCCAAAGCCTCTTCCTGGCTACTCTGATATTGGCTATTGGCGGAGGCTGGGAAAACTTGAAATGGGGAATGATCGGGGAGCGGCGAGGGGGGACCAGCCGTTAAGCATTCCAGCCTGACAGGGGTGATTTGTTAAACCCAGGAACTAGTTAGACGTTTCCTGAAACCTCCTGCATAGGGCATTTTCGAGAGATTGCACCATCAGTAGGGAAACTGGAAAGTTTGGAGCACTATTTGTTTTAACCCAGAGACCAGTCTAAGATAGCTGGGTGAATATTTCCGTTATCAGCGTTTTAATTAAAGACCACAATGAACTCTCCATGCTGCTGTGATTAGGGACATCTTAGAGAGGAGCTCAGAACTGCTGTGGCTCACAGTCTCTGGATTATGAATGCCATGAGAATGCATATCATGATGTGATAGATTTTCAAAGGCTCACATTGTCATTAGGTGGGTGCATAAAGGACAGAAAAGGTTCTTTACTTCATAGAAAGAGATTTCCCTTCCCTTTGCTCTCAGTCTCATTTTTATCTTAGTCTCTAGCAACACAGATTATAAAGGGGAATAAAAGAAAATAGGAACAAGCTAGATACAGTGATGAGTGCCTGTGATCCCAGCAGCTCGGGCGGCTGAGGTGGAAGGATTGCTTGAGCTCAGGAGTTCAAGGCTGCAGTGAGCTATGATAATGCCACTATACTCTAGCCTGGGTAACATAGAGAGACACCACCTCAAAATTTTTTTTAAAAAATAAGAAATAGGAACAATTTTCCTCCCAGGTATTTTTTTATTGTCACAGTAGTTTCTACCAGTGAAGATGTAGCTAAAAGGCATCACCATACGAGTGTCCTTAGTCACCAAGCTGTATGAGGAGGCAAAAATCATTATTACATACAAATATTCATCCTTCTGTCTTTTCTCTCCCTTCTCTCACCCTGCTCTGGAATCCCCTAACCCCTTTGCTCTTCACAGTGAATTATTTTCTCCCTCAGTTTGCCCATTTCCAATTTTGGCCATAAAAGAACATCTACTATTCCTACTCTCTCTGCTTTGTAAATTGGTGATAAGATGACACTAATATAATGCAACTTGATTGCAAAGTAAAATTGCAAATATTGCACAGGAAAAAAAATAAGATTTATTCTTTGTTAGGATTAAGAAATATAACAGGGTTCTGGTGATTAAAATAAATAAGTATAAATATAAAATAAATTTTTATTAATTTTCATTTTTTAATATAAAATCCTAACAAAACTTTGAGATTTTGCTTCCCATTTTAAAGAGATTTAGATGACCTTTCCCAGGTCTCAATGAACCTGAGACAACCTGGGTCTATTACACTTTAATTAATGTTATTAATGTAAAGAAAAGGAGAAATGGTATGGCTTTGCATTTTCAAGTCCTGTAGATATATTTAACACAGTTATCTGGAAAACATGGTAAATAATGTAGTTGTGCATGGAGAAGATAGTCCTGCTGTGGGATGTTGCTGATTAGAGAAAACAAAAACACTGCTCTGGGCTGTGACTGTTCCTAAGCAGAGAGCTATTTGCTGCCATGTCCTAGAGAGTTATGGAAGCTGCCAGTGTAGACGACAAGTTGATACCAGCCTGGGGCTTAAGGAGCAAAAGCTGGTTGCCATCCAGAATTTGCAGGGCAGAGACAGGACAAAGAAATGTCATTCCAAAGTGGTCATGTAAAAGATTCTTGCTCTCCTGGAGTCCCGACTCTGAATCTGAGGCTATAGCTGGGCTTCAGGGGGCCAGGGTCACTTAAGACTACATTTAAAAATCTATGCATTTTACAGAGAATTTTTAGGGCAGTGAATTCATTCTATATGATATTACCAATGGTGGGTACATGTTATTATACACTTGTCAAGACCCATAGAATACACAACACCAAGATTGAGCCCTAATGTAAACTATAGTCCTTCGCTGATAAAGATGTGTCAGCATAGGTTCATCGATTGTAAAAAAATGTGCCACTCTGGTGCTGGTTGTTGAAAGTAAAGGAGGCTGTGCATGTGTGTGGGGGGTGGGGGAGAAGACGTATATGGAGGCTCTCCATACATTTTGTTCAATTTTATAGTGAACATAAAATTTCTCCTAAACATTTATTAATTTAGAAAAATATCTGTATTTTGTGTATGTCTTTCCTAGAGAGAGGTTTATAATTTTTGTTGAAGCTCAAAAATGCTGCACAATCCTAAAATTGTTTTAAGAAAATGAAGCAAACCCTTCTTTTCTGGAGAATCTAAATATACCTGCTTATAGCATCTGATTATATAATTGGCAAAGTTGAGGACAGGAAATGATACCCTAGGAGACTGACATATCTTAATGTAGTCATTGTGTTAAAAGTTTCAACATTATGAATAAGTCTAAAATATTTTTTGACCTTCCCCTAGCCCTATTCTCCTCTACTTCACTGTTTCAATGTTAATACATATCAAAACACTTTAATCTTGTTTAACCACTTCCTAATAGTTGATACTATAGAGCACAGTTCATTTAGCCATTCCACTGTTGATGGTTTTTTAGGTGGTTTGCCCTCTTTCTGCATTAGAGGCAATGCTACAATGAACATCCTGGTGCATACCAGCAAAGATTTCTCCAGGAAAGATACCTAGGAATTAAAATTGCACTTTATTTTAAGATACACTGCTAAAGAGCCCTCCAAAAAGACTAAAACCTATGCCCCCACTAGCAATATGTGAGAATGCATATTTTCATACACTTTGAATATTATCAAAGTTAAAATTTTTTGATAATCTCATAGGTGAAAATGGTATTTAGTTATAGTAATATCCATTTTCCTAATTATTATTAGTTTCAGATATTTTCTGTGTTTACTGGCCACTTGTGTTTCCACTTTGGTGAATTTCCTTTTTGTATCCTTTGCCAATTTCTCTCTTGGGTTGTTTATCCTTTCTGTTTTTATTTATAGGAATCGTTTATATATTGTTTGTACTAATATTTTTGGTGTTATTTATGTTGTAAATATTTTTATCCATTTTTATATATTTAGCTTTGTTTGTGATGCCTTAACCTCTGTCTTACATTTCAACGTTCTCAAATGTATTCTTTTCCTATTTACTTCTTATTTAATAAAGTCCTTCTCAATCCCCAAATCCATAAAGATCATAAATATATTTTCTCCCAATAATTTTATAATTTTCAGTCTTTAATCCATCTGAGATGTATTTTCCAAGAATGATTCATAAAGATGTCTTTATTTTTACCCTCAAAGCATAGGCAATTTTCTTGCCACAATTTCTTGAATAGGTCATCCTTCTTCCACTGATTTGAGCTGAGTCCACTAGCTACAGCATAGACAACTATTTAGGGTTGCTCAGAACACAGCATGCTATTTTCCCTTCCTATAGCCATCCCTGTTGCGTGTCATTTTCCTAGCCTAATGCCTATTCCTTCAAGACTAAGTTCAAGAATCAACCCTCCACGCTCAGAAAGATTTCCCTCATTCTCCTCACTATACCCTTGTTTAAAACTCATCAATTACTTCCATTTAGAAGAAAATCCAAACTCCTTACCATGGCCAACAGGCCATACAAGAGCTGCCTACTCTCAGACCTCATTTCCTATAGCCCCTCCTTGGCTCACTCATTTCCAGCCTCACTGGGCTTGTGTTGTTCTTCCAACACTCCAAGCCCAGGCCCTTTGCTTTTGCTGATCACTCTGCCTGAACTTATTTTCCCTTTGTATGACTTACTCATTCTTGTCCTTCACATCTCAGTTCGAATGTCCACTTTTCAGAGAGCTCTTCTCTGATTGCCCTCTCCAAAACTGTGTTCAACTACAACACTCTATACTTCTCTTTTACTTTCTTATTATCCTCATCAGAAATCCTATTATTTGTTGACTTGTGTATTATTCACTTATCCCTCTAGAATGTAAGCTCTTTGTCTTACCACTGTATTTCTAAAACCTAGACCGAAACTTGGTATGTAGTAGAGAATTAATGAATATTGGATGAATGAATGTCCCTGCTTGTGCTCCTGATGGCACCTGTGCTTAGCTCTGTTGTAGCAATCCTCACACTACTACCATTGGGTTTTTCTTGCCTGACTTTTCCACTAAGCTTTCTGAAAAATCATTATTTTTTACTATGTCTAGTGTCTGTCAATAAATGTGCACTGACAAAATAAATGAGTGAATGAATGGGAAATTGATGTTGAGATGCCGTTTTTAAAGAGTAAGTACCTTATCACACATAGCTAAAGAGACCAACTGACACATCCACCGTACTAGTGGGAAATCTTAGATCTATAAGTTTAGAAACATTTCTATCTTCCAAGTTACCACAGGAGACAGTGTTACTGATTGTTTCATGATTATAAACAGGACCCCCATCTTCCCACCTCCTATGGGAATTTTCTTATTGTTCTTCCAGTTTCCACTAACCAGTCTCCTCACTGCCCTTCTAGCCTCAGATCATCCCCCAATCCCAAAGCCCAGGCCATATATGTTAGCGGTTTTTTTAGACAGCATCTCACTTCCAGGTACTGATTTCTATACCAGTCATTTATGTCTTTGTAACAACCATCCCAAAGCTTAGTGGCATAAAACAGGAATGATCCATTAATTCTCATAGTTCTGTGGGGCGGCTGAGCAGCTTCTCTGCTGGTTATGCCTGGGTTCACTCATGTTGCTCATTCAGATGTGAGTTCAACTGGAATGAAAGGACTGAGATGGCCTCACTCATGTCTGGGGTCTTGATGTGGCCGTCAGCTGGGATAGTTGGAAGAGCTGGACTTCTTTCTCCATGAGATTTTTAAATCTGAGATATCTGCAAACAGTATGGCAATCTCAGGGCAGCATTCTTTCTTAGATATGGAAAACAGAAGCTACAAGGTCTCTTAAAGCCTGGCTTAGAAGTCCCCAACCTCACTTCCACCACATTCTGTTGGTCAACGAATTTATTAGACCAGCTCAGGTCCAAGGGCTAGCGAAACAGACTTTGTGCATTGATGAGAGGTGTGGCAAACTCACATTGTAAGAGCGTGTGGAAAGGAAGCAATTGTGGTGGCCATCTTTGCAAACAATTTCCATGAGTAAGAGGCATAATATTTCAAAGATCCAATTAAGTATTTGAAAAAAAAAATGACAAGTTAGTCACGGAGAAAGCATTCAACAAATAGCTTCTTGACCATTTTGACTAATGTACATAATGCGAAAAAAGAAAAAACAAACTTTCCTGATTATGAAGAGTGAACATTAAGAAGACCAAACAACCACAACAACAAAACTATTCCTGGTAGTTCTGATGGAAGAGAATTAACAACGGGAAATTCGCGAGATTAATTAAAACTATTTCCGGCCCAGCATGGTGGCTCACTCCTGTAATCCCAGCACTTTGGGAGGCTGAGGTGGGCAGATTGCTTGAGCTCAGGAGTTCTAGACCAGCCTGGGCAACATGGTGAAATCCTGTCTCTACAAAAAATTAAAAAAATTAGCTGGGGCTGGGCACGGTGGCTCATGCCTGAATCCCAGCACTTTGGGAGGCCGAAGCTGGCAGATCATGAGGTCAGGAGATCGAGACCATCCTGGCTAACACGGTGAAACCCCATCTCTACTAAAAATACAAAAAATTAGCTGGGCATGGTGGCGGGTGCCTGTAGTCCCAGCTACTCGGGAGGCTGAGGCAGGAGAATGGTGTGAACCCAGGAGGCGGAGCTTGCAGTGAGCCGAGATGGCACCACTGCACTCCAGCCTGGGTGACAGAGCGAGACTCCATCTCAAAAAAATAAAAATAAAAATAAATAAATAAATAAATAAAATTAGCTGGGCAAGTGGTGCATGCCTGTAGTCCCAGCTACTTGGGAGGCTGAGGTGTGAGGATTGCTTGAGCCTGGGAGGTCAAGACTGCAGCGAGCTAAGATCGCACCACTGCATTCCAGCCCAGGTGAAAGAGAGAGACCCTGTCTCAAAACAAACAAACAAACAACAAAAACCCTGAAACAAAACAAAACAATTTCCTGGGGTGGTCAACTCATGTATAAAATGGTTCCCATGGGGAGACTGGAAAGCCTATGCTTAAGAGATTTCCAATAAAAATGGTTACCATTCACTAATTAGTCTACATTGTGGGGAAGCAGACTTAGTTGTTAGATTTCTTTATGTGACAAAAAAAAAATCCTTCTTCGGCTCTTGTGTGTATTGTGTTGTATGCCTCTATTCACTAATTTCTGTCCTATGGCCTAAGCAAGACTGATTCTAAAGGTGGTTATCTAGTAAGGTATATTATTCATTCACTCATTTATGTATTAGTTACTTTATTTATTCATGCAACCATTTGTTCATTTACTCAATTAACAAGAATTTATTGTGCATCTAAGATGTACCTGGCTGGCATTGTGCAAGGCATTGGAGATCCAATGTAATCTCTCCTAGAGCTGCTGGTTTAATGGGAGACACAGAAAACCAAATCCACAAAAACAAAGGTTGAATTACAATGGTAACACCACTGCAAAGAAGAAGTACCCAGGGCTATGAACGTCTCCTGGAGTTTGTGCTAATCAAGGAGTTGAGAAGCAGGGCTAGGCCTAGAGCTAGGCAAGTGAGGCACTGAGGGTGCAAAATTTAAGAAGACATTCACTTCCAGGTTCCTGGTCCTGGAAGCCTCAACTCCAGGTGCTTCTTCTACATCTAGTTGGAAATAAAGGTCAGCTGTTGTTTAGGCACCATTGTGTAAGCTCCAGAGAGCAGAGACGCTTTGAAAGCTGTGGATATCTAGTTGATGCAGGTATTTTATTATTTATTTATTTATTTGAGACAGAGTGTCACTCTGTCACAAGACTGGAGTGTAGTGGCGCAATCTCGGCTCACTGCAACCTCTGCTTCCTGGGTTCAAGCAATTCTTCTGCCTCAGCCTCCCAAGTAGCTGGGACTACAGGCGTGTGCCACCGTGCCCAGCTAATTTTTGTATTTTTAGTAGAGATGGAGTTTCACCATGTTGGCCAGGCTGGTCTCAAATCCCTGACCTCAGGTGATCCACCCACCTCAGCCTCCCAAAGTGCTGGGATTACAGGCATGAGCCACTGTGCCTGGCCTGTCATAGTTCTTGACAAACAAGTCATATTTCTTGCTGCTAATGGGCACAAACAAAACTGAGGTTGATTAGTTTGAATATCAGTATAAGTTGATCATAGATATGATCCAGAGAATGCTATTATTAAAAATTTAATTAAAATGTTAATTTAAATATTAAATTTTATTTTAATCTATCACTAAAAATCTATGTAGTGGTTACTAAGATAGTAATAAAAATTGTTTGGTTCTTATAGAGCACTGTCTTCAGAATGATGTGGTCCAATGGTCATATTGGCTCGCAGCCATCCTTGTTGGCCATATGTTGTCCTTGACGTGTCTCTGGATTTTCGGAAGTATCTATTTATTCTAAATCTGTATTTCTGTCCTGGAAAGAACTTCAGTTTGAGTGCTGCTTGAAGACCAAATACTTGGAAAAATAAAACGTTTTTTCTTTTCCTAGAGCTCTTTTCTCTTTTTCCTTAAGAATATATTTCCAGGTCAGGCGCGGTGGCTCACGCCTGTAATCCCAGCACTTTGGGAGGCCAAGGCGGGTGGATCACTTGAGGTCAGGAGTTTGAGACCAGTCTGGCCAACATGGTGAAACCCTGTCTCTACTGAAAATACAAAAATTAGCTGGGTGTGGTGGTGCATGCCTGTAATCCCAACTACTCGGGAGGCTGAGGCAGGAGAATCACTTGAACCCGGGAGATGAAGATTGCAGTGAACTGAGGTCGTGCCACTGCACTCCGACCTGGGCAACAGAGCAAGACTCTGTCTCAGAAAAAAAAAAAAAAAAAAAAGAATGTATTTCCAGCCTTTGGGCAGAATCTAAGGCTTCCTCTGAGCATAAAATGATGATGGTTAGAAAACCTTCATGTTTTTTCCTGCCCTTTAAAAATGGATTACATAGATATCCAACAAAGTGTATACTTTCTATCAACAACTGAGTTCATTTGAGACAATGTCACCAAGGATGATGTCTTGATATGTAGAGTTCATAGTGAACTAGTGCATGTAATCGGTTTTTATCTTCATCCTCCAAGCACTAAGATTCCTCTAAATCAGAGTCAAAGTTATTTAATTGCAGCAGTGTCTTTCCAAGGTCTCCGATTGCAAATGGTTTATACTAAGTCAGAGGAGCTCCATACGCCATGAACTTCCCATGACACACGGTATCTAAATAAGTAAATATTGATAACCAGAAAGTGGGAGTCCAAGCTACCAGTAACTATGTGTCTTATCACAATAAAAACAAACAGTGCATACCATTTCTGAAATAATTCCTGGGTCCTTAAATGAAGACTTAGGTTACAGCATTTTAGAAATAAGCAAAAAGTAAAATAAACATTTTGTCCCTCCTTTCACCAATACCCAAGGTTTAAACTTTGTATCATGGGGCTGCTGCTTCTCCTTCCTCCTCCTTTTTGTATGCTGTACACAAGTTCCTTCCTTCCCATCTCTACTGACGCCACGCTGCTATGCACTCTGGTCACCACACAACAACTTCCTGAATGTTTCTCCTTCTTTTACTGCTTCCCCTCCCCAGCCCACCTTCTCACTAGAGTAATCATATCTACTGATTTTATTGTGCCACTCAAAATTTCCAGTAGTTCCCCATTGACCACAGTTAGGTTCCCCAAACATTTTATGGGGAGGAATTACTTTTTCCTCAAAGCTTTAAGAATGGTGTGTAGCAAGGGCAAGGATGTGTGAGAAAGAGAGAAGCCCTGTATGAACTTGTGTATTTTTACATAGGAAGCTTTCCATATATAATTTCATTCAATCTTTTTCATTGTGAAATATTTTCAACATGCAACAAAATAGAGTAATATAATCAACTTCCTTGTATTTATTGCTCAACTTAGAAGGAGAGCATTACAGGTATTATAGAAACTCCCTATGTACCTGCCCAGTCACATTCTGCAGCTCTATTCTGAATATGGGGCTCATTACTTTCATTCATGTCTTTACAGTTAAGGCAAGGATCACAAGCTTTTTCTACAAAGGATAGACTGAATATTTTAGACTTTGCAGACCATATGGACTGTATTGCAACCACAGTACTTAACTCTGTACTGTGGCTCAGAAAGGAGCCATAGAGAGCAAGTAAACAAAAGGGCAAATCTGGTCCTTGGCAGGCTGGGTTGGGTCTGAGAGTCATAGTTTGCTGATCTCTGCAGTAGAGTAACAGTAATAATATGTAGCACTGCTTTGCATATCTTTATATCAAACTGTATGTATTATTCTGCAACCTGATTCTTTTGCTCAATATGATGTTTCCCCATTTATTCATATGAATACATCTAGTTCTAGTTCATTTTATTTTATTTTATTTTTTAATTTTTTTTGAGATGGAGTGCTCTGTTGCACAGGCTGGAGTACAGTGGTGCGATCTCGGCTCACTGCAACCTCCACTTCCTGGGTTCAAGTGATTCTCCTGCCTCAGCCTCCCGAGTAGCTGGGATTACAGGCATGTGTCACCACCCCCGGCTAATTTTTTGTATTTGTAGTAGAGAAGGGATTTCACCATGTTGGCCAGGCTGGTCTCGAACTCCTGACCTCAGCTGATCTGCCCACCTCGGCCTCCCAAAGTGCTGGGATTACAGGTGTGAGCCACTATGCCCAGCCGCTAGTTCATTTTATAGTCATTTATTTTAGTTCAGATTATAATTATTTTAATTGCTGTATAGTATTCACCTGTGAATGTGCAATTTATTTATTGTATCCATTCTCTTTTTGATGGACATTATGCTGTTTCCAATTTCTTACCATTGGAAACAATGTGGTGAACTTTTTTTGTACATGTCACTGTATACATATATTTGAAAACCTATGAAAGATTCACTTTTTAAGCTTTACGGCAACCCTATTATTTCGATTTAAATCCCCAATCAGGGGAGTGTCTGGGTGGTAGTGTCAGGAGGAGGTGCTGAGTGAGTAGTTCCAGGTCATGCGTGAAGCTACGGAATGTCAGAACTGGCACTCCACCCTTAATCTCCTCATGTCTCATCCCCAGTGATATTTATACTAGACCAAAGCTATTATTTCTGCATATGTAAAACATTGCCAGCTATGCAAAGGGAATATGAAATAAATATAAGCAATGATTCCTCTCTTCTAGAAGTTTACGATCTGGTGATATAGTAAAGACAAAACAGATGAAATCAAAGCATTAATTACTATACAAGGAGGAGGGAGAGAAAAATGACAAGGAAGCATCAATCAACAAACTGGAACATATAGGGGAAAAATCTATAAGACTGAGAGGTGCAAGAGCACATTTGAGCAAATGGAGACATGCTGTGCCCTTGAAAGGCAAAATTAAATATCAGAAATGAGCAGATTTTCTCCCTAAATATCTACGTTTGGCACCGTCTCAAACTCCCAAAGAAACTTTTCTTTTTAAGAGTGTGATAAAAGATATGATAATTTTATCACAGAAAACAAGCAAGGGTATCTTAGGAAATGTTGAAAGAGAATGATCGATAATAAGAAAGGATGATATTGATACAAGAAGTAACTGCACGATCAATGGAAAACTAAAGTCTTAAAGAAGCACTATGAACCAATGGGTGAGGGAAAATGTACTCAAGAAGCAATTCTGAAAAAAAAAAATCCACCTTGTACCATAAACTAAAAATAAGAAGCAATAAAAGTAACCTTTAAAAAATCAGATATATTTAACTACATGCAATGCAAAACTTTTTAGGTAAAGGTAATTTAAAGGCATGTAGTAAATATAATAGAATGCTAATACATTCAACGTATGAAGAACTCTGCCAAGTCAATAAAAAAAGGAACACTTCAGTAGAAAAATGGCAAAGGAAGTAAACCCAAAATGGAAACTGTCACACATAGCCAATATAGATGTAAAGAAATGTTTTTTAAATTACTGCTAATCAGAGTAATTTAATACAACAAGATAGGATTTGTCACCTAGTAAATTAGAAAAAATTGTTCAAAGTGAGAGTGGGTGATGCTAATAAAGGTATGATGAGAAAAGCAGTCTTACTGCTGGTGGGAGTATAAATGGAAAAAAATGATAGAACACAATTTGACATTTTTTATGCTTTGCTGTATTGCCTCAATTTTCTGCAATGACCCTTTTATTTTAAAAATACTTTAGCTTAAAAATAAATTTTAATAACTTTTCAGAAAAACAGTGGATGAAGGAATGCTTAAAGTTGGGGTTTTATTAAGTTAACAAACTATTAATTGAGACTGATTAGGCTAACAGAGGGGGCAGCTGGCTAATCTATCCTGCATCCACCCTATCCCTCTTCCAGGACAGGGGTGGGGAATGGGGGAGTCAGGGGGAAGGTAGGGAAGTGATCATGTTCAAATCAGATCTTTTTCTTTTCTTTACCTGCTCTGATTCTTCTTCTTCTTCTTTTTTTTTTTTTTTTTTTGAGACGAGTCTCACTCTGTTGCCCAGGCTGGAGTGCTGGAGTGCTGGAGTGCAGTGGCGTGATCTCGAGTTACTGCAACCTCTGCCTCCCAGGTTCAAATGATTCTCCTGCCTCAGCCTCCTGAGTAGCTTGGATTACAGGCACCTGCCACCACGCCTGGCTAATTTTTATATTTTTAGTAAAGACGGGGTTTCACCATGTTGACCAGGCTGGTCTCAAACTCCTGACCTCAAGTGATCCGCCTGTCTCAGCCTCCCAAAGTGTTGGGATTACAGGTGTGAACCACTATGTCTGGCCTTTAGCTGCATTTCTAAGGAGATTTGCTTCCTCTACTTCATGTGTTCTGCCAGCTGTTGACCATGGCTATCACCTGACAATGTTGTTTTCCTTTCTTTCTTTTCTTTTTGAGATGGAATCTCACTCTGTTTCCCAGGTTAGTGCAGTGGTGCAATTTTGGGTCACTGCAACTTCTGCCTCCCGAGTTCAAGTGATTCTCCTGCCTCAGCCTCTCGAGTAGCTGGGATTACAAGCCTGTGCCACCATGCCTGGTTAATTTTTGTATTTTTATTAGAGATGAGATTCCTCATGTTGGCCAGGCTGGTCTTGAACTCCCGACCTCAAGTAATCCGCCCACCTCAGCCTCCCAAAGTGCTGGGATTACAGGCGTGAGCCACTGCATCCGGCCATAATGTTGTTTTTCTTTCTGATCTGGTGTTCTCTCTTCCACAATAGACTGCTTTCTCTACTTGTGCCTTTTGGCATGGAAAATGAGCTGCCCCATTTGTAGAGACAGTCTCATGGACAAGGCATAGTTTTGAGTAAATGGGTACTCATAATAGCTAGTCATAAAGTAAATCCTGAAATTTTAAAAAAATGTTTAAAATCTTAAAGTCATTAGAAATTAAAAAAATTCAAATTTATATACATATTTTAGTGGCAGAAAATATGATAAAATGACCAATAACAGACTCTCACGTGTAGACATATGCTACCTTAGGATAAAATTCTGCCATGAAGTGGAATGGAATGAAATGTAAACTTGAGGAAGAACAGGAATGATTAAAAAGTTTCCAGCTGTTAAAGAATAACTTCATCTATTTCTTAAAAGGATAAGGGAGGGTAAAAAGTTGCTGTGATATTTAGATTTAATCGAATTATTTAAAAGTAATGCAACAACATGTAAAAATGTCAATTTTTATAATACATCAGAAATTATATTACTTGCAACTATTTTATTTTTTAGTGAAAGACATTAGATGTCAACCCAAAAAGTGTGTTGAAGGAGCATATTGTTTTTCAAGGGTCTTTCAAAGGTTAAAATTCTCAACCTATAACATGACTCCTTTTATGGAAGGGAGGATTTGAAGGAAAAAAGACTATAGAGCTAAAGTCAAGGGTCTCCTGGGAGTTCTTCTTTTGCAGTTCCTTCCCCAAAATGAAAGTGAAGAGTATTAGAGAAAGAAGAGCACCAAAGTAACCGTAATTAGACAAATAATGTATATGGAAACTCTTGGCAAATAGGCTAAAGTTGCTAATCCCAGTAAGAAGCTGTTAAGAGGTAAAGAAAATCTGACTATTATGAGATGTATTTAATTAAGTGGGTTTATATCCCCAAGGTAATCTTTACATTTATTCATAGTTTACCTCTAACACTACTTTGATTGTTTGAATCCCTTCTGTTCTTTGTTTCAGGCAGGGATTAACATACTTTTTGTGTAAAAGGCTAGATAGTAAATATTTTTGGGTTTCTGAACCGTGCAGTCTTGTGTTGCAACTACTGTACTCAACTCTGCTACTGCAGGGAGAAAAGAGCCATAGATATTCCATAAACAAGTGGCTGTGGCTGAGTACCATTAAACTATTTATAGGCACTGAATATGAATTTCATATAATTTCCATGTGTCATAAAATATTCTTCTTTTGTTTTTTTTAACCATCTGAAAATGTAAAACCATTCTAAGCTCACAGGCTACACAAAAACAGGCAGCCGACCGGATTTGGCCTGCAGGCAATAGTTTACCAACTCTGTTTTTAGATACAGTATTTGAAGGCCCTTTTATACTGAAGAGTGAGAACAATATTCTGGAAGGATACACAAAGAATTAGCAATTGTAATTGTATTTAGGTAAGGAAAATGGGTGTCTAAGCTGGGAAGACTTTTTTTCAGTATACTGTTTGAATTGTTTACCATGTGCTTGTGTTACTATTTCAAAAATTTAGTTTCTTTTTTTTTAAAGCCCATTCGGGAATTGTAAACCCAATGAATCTGACTTGAGTGGACCCTGCTAACTATCTGGATTCTAGAGAGTTCTGCTGTTAGCTAATCAGGGGCATTCACATGGTAGGTCTCCAATCAGGGATAATAACTTAAATGATGCAGAATTAGGGGAACTGGACTTTTCATTTGGGAGAGCAAGTGATAAATTATGTCCTAAGCTTTTGTGCCAATAGGGCTTATAACATTTCTCCAGGAAGAGCAAGTCAAATGTCATAGAATTTGGCAGAACTAAGCAAGAAAAACAATAAATGCAGATAATTTAATAGAGCCAACATTTCTTGAGGGCTGACTGTATGCCAGGCCCTTAATTTGAAGGTGCCAAGTTTATATGAATGTATTGAAGAAAATATATCACAGGAATCCAAAATGAAGATGAGTGTGCCTGGAAAATATTAAAAAACTGTAATGTGCAGTGGAAGTACGGGGGAGCTTGCTGAACATGGCTCAAGGTTAAAAAAGACAGATGTGAGACAAGGAGAGCACAGAGGGAAACCTGAAGTCAGAGTCACAGAGCTGTAATATCCTATTTTTAAAGACCA